>NC_000008.11:33496466-33799496 GCF_000001405.40 Homo sapiens | reverse complement strand
CCACACTGGGCTTACTGCTCCTAGGGACCCTTCTTTCCCACTCAATCCTAAGGATCTAATAATAATATCCTATCCTCTCCCCTCACCGCTCCTGCTCCACGTTACTGCACTAATACTTGTAAATAAATCATCCTGTTTAGAGGACACCATCTGTTTCCTGTTGGGACCCTGACTGAAATTCTCTTTTCCTCCTTCTACCTCCTTAGAGATTAGAAAACTAAACCTCAGAGAAGTCAAATTTCTACTTTTCTTTAGATTTACAGCTAAAAAGTAGCAGAATCAGGATCTAAACCCAAGCAGCCTTGTTCCAGAAACTTTTCTTAGAGCCCCTGAACTATGCTGCCTCAATAACACATGAGACTAGAAATGCAATTTTGCTTCTCTGCACCCATCAAAATCCTCCCCATCCCATTCAGTAGGAGTAAAGCTGCCCTCCTCCATGACCTTCTCCTTGACCACTCCAGCTCCATCATTAGTTCATTCCCGTGGAGCATAGTGTCTGTGCCACCCCCAGTACACATACCAAATGCTACTTCATCCTATCCTTTAATTATCCATGTACATATTCTTGTTTCTCCAATGGATAGAAAACCTCCAGTAAGACAGACATCGTGGCTTCCATGTAACCCCCATTGTCCTTAGCCTACAGTAAATACGGTGGCCTGAGTTAGTCAGCAGAACAATGATTGAGAAGGAATTTCCATGGCTATATTATCTGTCAAAAAAAGCAATTGCCCCAGTAATTCATGGATTGTTCTTAAATTTAGATTTTTTAAAAAATGAGCAGTGGAGGCCAGGCATGGTGGCTCACACCTGTAATCCCAGCACCTTGGGAGTCCAAGGTGGGTGAATCACCTGAGGTCAGAAGTTTGAGACCAGCCTGGCCAACATGGTGAAATTCCATTTCTACTAAAATTACAAAAATTAGCCAGGCATGGTGGTGGGCCCCTGTAGTCCCAGCTTGGGAGGCTGAGACAGGAGAATTGCTTGAACCCTGGAGGCGGAGGTTGCAGTGAGCCGAGATTGCGCCACTGCACTCCAGCCTGGGCTACAGAGCGAGACTCTGTCTGAAAAAAAAAAAAAAAAAGTGAGCAGTGGAAGAGAAAAGTGACAGATGCTAAACAAGTAACAGTCACCTGGAAGCAATGACAGGTGGCCCTCAGTATCCATGGTTCCACATCCATGGATTCAGCCAACTATGAGTTGAAAATATTTGAAAAATAATAATAATTAAAACTAACAATACAACAATCAAAATAATACAAGTGAAAAAATACAGAATAACAACTGTTTACATAGCATATACATTGTAATAGGTATTATAAGTTATCTAGACATGATTTACAGTATACAAGAAGATGTGTGTAGGTTATATGCAAACACTATACCATTTTATATCAGACACTTGAGCATCTGTGGATTTTGGTATTCACGGGTGTCCTGGAATCAATCTCCTGACAATACTGAGAGACGACTGTATTTATAATCTCAGAATTGCTTATGGGGAAGCTACAATAAAAGTTGATATTGAATACAACTGTAGTATTTGCATATGCTTCTCGAAGTTTGTGTTGTTGGTCATTTTTCACCTCCTTTTTAACAAGCAGAAATGCAGAGTTTCAGAATGGCTGCTACATATATTAACATAAGTAGACTTATGATGTAGTGAAGAACGCTGCTATGATGTCCTAGCCTGTGCCCTTAACAAGAAGAATAGAACTGTTACTAGCTATGTACTTTCTCCCACTGGAATCTCTTCAAAAAAAAATTACAGAGACAACTATAGAACATTTCCTTTACCAGCAAAGCTTGCTCAAGATTCCTGTAAAACTCTCATACTGTGTTAGCAGTTGCTGAAGAACAACCAGTACAACTCAATGGCTAGAAGAGAACTTCTAGAGCTTAATTGCTTGGGTTCATATCCTGGCTCTTCTACTTGTCAGCTATAAGTCTTGGAAAACTTAGTAATGTAATCTATCTGGGGCTCAGTTTTCTCATCTGTAAGATGGGGATACTAATAGTACTTACCTGCCTCATGTTGTGAGGATTAAATGAAGTAAGCACAAGCGTCTAGGAAAGGGCTCGATATTTACATAGCACTCAGTGTTACTTATTATTGCTGAATAAGCAACCGGCATGTGATGATTACGAACCCTGAGGACTGCTGCTAGGACTTCCTAACACCTAGAAGTTTCCAGGAAAGACAAAGTAATGCTCTCTAGTGTTTATAAAGACTGTGCCTGAAGGTATTAGAAAGCTCCACAGGCCTGGTCCCATTCTTGTGAACAGCATGCTGCCAAAGTTTTGTTGTGTTGTTGTTGTTGTTGTTTTAAGTCTTGGTCTCCCTCTGTTGCCCAGGCTGGAGTGCAGTGGCATGATCTCAGCTCACTGCAACCTCCGCTTCCTGGGTTCAAGCGATTCTCCTACCTCGGCCTCCCAAGTAGCTGGGATTACAGGCGTCTGCCACCACACCCAGCTAATTTTTTTGTATTTTTAGTAGAGACAGGGTTTCACCATGTTGGCCAGGCTGGTCTTGAACTCCTGACCTCAAATGATCCACCCACCTCAGCCTCCCAAAGTGCTGGGATTACAGGCATGAGCCACCACTCCTGGCCTGCCAAAGTATTTTCATGCATAATTGGGAGAAGGCCTGAAGAGGATCTTTCCAGTGTATTATACTATTTTACAACCAGGGAAACTGAGGCATCAAAGGCATAGGGAGACTAATTTATACATGAATATTTACGTGGCTCCCAAAATGTGCCCAGTTGTGTATGCAAACCAGTGGTGGATGCAAATAAACTATAGGCTAACCATCTAATGTGACCCAGTACATCAAGGTAAAGCCCAAGACTCCCAACCCCAGGTTGCTGCCACACCCCAATAGCACTTATAGACCAAGGAGCAGCTCTGGTTTTGAGAACAAGCTAAACACCTCTTGAGAGGAAGATGGATTGCTTTCCATCACAAGACTACAACAACATTGAGGACACTGCAAATTCATTTCCTAATTCATGCAACCTTCATTCATTCTTCTATTACTGCCATTCAGCCACTTACCACATATGTGCTGGAAGCCAGTGGAATGGGAAGGATACCATGACAGCAAAGCAAATAAAGAGCCTTCTTTCCTTGATAGGCCTCTTCCTTCTTTATAATCTTACCTTTTTATTACCTTATTAAGCATGGCATGCACAGAGGGCCTGCAAAAGGAAAGAAAGAAACAATTTGAGTGTCGGTTTGGCAGCAACTCTCCCTCCCAGGAGAATTAAGGTCATACTCCTACTTTATTACCTTCTCGTGCTCCTGAACACGGCTTAAAGCCATATAATATCTTTTGGTGGGTTAAATGAGAAGCAGCTCTCTCTAGTCTGTCAATCAAATCAATTTCCCCCTTGAATAAAGGAAGCTAGTATCTTACCCCCTCTGGCTGCCAAGGAAAGTAAGTTTCTTCTTGCTCTCTGCCAGGGATTCTATGGCAGGAGGAGAGAGGAGAGAATGTGTCCTGGTGGTCTAGGTGGCTGGCACCTGGCATGAGGGGGCCACTAGAATGAGGAAGGGTCTGTTTGCACTCCCACCGTGGCACTAGCACTCCCACTTGGCTGCTAGTAGAAAAATCACAGCAGCTCTAGCATTTTCTTCACAGCCATAGCTTGGCCAAAGCAAAAATAGGGACATTTCACTGGAGTGATCAAGACAGAATCCAGATCACAATGGATTGAAGAGTGAGAGGGTAGTGAAGGAGGGAGGAAAGAAAAGAGAGATATAGCAAGAATAAAAACATCTATCTCTTTTTCTTGGAAAAAGCCATTTGCCATATGCTGAAGAAATATGTGGTCATCTTCAATTTAATTCATATCAAGAAAGATTAATTAAGCCACTGCTATATATAAGGTATTTGACTGGATCCTGGGGAGAAGGGACACAGATAAACAGGAGTGCTTGCTATCTCTCTGTGGTGGTGCCTGGGTATTCCCTCTTTTAAGTCTTCACTTAGATTTCACTTTCCCCATGAGGTCCACTCTGACCACCTTCTCAGTACTGCAACTGACCCTCAGCACTCCTGTAACCCTTACCCCTACTATACCTTTTTTTAATTCCATAGCACATCTCCTTCCAATAAACTTTATATTTACTTGCTTTTTTATGTTTATGACTTACTGTCAATCTCCACACAGTATAAGAATCTTTGTGAGTTCTATTCCCTGATGTATTTCTTTTATCTTTTTTTTTTTTTTTTCTAAGACCGAGTCTCGCTTTGTTACCCAGGCTGGAGTGCAGTGGCACGATCTCAGCTCACTGCAGCCTCCGCCTCCAGGGTTCAAGCCATTCTTCTGCCTCAGCCTCCCAAGTAGGTGGGACTACAGGCGCCCACCACCACGCCCAGCTAATTTTTGTATTTTTAGTAGAGACGGGGTTTCACTATGTTGGCCAGGCTGGTCTCGAACTCCTGACCTCAGGTGATCCGCCCACCTCGGCCTCCCAAAGTGCTGGGATTACAGGTGTAAGCCACCGTGCCCAGCTTCCCTGATGCATTTCAAGTGCCTAGAACAGTGCATAGCCTATCATAAACAGTAAATAGTCAGTGAATCAATAAATTAATGTTTCTCCCAGAGTCTGAATACATTTTCTGCTATCTACTGAAGAATCTGCTGGAATTACTGAGAACCTTTAAGAAAAATAGGTATCTCTCTGATAAATAAGGAGTGAAGGCAGAAAACCACTTCAGGCCTTGAATAAGTGGATACATCCTTACATCTCAGTGATCTCGCAGTGCAGCTGAATTTCCACAAATCACTTTCCTGTTGTTTTTCTTCACAGATTATTCCTCAATCAGTGTGCAGCTGGGTCATCCATTACCTTGGCTCTGAAATTTCATTCTTGAACCTAATGCAATACCTTTTCTTATTTTGTGTAAGGACACTCACGACATGATGCAGAGAACTTATGCATTAAGGATATGTTATAGAAATTTCATCAATTCTGTTGCATGTCAACAAGCATGTATTTCTTTCTTTTTTTTTTTTTTTTTTTTTCTGAGTAGGGGTTTCACTCTGTCACCCAGGCTGGAGTGCAATGGTGCAATCTTGGCTCACTGCAAAGTCCGCCTCTTGGGTTCAAGTGATTCTCCCATCTCAGCCTCCCGAGTAGCTGGGAATACAGGCACCCGCCATCATGCCTGGCTAATTTTTGTATTTTTGTAGAGATGGGGTTTCACCATGTTGGCCAGGCTGGTCTTGAACTCCTGACCTCCAGTGATCCACTCTTCTCGGCCTCCCAAAGTGCTGGGATTACAGGCATGAGCCACCGCGCCTGGCCAACAAGCCTGTATTTCAAAGGTATGTTGCAGCTTTCAACATATTACACAGCTTAATCATCAACAGATTCCCACAGTCTGTCCCGTCATGATGCCATAAATACCTGCTTCTCTCCCAGGAACACAAACTGGGCTATGAACAAGAGATAGATCCCACTTTAGCCCAGGCACACTCCTTGACTAGCATCGATTCCAAATCACTTCTTTCCAACACCTCCCATGTGGAACTCTCTGAACTGGCACATTGCAGCCCAATGACAAGCTCTAGAACACCCAAGCAGAGATTCTGGCAGAGAGCCAGATAGTCACATTTTTTTTGATAAAAGTCTAAACTTTCTAGATAAGAAAAACCTCATTCCAGGTCACAAAGTCAATAAATGGCAGTGAGATGAGATTATGCTTCCTACATTGCTGGAGCGCCTTTCCCAAATAACCCCCACAACAGAATGCTGCACCAGCCTTTCATGTTCAATGACTCTTCTCCCCGGCTCCTCCTTTCCTTTGAGATGAAATTACTACCCCCCGTGTGATTTACTCCAGGGCAAATAGTGGCCAATAGCTGATGCCCCTTATTCTCTACTCTAATTTCTATTAAAAAAAAAAATAGGCCTCTATAATCTTTATTCCTAACTTACTAGAAAAAAACAGAATCATTCTCTTGCTGATAAGAACCACCATGGTTAGGTCCTGAAGCCATAAAGACATACCTGCTTCACAAACGTGACTTCCTATGTCCGAAAGAAAAAGGCTATGATGTGAATTAATACTAACTGTCATTCTCTGCATTGAAAAAGTCTCATTAAATCCAAGTACATCTGCTCCATGGCCCAGCAGTGATAACATTACCCCTTGGGCTTGACCTAGCTATTGGAACTATGAAATCTTATACCAATATCCACTAAAGCCAACTAAAATCCTTTTTCCTCACTCTTTAACTCCTGCCTTCTCCTTTTTCACATATACAGGTATATGAGTTAGCTTTTGCCATGAAAGAAACCACTCTAAACTTAGTGGCTTAAAACAACAGCCATTTAGGTCATGATTCTGCTTTGGGCAATTCTGGAATGGGCTCAACTGATCTCAGCTGGCCTCACATATGTGTCTGAAGATAGTGGCTCAGCTTCTGGGTATTAGTTCATTGCCAGCTGGGCCACTAGAGGAACTGAGCCACTTGCCTCTTATTATGCTATAGGCTTGCATGTCTTGGTCGCATGAGGACCTAGGATTTCACTGTGCATGCAAGCACTTTTCAAGTCTGTGAGTCTGTTAGTGTCCATTAGGCAAAACAAATCACAAGTCTAGCTCAAAAGTTGAGAAAGACTAATTTAAAAAAAAAAAAAAAAAAAAAAAAAAAGAAGAACTTGGCCAGATGCAGTGGCTCATGCTTGTAATCCCAGCATTTTGGGAGGCCAAGACAAGAGGATCCCTTGAGACTAGGAGTTTAAGACCAACCTAGGCAATATAGAAAGACCCCATCTCAACAACAGTTTAAAAATTAGTCAGGCGCAGTGGCACACACCTTTAGTCCCAGCTACTTGAAAGGCTGAGGTGGGAGGATCACTTGAGCCCAGGTGGTAAATGCTGCAGGGAGCTATGGCTGTGCCAATGCACTCCAGCCTGGGTGACAGAGCAAGACTCTGTCTTTATAAAGAAGAAGAAGGAGAAGGAAGAAGAAGCTACAATGTCTCATTGTAAAGGCATGAATATAAATACAGGGAGGGAAAGAAATTGCAGCCATTTATTTTTGCAAGTTTCCATCAGAAAGGGATTGTGAGATGTATAAGTGCTAATATAGGGAGAACAGTGGGGATGTTTAGCAATCGCTAAATCATCTAGTCACAACTAGTCTCCTCAAGATCATATTGGGTGGCCGGGCAAGGTGGCTCACGCCTGTAATCCCAGCACTTTGGGAGGCCGAGGCGGGCGGATCATGAGGTCAGGAGATCGAGACCATCCTGGCTAACACGGTGAAACCCCATCTCTACTAAAAATACAAAAAAAAAATTAGCTGGGCGTGGTGGCGGGCGCCTGTAGTCCCAGCTACTCGGGAGGCTGAGGCAAGAGAATGGCGTGAACCTGGGAGGTGGAGCTTGCAGTGAGCCAAGATTGTGCCACTGCATTCCAGCCTGGGTGACACAGTGAAACTCTGTCTCAAAAAAAAATAAAAAATAAAAAAATAAAAAAGAATATTTGGTTAGGGTACCTCGTGCATTCATTCATTTATTCAACACATATTATTGAGCACCTACTATGTCCCATGCACTATTCTAGATACTGGTGATATAAAAGCAACAGACAATCCCTGTTCTTGTTTTTTTCCCAGTTTTTTTTATTTTATTTTATTTCAATAGGTTTCTGGGAAACAGGTGCTGTTTGGTAACATGAATAAGTTCTTTAGTGGTGATTTCTGAGATTTTGGTACACCCATCACCCAAGCAGTGTACACTGTACCCTATGTATAGTCTTTTATCCCCCACTCCCCTCCCGCTCTTTCCCCCAAGTCTTCAAAGTCTATTGTATCATTCTTATGCCTTTGCATCCTCATAGTTTAGTTCCTACTTATGAGTGAGAACATACGATGTTTGGTTTTCCATTCCTGAGTTACTTCACTTAAAACAATGGTCTCCAATTCCACCCAGGTTGCTGTGAATGCCATTATTTTGTTCCTTTTTATGGCTGAGTAGTATTCCATGATGTGTGTGTGTGTATATATATGTATATATGTGTGTGCGCCGAGCCCTGTATATACATATACACACACACACACACACACACACATATATATATATCACAATTTTTTATCCACTCGTTAATTGATGGGCGTTTGGGCTGGGGCTGGTTCCATAGATTTGCTATTGTGAATTGTGCTGCAATAAACATGCATGTGCAAGTATCTTTTTTGTATAATGACTTCTTTTCCTCTGGGTACATATCCAGTAGTGAGATTGCTGGATCAAATGGTAGTTCTACTTTTAGTTCTATAAGGAATCTCCACACTGTTTTCCATAGTGGTTGTACTAGTTTACAATCCCACTAGCAGTGTAAAAGTGTTCTCTTTTCACCATATCCGTGCCACCATCTATTATTGATTATGGCCATTCTTGCAAGAGTAAGGTGGTATCACATTGTGGTTTTGATGTGCATTTCCCTGATCATTAGTGATCTTGAGCATTTTTTCATATGTTTGTTGGCCATTTGTATATCTTCATATGAGAATGGTCTATTCATGTCCTTACTCCACTTTTTGATGGGATTGTTTGTTTTTTTCTTGCTGATTTTGTTTGAGTTCCTTGTATATTCTAGATATGAGTCCTTTGTTGGATGTACAGATGATGAAGATCTTCTCCCACTCTGTGGGTTGTCTGTTCACTCTGCTGATTATTTGTTTTGCTGTGCAGAAGCTTTTTAGCTTAATTAAGTACCATCTATTTATCTTTGTTTTTTGGGGTTTTTTTTGCTTTTGGGTTCTTCATCATGAAGTCTTTGCCTAAGCCAATGTCCAGAAGAGGTTTTCTGATGTTATCTTCTAGAATTATTATGGTTTCAGGTCTTAGATTTAAGTCCTTGATCCATCTTGAGTTGATTTTTGTATAAGATGAGAGATAATGATCCAGTTTCATTCTTCTACATGTGGCTTGCCAATTACCCCAGCGCCGTTTGTTAAATAAAGTGTCCTTTCCCCACTTTATGTTTTTGTTTGCTGACAATCCCTGTTCTTATTATGCTTACAATCTAGTGAGGACACAGACAATAAAAAAGTAAATGTATAATAGTTCGGACTAGCCGGGCGTGGTGGCTCACGCCTGTAATCCCAGCACTTTGGGAGGCCGAGGCGGGTGGATTATGAGGTCAGGAGATCGAGACCATCCTGGCTAACACAGTGAAACCCCGTCTCTACTAAAAATACAACAAATTAGCCG
The DNA here is from genome assembly GCF_000001405.40 of Homo sapiens. Taxonomy (NCBI): domain Eukaryota; kingdom Metazoa; phylum Chordata; class Mammalia; order Primates; family Hominidae; genus Homo; species Homo sapiens. The sequence continues at coordinate 33,790,259 of NC_000008.11, read as the reverse complement.
GGAGCGGTGGCGGGCTCCTGTAGTCCCAGCTACTTGAGAGGCTGAGGCAGGAGAATGGCGTGAACCCAGGAGGCGGAGCTTGCAGTGAGCCGAGATCGCACCACTGCACTCCAGCCTGGGCGACAGAGCCAGACGCTGTCTCAAAAAAAAAAAAAAAAATAGTTCGGACTAGTAAGTGCTATGGAGGAGGAAGGAGCAGCAGATCCCTCTGGGAGTCTTGCTATTCAGCCACTTTAGAATCCGCCTTCCTCTCCTCCCTTCACCGAGTGGACCATGGAATGCATGGTGGCTGGTGAACTGGCACTGGTGAGAGGAAATATGTAGGATTGGAAAGCAGTCACCCACCAGGTGAATTGATGCCAAAGCTAGACAGATGGTTCAGCATGATGGACATTTATCACAGGGTAGAGCCAGATCCAACCTTTCAAGAAACAGGGACCTCCGATGAGTGAGACAACAGTGGGATGGAACCTCAGGAGGCATGAATCACTGCACTGGAGGGAAGGGTTTGTGTCTGCGGCCTGCTCTGTATTTGGGAGCTGGTTTTCACCAAAAGACATGTTTAAGCACCAATAAATGTCTATCTTTCCAAAGCTCAAATCTTACTCCCCCCAGCTTCCATCTTTCCCCACATTCCAGTGCTCCCTGAGCCCTTTTATCTAAGGGTTAAAGTGAAATACATTGGGAAATGGGAATTTCCATCCTCTTGTCAATTAGGTCCAGACAAATGTCTTTCTCTCGACCTTCCCAGATCCTCCACTACTCTACAAGGCCAGCTCTGTTTCTTTCTCTCCCTGACTGTCTCTACTTCTAACAAAAGGGCCCCTGAAACCAGCTGCAGTTTCTGAGTGGGTAAGAAATGTCACTAATAGGAGGAATAGCCATGAACCACAACACTAAAAGCCATCTTTTCTGTCTCCCACCCCATATGTGACATGCGTGTCCTTGGCCCTAGGGGTGGACAGTTCAGCTTTCAAAGGGCAGACTAAGTTTTTACAAGAGGCACTAGAATATAATGGTTGCGAATATGGGCCTGGAAAAAATTACTAATAGGTACTAGGCTTAATACTTGGGTGATGAAATAATCTGTACAACGAACTCCTATAACATATGTTTACCTATGTCACAAACCTGCACATGTACCCCTGAACTTAAAATTAAAGTTAAAAAAAAAAAAAAAGAATATGGGCCTGGAGGGGTCAAGGAGCCTTCTTAACTTAGGCTCTGCCTGCACTGCTTATTAGCAGTGCAACCTTGGACAAATGTTTTTTATCATCACTAAGCCTCAGTATTACATTCCTAAAATGGTAACAGCAATGCTTATAGAGTTTTCAATTGGATTAAATGGGAAATGACATATAAGGGCTTTGGGCATCATGTCTGACATAGTGTAAGAAATGGGAGATAATGTTACTAGCATTAACTTATTTTATTGAAGAGGGAGGCTGGAATCAGGCTGTTTCTGCAGAGAATGCCAAGAGACAAGAAGTTGCCCAGCCTGCAAATATTGACTGACAGGTGCAAGCAGTGTCAGAGTGGGTTTGCTGGCAGGTGGTTAGGGAGTGAGGTCTATCTTCTTGCTGTTAAGTTCATTTAAAAATAATATAAAAGCACATGTGGTGCCGTGATGACATACATGATCCTGAGAGCCAGAGCCTTCCTCTGGTTGCCCTGAAGACACCCCCGTACCCAGAACAGGAGACCAGCAGGTGGCAAAGGGAGAGGCTCCACAGTTCCCGCAGCAGGACAGCACAGTACCCAAGGTCTTCTCATCCTCTCTCCTTCCAGCCTTCTCTGATTCTCTCCAGGTGGGCAGAAATGCCACCACCCATTAAAGCAAATGTCTCAAGATCCTTTTAAAAATCAGCTCACAAAATGATCCTCCAGGATTTACCTCTGATGGTCAAATTAGATAGTTTGAAGCTTAAACAAAGATGCTAAAAGATCATGAGGGCAGAGAACTAGAGAAATAAAGAAGTCAAGGCTGGGAGCTGTGGCTCGCAGCTGTAATCCCAGCACTTTGAGAGGCCAAGGCAGGAGGACTGCTTAAGGCCAGGAGTTGGAGAACAGCCTGGGCAATATAGCAAGACCTCCATCTCTACAAAATAAAAATTTAAAAATTAGCCAGCGCACAGGTGGCACAGGCCTGTAGTCTTAGCTACTCAGGAGGCTGCAGTGGGAGGATTGCTTGAGCCCAGGAGTTCCAGGTTATAGCAGGCTATGATAGCACCACTGCGCTCCAACCTAGGCAACAGAACAAGACCCTGTTTCAAAAAAATAAATAAATAAATAAACAAGGAAGAAGAAGTCATGATGCATGATGCTGAGTTCAGGGACATTTGCTTTCCTGAGGCCTCCTTTACCCTAATTCATGCTGTTGGAGGGAGCTCTGTAAACACGTATCAGGCTAGCCAGCTTCCACTCCCACACTGCCACCAAGATGCTCAGTGGCAGTGGGCCTCATGCCCTCTCATCTTTAAAAGTGAAAACTTTTTCTTGGTCAACATTTATCAGACTGGACTTCTAACCACCTACTGCAGAATCACCTGGGGAAGTTGCTTTCAAACACAGAATGCTGGACTCACCTAGACCGCTGGCATCTAAGAGGATGGGTACGAGAGATCTGTGTTTGTAAGAGTCTCTTTACAGGCCAGTTTGAGAACCACTAGCCTAGGAGATTTCCGAGACACAAAACTACTAGATCTAACTAGCTATGCTACTCAGGGAAGACATTAGCAAGATGTGAGTCTCCTTTCGGGGCATATGCAATCTAAAAGAGACTCCTCCAAGTCAGCAACAGTGAGCATGATACTCTAGCTAACATTGGAGGCATCCTTAGAACTCATAGTTCTGTCTCCCTGCTGTTCTCTCCCAGCCAGGAACTCCCCTGGGTCACAGCTCTAACTCACAAAAGCTGGCAAGCCCTGGCTGTCATCTTCACTACATAACTCAAGTCCAGCTCTTAGTAAATGTTGACTGCATGTATGTGCACACACAAACACACACACACACACAAAGACACAAAGCTAAGGTGTATGGAGAGGTCATCTTGTGTCAGTCCCTTTCATGTATCACTTTACTAATCATCAAAACAATCCCAGAAGGTAGGTACTATTTTGTCCCCATTGTAACGATGACAGCACGTAAGGTTCAGTCATTTGTCCACAGTCATCCAGCTAACCAGTGGCAAAATCAGGATTTGATCCCAGGTAATAAGATGCCAGAGTGGGTGTTTTTATGTTCCCCTACATAACTTTGTCTCCAGTGGTGGAATTTTAGGCATCAGTTTTAAGGGAGAGTCATAAACCCCTGCATTTCATCTGTGATATAAGGAGAGTTGAATTCACAGGTCTCAACTACTCTTTCCATCCTTGAAAGTCAATTAAGCTTAACAAAATTGGGTGCACCCATTGCCTAAGGCAATGGATTTCTACGAGGTGAAAGCAATCTGGAAAAGTGCAGATACATTTTGGGTGGTCACGTTGCCTGGGGGACAAAGGTGTGTAGAACCCAAGGTGGCTAAAGGGTCTACAACTCCAAACAGGCCCACGCCCAGGAGAACTGTCCTCTGCAATGCAACAGGAGCCTCATGGAGAAACTCACATAGGCAATGGAAATACAGTGGTCAGTTAATGAGTTATAATAGTGCTATCCCAAGACGAGGAGGACCACTGGGCATTCAGAGCCTTGTCAGTCCCTCTCCAGCTCAATTTCAACAGTCTGAGCATTCCTGCTAAGTGATTTGGTTTATGAGAACTCCGGCAATTTCAGAAGAGGTCATCTCTAATAGGAAAAAAAAACAGACTGGCATTTGGGTGTCACCCCAACTTTACCTGAACTGTATCAAAGGTGTTATTATTCATTATATAGAGGATTCAGAGCAAAATAAAGTTTATCTGCAATTGTGTAAACCTGATCTATGTGGGTAACTGGAGCATGAACGATTGCAATAGCATAAACAAAGACAGGATAAAAATGTGCTGCTATATGAATCTGTCCCCAGTAATGGCTATATTAATCACCATTATCATTATAGTTACCCTCCTTGGCATCATCATAACCAGTTCAGCAACTGTTTCCCTTGGTGATGTCTCCTTATTACAACATGGTATTAATTGTATCCGAGCTGATTTTCTGCTCCTACTGCTTAACAGCTGTGTGGGAGTAAATATCCCTCAGTCAAACACCAGCTCAGACTGCCAGGACTCAGGAAATTGATCCAGATGTGAACAGCAGGATCAGAACACAGCTGCAGAAGAGAATACACCAGTGTCTGTGCTAAACTTAGTGATCAGCGTCCAGTTATAGAGATTATAAGACTTCCTTCCAAATACAATGAGCCATCAAAGAGTTAACAGCTTGAGTTTTGCTTTTGTTAGTTTCATCTAGGTCAGGAGCATTCATCTAAGGAACTTTTGTCTAGCTCTTTCAAAAAAAAAAAGGAAGAAAAAAACACAACCACCACCAAGAGAATAACCACATGGATTCCCTAAACATGTGATTAAAAACTATAACTATCCAAAATGTGTATTGTGTTTATTGGGGAACAAAGCTATCTCAGCACTTTCTTTTATTTTTAAGTACATTTCAAAGCACTTCAGTTTGTGACTTCCACAAATTAGAGCTCTCACACTTTTCTCCCTAAACAGACCAAGGCAATTGCATTCTACAGCAACAGCTATTTTTGTCCCTCCCTTTCGAGTCTCCAACTGGCTGGCAAAAGTGCCAGAAGACCTGTTGATTTGTATATCTTCGTTTTTTGATTTTGTGGGTTTTTTTTGAGACAGAGTTGCACTCTTGTTGCCCAGGCTGGAGTGCAGTGGCGCGACCTCGGCTCACTGCAATGTCTGCCTCCCAGGTTCAAGGGATTCTCATGCCTCAGCTTCCCGAGTAGCTGGGATTACAGGTGCCCACCACTACACCTGGCTAATTTTTTGTATTTTTAGTAGAGACGGGGTTTCACCATTTTGGTCAGGCTGGCCTCAGGTGGTCCACCCTGCTCAGCCTCCCAAAGTGCCGAGATTACAGACATGAGCCACTGTGCCTGGCCAATTTGTATATCTTTTGTTGCTTTTTATCAGTTTCACTGCCTCTTGGCATCAAAAACTGTGTTTATTTTGGGTGACTTTGTTTTAAAGATCTAGCACTGAGCTAAGATTCAGGACACTTAGCTACTCCTCTTTTAAGTTTTCTTTCCCTTTTAATTGACACGTAGTCATTGTTCTTATTCATGGCCTAGAATGTGATCCTATACATCTAGACATTGTATAATGATCAAATCAGGGTAATTACATCACCTCAAACCTTAATCAGTTCTTTGTGGTGAGAATATTTAAAGTTGTCCCTTCTGTTAACTATCCTTCTTAATGCCTTGTTTGTCCACGTGGGTCTGAAGAGGTCCCGTGAACCGCTGTTTCTTCATCTATTAAAAATGGGAATAACGGCTGATCTTTGCACTGCTCCCTGGAGGAGGAGTCTTGAGGTGCAGAGGAGAGATCATGGGGCTAAGAGCAGTGCAACAAGCCCTCTCATGTCCTCTAGCAAGATATGTAAGGCAAGAAAAGCTTCCTGCAAAGTCAGGTGCCGTGCATGCCAGGGGCCTCAGGAAGGTTTCCTTTGCCCTACTATACCCCTGCTAAGAAACTGCCCTTGGTAAGGTAGGAATAACGGGCTCACAGATTTTTACATATGAATGCAGTTTGCTTCAATATATGCAATAATGAAAAGTTGCAACCAGCCTAAATAGCAATGCCATTAAGTAAGTAAATTATAGTACATCCATTCAATGAAATATTATGCAGCCATGAAATTAAGGTTTTCAAAGATTTTTAAAGCCAACATAGAAATGTCAAGGTAAGTTTCTAAAAAGTTAAAAAGTATTCAATCCAAACGTCAAATTTTAGCACATCCATACATACAGGTCGTTATTGTGTGTATTTCTTTGTGTATGTAAAATGTATGTGTGTATAGAGGGAGAGAGAGATGAAGATTGAAGGTGAGATTGAAAGCAGAGAAAGAGAGGGAGAGAAATATACCAAAAATATTAGCAATTGTTTATCACTTGATGGGCTCTTATGTTCTGATGTTTGTTTACATCTTTCAAATTTTCTCATAAAAATATTTGCTACTTTTGTAATCAATAAAATGAATATTATTTTTAAAACGAATTTGTGTGTGAAACTATTACAATTAAATTTGAAAATCATTTTATGATATGGCAAATGCCTATCTTAAAAAATTAGGATAAATTCCTATGATTGCAACTCTGTCCAAAAGTTATGTCTGAGAAGAAGTAAATCCATTCAAATATTAATGATACAGAAGGGCATGATCCCTTTAAGTGATGCAGAAGGGGGAAAGGGGAGTGCTGGGAAGGAAAAGGCATAGTCCCTTTAATGATATGGAAGGGCTCCACCTCCGGGGCCTGTGCCCACAGACCTCAGTGAGGACAGGCATTTTTGTTTTTTCTGCCCAAATGTTGCATTTCCCAAGACCACCCTGGCCTGCCACACCCCCATCCTATGCCTATAAAAACCTGAGACCCTAGCAGGCAGACACCAAAGTGGCTGGACATCTAGAGGAGCACATCACCGGAGGAACACACGGGCTGAGCAGCCTGACTCCAAGGGAAAACCATCCCCCTTCTGGCTCCCCCATCTGCTGAGAGCTACTTCCACTCAATAAAATCTTGCACTCATTCTCCAAGCCCACGTGTGATCTGATTCTTCCAGTACACCAAGGCAAGAACCCCGGGATACAGAAAGTCCTCTGTCCTTGCGATAAGGCAGGGGTCTGATTGAGGTGACTAACAGAAGCTGCCTATGGATGACTAAACTAAAAGAGCACCCCATTAAACATGCCCACTGAGGCTTCAGCTATAGGCATTCACCCCTAGACACTGCCGTGGGGTCAGAGGCCCACAGCCTGCCTGTCTCTATGCTCCCCTAGAGGTTTGAGCAGCAGGGCACTGAAGAAACAAGCCACACTCCCATCACATGCCCTGCGAAGAGGACAAGGGAACTTTTCCCATTTCGTTAACATTGGTTATTTCTGAATGATAGAATTGGGGTGATCTTAACTTCTTTCCTTTTCTGAATTAGAACAAAACAACAAAAATAGTTTTTCTTTTTTTCTTTTCTTTTCTTTTTTTTTTTTTTTTTTTTTTGAGATGGAGTCTCACCCTGTCACCCAGGCTGGAACGCAGTGGCAGGATCTCGGCTCACTGCAACCTCCGCCTCCCAGTTCAAGCAATTCTCCTGCCTCAGCCTCCTGAGTAGCTGGGATTACAGGCATGCACCACCACGCCCAGTTAATTTTTGTATTTTTAGTAGAGACGGGGTTTCACCTTGTTGGTCAGGCTGGTCTGGAACTCCTGACCTAGTGACCTGCCCACCTCGACCTCCCAAAGTGCTGGGATTACAAGCATGAGCCACCGTGCCCTGCCAAAAATAGTTTTTCAAGAGCTAAAAAATAGGAATGTTGATATTGGCAAAAATTGGCATTTTTTAAAGTTAAAATATTTAAAAATGTAATATTTAAAAGATCTTAAAGATTAAAAAAAATTTTGTGTACCCAGTTATGTGAATTCCCTTCTCACAGATGAAATACATATATTCTAATACATAGAGTGGAAAGGGACTTTCCTTATTCTGCACATAGCACCATGTACCTAAGAAAATAACTCTATAGTCCCAGAGAATAACCAGGCCAACTATTACCCAAATGCATATCCCATCAGCCTGCACTTGGAGCCTCCATTCCCATGTATGTCAGGGAAGCTATAGACTAGTGCTGCTCTCTGCTTCAATGCTGGAAGAGATTTGTTGAGACTGAGGAATAAGAAGTGGATTATTAAAAAGCTCTTTTTTCAAGATCCAGCATCAACTATTCCAAAGCAAAGTTTATAATAGCCTCTTAACATTTCTTCTTGCCAATGGTGTAGAAAGTCAAGCTGTGAATAATTAAACATATAATTCCAAATGAGACAAACATCACTTATTGGCTTTGAGAAATGTTGCAGAATGGTACAGCCATTTTAAGAAATAAATTCTTAAAAAATAATTGAATCCTGAGGACATGTGAGTCATTTCTCTCACACTGTAAAATGTACTAGTTTTTCCAACCCATAATTCATGACATATATACATCTATTTGTACCAAAATGGCAAATCTTAGACTAATGAGCATAACATATTCATCTTTGTCAAATATATATTTTTGAAAGGAGGAGATTGCAATTATTAAAATTGAATTTTAACACTAATAAGCATCTTTAGCTTTTTTTTCTGTATAGAAATGTAGGGGATTTTTTTTAAAGTCTTTAGGTTTTCGCCCTTGTCTTGACTGTAACAAGGAATTTGGACTCACTCATTTCCTATTTTTTAACCCCACCTCAGCCCTTGCCTCCTTTGTGGTCTTGTCTCCCTCTCTTCCTGAGGACAAAAAAGACAGATCACTCCATATGTGACTGTAGAAGCTATCTATCAGAAGCATATGTGTTTAATCAATTTTAATACCCCTGCAGTCCAGAAGAAGTAAAATATTCAGAACTGGGAATAATTATAATTTCCATTACATTAGCAAGGTTTGCTGGCATGCCAGAGGGGCAGGGCCCTCACCATCGCTCTGCTGAGGCTGGCTGGCAGCTTAGGGGATAAGTAGGCAGTGGCTGAGATGCACACAACACCAAGCCTCTCTTGCTCTCAGTTGTGCCCTCTCTAACTTCCCCCGCAACCTTGCGGTAGCATCCACTGTGATTAACAAAGAAACTGACTGCTCTTTCTCATTTTCCTCTAAGTGTCCTTAATATTACTCTTCATTAAGAGGAGCAAATCAAAATCTGTTGATTTTACAAGCCAGAGAAAAATTAGTGGGCTCATGGGCATTCCAGATAAGGAAGTTCCCTAGAACATAAGCTGTGTTCCCATCAGAAAGGCCAGCAGCTACCTACTAAGCCAGGCTGAGATCCCCAGCTCCACATCGTCTCTCATAACAGGGACGCCCTGGCTCCCACACAGTTCTCTCTCCAAGGGAAATGTTCGAAGGAGAGCCCAAGAATGCTGGCAAAGACACAGAAGACCTGAGTTCTTATCTGGCCTCTCTTACTAACCACGCAAGCTCTGTTAGCTATTTGATTTCTCTGAGTTTTGATTTGCTCTTTTGTAAGGTGGGAAGAAAACTGTCTGACATTTCTACGCTTGGTACTGTTGTGTAGCTCAAAGACGATGATGTTTGTGAAGGCCTTTTGTCCACCATAAAGCACTAGGATAATAACTAAGAAGTGGTATAAAGGAGTTTTGGAGTTGCCAAAAACGAAACATATCCAATCTGGGCAGGGTGGGGGAAAATGCACCCTCTCTTACACTGCAGAAACAAAAATAAACAGGTGTAAATTTTGCAATTTCATCTGACAAAGGTCTGAAATCCAGAATCTATAAGAAACTTAAACAAATTAACAAACAAAAAACAAAAAATTCCATTAAAAACTAGGCAAAGGACATGAACAGACACTTTTCAAAAGAAAACATACATGCAGCTAGCAAGCATATGAAAAAATGCTCAATATCACTAATCATCAGAGAAATGCAAATCAAAAAACTGTAATAAGATACCATCTCACACCAGTCAGAATGGCTATTATTAAAAAGTTAAATAACAGGTGCTGCAAGGCTGCAGAGAAAAGGGAATGTTTATACACTGCTGGCAGGAATGTAAATTAGTTCCACCATTGTGGAAAGCAGTGTGGTGATTTCTCAAAGAACTTAAAACAGAATTACCATTTGACCCAGCAATCCCATTATTGAGTATATACCCAAAGGAATATAAAAAACACATGCACATGTATGTAAATAGCAGCACTATTCCAATAGCAAAGACATGGAATCAACCTAAATGCCCATCAATGGTAGACTGGATAAAGAAAATGTGGTACATACATACCATGGAATGCTATGCAGCCATAAAAAAAGAATGAGATCATGTCCTTTGCAGTAAAATGGATGGAGCTGGAAGCCATTTTCCTATGTAAACAAATGCAAGAACAGAAAACCAAATGCTGCATGTTCTCACTTACAGGTGGGAGCTAAACATTGAGAACCCATGGACACAAAGAAGGGAACAACAGACAACAGCATCTAATTGAGGGTGGAGGATGGGAGGAGAGAGAGGATGAAAAACTATGTATTGCATACTATGCTTATTACCTGGGTGATAAAATAATCTGTACACCAAACCCCTGTGACATGCAGTTTATCCACATAACAAACCTGCAAATGTACCCCTGAACCTAAAATAAAAGATTTTTTTTAAAAATGTAATTTAACAATATTTGTCAAAAGCCTTCCAAATGTGCATAACCTTTGACCCAAAAGATTTACTACATTGCCATTATTTAATTTTTAGTCACAGTGCATCAGATGTGAAGAAATTATTTTGGTTAAAGCCATTTTCAGTTCTTCAGACTTAGTGATATCACCCACATCCATTCTTGTTAGGTAATTTGAGCACTGAGAATGTTGTCAATGACACCTGTAATACAGTAACTTCACATAAAACTAAAATAAATTACATACTTTTTAAAAGTATTAATGCTTTTTCATTCACTTGTACATATATAATAATAAAATGATCACCTGTGAATTTATGTGCATATGTGCTCATGTGCGTATGAAAAGGTTAGAAAATAGAAGGGCAAGAGATCAGGGGTTAGATATGGGAGACAGAAAAAGTTTTTTCTTTTTAATTTGAAGAGCTGTAGTTCTGAATTTGTTTTACAATGAATACATTTGCTTTTGTATATTTTTAAAAGCTAGTTTTAATTTAGAATACAATACAAATCATTGTGTGATTAATAATCCATCCAATATTAATAATAACCACCACAGAGATGCAGAAAAGGTACTGAAAAGGGTGTGAGCTGGAAGAGTGGGTGTCATTTAGTAGTGACAGAGGGAGGGCATTCCAGTCCAAAGAAACAGTAGTAGTTAAGGTTTCAAATCAAGAAAGAAAATAACATGCACAAGGTAGGATCAAACAAAAACCTCTGATGGGGAAGTAGTTATGAATAATAACATCAGGTAGAGGGGATGGAGGCAGACAGAGAGGACCTTAAATGTTGTCCTGCCAGCAATGGAGGCCATTGGCAGTTGTGAAGCCTGAATGCTTAATTTTGAAATCTTTATATTTAGGATACAGGCAGATCTATTTGGATGTTAATGTATGATGCCAGGTATGTAGGAATTTATGAGTAATGAACAGAAAGGACTATGGGAGCTATTTGGGCTTCCCTTGGAAGGAGAAGAAAACAGCTCTGCTCCCCATTTCAATGATTTACTAGATAGATGATTATCAAACAGCTTAAAACAAGTTATTATTTCTCATTAATTTGAAATCTGGACTGGGCTTAGCTGGGCAGTTCTGGTTCATGTAGTATCTGCTGGGGCTGAAATGCCAAGATGGCTGCATCACTCATATATCTGCTGTCTCCCTTAGGCTAGTGTCAGCAGCTAGGAGCTGACCAGATGTCAAGAACTGTGAAGGATCTGAGACAATACCCTACTTACAAGTTAACAAATTAGTCTGTCACATTCATGGATGCAGGGAGAAGTCCTATGTGAGGGACAAAGAACTTTATTTTTTATTTATTATTTATTATTTTTATTATTCATGGCACAGGAGTCAGCATGAGTTGTATGTTTGCATGAGTTCTCCTTGCCCCTCGTCCCCACCTCCCACCCACTTATGTCTCATGAGAGCAACAAAGAGTGGCCCAAGCAGATGCTGCTCACACAGTGGGATTGTCCCACTGCTGAGAAGCTCTGAGCTTAGGATGCTCCCAATCCTGTAAGGGAGCTTCTAGCAAAGATGCCCAACCTTCCTCCCAGGAGAAGACTTTCTCTTTATTGCCCTGATCAGGAAACAAATCTGCCCTCTGCTCAGGAAGGAGACCCTATCTCTATCTTCCAAGGATGTTTGCTATACAAACATCCTTGAATAAAAATATCCTTAATAAGACAGTTCAAGACAAAATTTCCCCCTACCACTGGATGTCTCTCTTCCTCTATATGACCTCTCCATGTGGTGGCATTATGGTCACAGCCCGATGGTCTCAACACAGCTAGACATTGCATATAGTGGCTGGTTTCCAAGCAGATGGAGTTGGGAGGTGCCAGACCTGGCACCACATCACTCCACAGCATGCTATGGGTCAAAGCCCATTTCAAACCAGCCCAGGTTCAAGGAGAGGGGAAATACACTTCACCTCTGAATGTGAGAAGCAACATATGCTGCTGGGAGGGAAAAAGTTGATCACACCTATGTTTGGGGCATATTTACCATACTTCCTATCGAGTAGAAGCAGTGGTTTCTATACTAGGGGAAGTAAGCATTGCGTTTATTTAAAATGTTTTTTTTAATTTTAATTTTAAAGAAAAGTGGTCAATGAGAACAGGAAGGCTGGGTAAGAAATATGACAGTGCTCAAAGTATACCTGAAATGGAAAAAGTTTAAGAATTACTCCTGGCCAAGCACAGTGGCTCATTTATATAATCCCAGCACTTTGACAGGCCGAGGTAGGTGGATTGCTTGAGTCCAGGAGTTCAAGACCAGCCTGCGCGACATGGTGAAACCCTATCTCTACAAAAAATACAAATATGTTAGCTGGGATTGGTGGTGTGTGCCTGTAGTCCCAGCTACAAGGAAGGCTGAGGTGGGAAGACCGTTTGAGCACAGGAGGTCAAGGTTGCAGTGAGCTGAGATCGTGCCACTGCACACCAGCCTGGCTGACAGAGTGAGATCCTGTCTCAAACAAACAAACAAACAAAAAATTACTCCTTACAGAACCCCAGAAATACACAAGTACAGTGGTTACCAATCCTAACCTAAGTACAGATACTCAAGATCTGCCCAAGAAAATATGACTAAGATATCTTTGATGGGGCAAAAGAAGGTGCATGTTTAAATATACTGTGCCACAGGTTAATCTCTTGCATGTTAATGGCCAAGAATCCTCTGGCATTGGTGTCTTCCTTCATAGAGATTTTGCCCCATCTATAGAAACTATAGTTTTGCTTGTATTTCCATTTTAAATTTTTGCAGTTTCTATTGCTTCCATGCCAATATAGAGCACCCTTTATAGGGTCCCCTAGCTGGGGCTCAACACTCCCTAAAGGGGGTCTCCCTGGGAATTCTAAAAGAGTCTTGATAAAACTGTGAGCTAAGAAATGGTGTGGACTAGTGCTTCCCAAACCGAACCAAGCATCAGAAGCATCTGTGTGGCTTTTAAAATTGCATATTCCCAGCCAAGTGTGGTGGCTCAGCCCTGTAATCCCAGCACTTTGGATGGCCGAGGTAGACGGATTGCCTTGAGCTCAGGAGTTCAAGACCAGCCTGGCCAACATGGTGAAACCCCATCTTTACAAAAAATACAACAATTAGCCAGGCATGGTGGCCCATGCCTGTAGGTCTAGCTACCCAGGAGGCTGAAGTGGGAGGATGGCTTGAGCCCGGGAGGTGGAAGTTGCAGTAAGCCAAGATGGTGCCACCGCATTGCAGCCTGGGTAAAAGAGTAAAACCTTGTCTCAAAAAAATTATAATAATAAAAAATAAATAAAATTGTTAAAATGCATATTTCCCAATGGCTCACACCTATAATCCCAGCACTTTGGGAGGCCAAAGCAGGAGGATTACTTGAGCACCAGAGTTGGAGACCAGCCTGAGCAACATAAAGAGACCCCATCTCTACAAAATTAAAAAATTAGCATGTTGGCACATGCCTGTGGTCCCAGCTACTCAGAAGGCTGAGGCAGAAGGATGGCTTGAACCCAGGAGTTCCATGAATTCGAGGCTGCAGTGAGTTATGATCACACCACTGCATCGGCAACAGAGTGAATCCTTGTCAAAAAAAAAAAAAAAAAAAAAAAAAAAAAAAAGCGTAATCCCATATCCAACTCCAGATCCATTGAGATGAAGTCCAGAAATCAGCATGCTTCCAGTTCATTCTCATGAAACTAGTCTGGCTTATTCTAAGTGTCCCACCCTAGAAACTTCTAATTTAGCTGGTTTCTGTCCAAATACTTTGTCACTGTCACTGGAACCCTTCTCTCCTCCCCACTGTCACCAATTATAGCTATGGTTTCCTACCCTTCAGTTCTAAACTGTCTTAGAGAGGCAGCACCTTAGGAGAAAACTATTGCTTTGGATATCAGTGAAATGAGGAAACACACCCCTTTTCAATAAACAAAATAACTGCCATGATTGTTAGCTCTTTGTTGGATGGAGAAAAAAAAGCAATACAAGGTTCCAGGAGGCATTAAACAGCCACATATTTAAAATTTGAGAATGTATAGCCCATCCTAGAGGCACTCGAAAATCTCTATTCAGTCCCCCTCCAAAATTTCAGAGTTGCCCCTCAAGGCTGTTTTCAAATACAAAACCATCCAGGTAAAAAGGTAAAGTCTAACTACTTGTCCTAAACCAGTGGTCATTGCTGTCACCTTTTGAGCAAACATTTTTATTTATCAAATACATTTCTAAGTGAAACAAGAAAATCTTTTCAAAATATTTATAAATCACATCTATGTGTGCCGTGAAGAAATGACAGGCTAAGATAAAGATCATAAACTGATCTCCCGCAGGCTGGATGTAGTCCTTAGACATGTTTTGTTTGGTCGCCACAGGCTTTTTAAAAATTTTGCTAATATCTTAAAATTCCACATAAAAATTTGTATTTCTGGTATCTCCTTAAAAAGGCCTGGGGCCGGGCACAGTAGCTCACATCTATAATCCCAGCACTTTGGGAGGCCAAGGCAGGTGGATCACTTGAGGTCAGGAGTTCGAGACCAGCCTGGTCAACATGGTGAAACCTCATCTCTACTAAAAATACAAAAATTAGTCAGGCGTGGTGGTGGGCGGCTGTAGTCCCAGCTACTCGGGAGGCTGAGGGAGGAGAATCGCTTGAACCCAGGAAGCAGAGGTTGCAGTGAGGCAAGACTGTGCCACTGCACTCCAGCCTGGGTGACAGAGCAAGACTCTATCTCAAAAAAAAAGTCAGGAGGCCTGGGATCCCTGGACTCACTCCTGATGGCCACAGTGGTCTGAGCTGAACAGAATCTTTCTCTGTTAGATGTGGCATGTGCTCTCCAATTTGCTACATCTCCTACCCTCCATCTGGCCTTGTTTGAGGCTTATTAACTTCTTAGTCCCTGAGGTATTTCAGTTTTCCTTCTTTGCTAAGCAGTGGGGTCTCTGCAGAAATCGACACACAAAAAGACTGAGAACGTATTCAAAGAGAAGCAAACAACATGAAAAGTATCA
This sequence comes from Homo sapiens, assembly GCF_000001405.40. Taxonomy (NCBI): domain Eukaryota; kingdom Metazoa; phylum Chordata; class Mammalia; order Primates; family Hominidae; genus Homo; species Homo sapiens. The sequence goes on along the minus strand of NC_000008.11, from coordinate 33,774,947 downwards.
AGATTAAGGGAAGGTTGAGGGCAAAGAAGAAACTAAAGCCAGCAGAAAGACATCAGCACTAAAAGTCACTAGACCAGTTGCTACAAGATTCAGGTTCTAATCCCAGCTCTGCTATTGAGCTAAGAGATAACTCCAGCCATGTCACAGAATGCCTCTGTGCTTCTGAGTCCTCCTCTGTGACCTGAAAAAGGAAGCAAACTGATGTCTTAGGATCTTGAAGGTGTAAGACAGGGGTCATCAAACTACAGCCCACAGGTCAAATCCAGCCAACTGCCAGTTTTTACACTGCCCACTTGCTAAAAATGGTGTTTGCATTTTTAAATGGTTAGAAAGAAAATCAAATGAAAAATATTTTGTGATACAGGAAAAGTATGTGGAATCCTAATTTTAGCAGCCATAAATAAAGTTTTGTTGGAACACAGCCACACTTATTCATTTACATACCATCTATAAGGGCTTCCATGATGCAATAGCAGATTTGAGTAGCAGCAATGGAGACTGTATGGCCCACAAAGCCAAAAATATGTATCTGACTCTTTTCAGGAAAAATGTGTTGACCCCTGGTCTAAGACATCATTCTAAGCTGTTCCATTAAAATATAAAACCCTGCCAGATAATTCCTCATTTGTATTTATATAAAACATTTTTTTTTTGAGATGGATTCTTTCTCTGTCTCCCAGGCTGGAGTGCAGTGGCACAATCTTGGCTCACTGAAACCTCCACCTCCTGAGTTCAAGCAATCCTCTCACCTCAGCCTCCCTGAGTAGCTGGAATTACAGGTGCCTGCCACAATGCCCAGCTAATTTTTGTATTTTTAGTAGAAACGGGGTTTCACCATGTTGGCCAGTCTGGTCTCAAACTCCTGACCTCAAGTGATCCACCCGTCTCAGCCTCCCAAAGTGCTGGGATTACAGGTGTAAGCCACCATGACTGGCTGTATTTATATAAAACATTCTTTCTAAAACAATTTGCAGGCTCAGGTGACTATTTCAGGGGCAAGGTATTTTAGTGTGATCAAAACATTTACATGGGCCTTTTTTCCATGAAACAGTAATAACAGTCACTATGATTTACTGAACACATACTGTGTTCCTGGCACTTCACGTGTATTCTCTCATTAGTATTCTCTGCAATCCATCGAGGTTTTATCATCTCCCTTTTTAGGTAAGTAGACCAAAGCTTAGGAAATTTAACTAATATTCCCAAAGTCAAACAGTTTATAAGTGGCCAAATGAAAATTCAAACCTAGGTCTGTCTGACTCCAAAATCCAGTTCATTATAAATGCCATCATTTATTAATCTAACACCTGTACCCAGGGAGGCTCAAGCTAAAGATAAATTGGGAATAACACCATACTCTGCTGTATCCAAAATTTTTTTTCTCTTTAACCCCATCTCATCCCTAATTCTAAAACTCTACATATAATAGATTCACCTGATTTCCTTTCCCCTTAAATCTCATCTTTCCCCATGAGAAACATCGCCGTGGAAGTTGAGGATTCCCAGTGATTCTCGATTTGATGTTGGGTTGTTTAGTCCTCACGAAAATAAAGCCCCACCAGCCACTGAGATGTGCTCAGCCAGTAGTGGGTTCATCTGTGCTACATTAATGTGGCCTTTGAACATTCTCTCTCTCATCACCAGGAAATGAAGGCAAAAGAAATTCTTTTAAAGAAAATTGTCTCTTCTACCATGAGTTTGACATTCTTCTTTAGTGGCTGTTAATTTTCACCTTTAATATTCTCACCTTTGTCTTGGCAGTATTGTTTAGTTAAATCCAATGTGTCTGGAATGGAAAGAAACTTATCGAGCAGTACATTTGTGCCTTTAAGCAATAGAAACCCCATAAATCAAAGAAAGTGGGAAGTAGAAAAAGAATTGAGCTAGAGCAATGGGTGAAGAGGAGGCCAATAGAAATAGAAAGATGGGCAACAGACATCCCATGGAATAAGGAGACAGATGAATTGAGGGAAGAAGAAAAGAAAAAGGGGACCGCCAAATTGAAGAGACAAAGAGAAAGAGAACAAAGAGAAAAGAAATAAAAGAGAGATAGTCATTGTTCCCAGAGGAGAAAGAACATATCCATCCCCCACATTTCCCTAATCCTTTTCCCATCTTAACCAATCTGCAACAGTTCCAATTTGAATCCAAATCAGGTCTGAGGTTTGGGATTCACTAGTAAACTAGCTCTGATTCCCTAATCCCAGCACCGGATGTTTTGGGGTGTTGGGATTTGGAGGTAATTAATTCAGCCACCTGTAACATTCATTCAGATGTTGCTACCTTTTCATCTCAGTACAAAGTTAACTGCAGATGCTGAGCAGTTGCTCTCCCCACCCATGACTGTGACAGCTCTGAACAACTATGTATCGTTCTTCCTAGAAATCTTGTTAGCCCTGTTGTCCTTTATTTCCAAGCGGCAGATATTTAACTTTTTGTAGAGATCCTAGAGAGAATTTATAGTTTTCTATACTCTTTAAACTTGTTTATTTGTGACCTCTTTATTGTGCTGGCTATGTGCTGATCTTGTTATAAAAAATACAGAAAGAAAAACCTGTATTTAGTAAAGAGAGTATGATTTCAGTTTCTCGAATATAAGCGCTCATTGCTTTGTGAACTAAAGCAGATTTAAAATAATTTCCTAAAGGGAATTGAGAGCCAGCCTGGTAGCACCCTCTCACCTTGCCTTCACACAGACGTAGACACCCGCTATTTGAGAAACTGACCTCTCTGGGGGCCTTCTCAGCTTTTTTCTGTCACATCCAAAGTGGGGTATTTATTGGTATTCACCCTGCAAAACTGTGATGATAATCATTAAGGAATTTAAAAATATCGAACTCTTTACCTCTCAATATTAATCAAAAGTTTTAACAGAATATAAAGAGAAGAGTATTTGAAAGGCATCAAATAAAATCATTCCTCATAATATTTGCTGAGCATATGATAGGACCTCCCCTGCCAGACTAACACAGAAAGACCTTTGTGGGCCAGGAAAGTGCTCCACTTTTTTTTTTTTTTTTTTTTTTGAGACAGAGTCTTGCTCTTGTTGCCCAGGCTGGAGTGCAGTGGCATGATCTGGGCTCACCGCAACCAACCTCCGCCTCCCGGGTTCAAACAATTCTCCTGCCTCAGCCTCCCAAGTAGCTGGGATTACAGATGCCCGCCACCATGCCCCACTAATTTTTTTGTATTTTAGTAGAGATGGGGTTTCACCATGTTGGCCAGTCTGGTCTGGAACTCCTGACCTCAGATGACCCACCCAGCTCATCCTCCCAAAGTGCTGGGATTACAGGCGTGAGCCACACACCATGCCCAGCCAGTGCTCTACCATTTTGATCACATTTGGTAGCCTTCTCCTCACCCCACCTGGCCCAACCTTTTATGGCATATGCCCTAGTTAAAAGAATTGATATCAAAGTTAAGCAAACTTGCAGAAGACCTAGAATGAAAACCCATGTCTCTGACTTGAAACCCATTTTTCTTCCCACTGTATCACATTGCCTCCCACCTTTAGAAATAAAATGATTTCCCCCAAAAACAGAGATGCCTTCTAGTTCATAAAGTAAGTGCCTGTCTGATCAACAGGTAATTTTAAGAATTCCAATATACCTCCTCCCATCTTTGAAAAACAAGGCCATAATGTAAACCATTTGATCAAACATAGAATTTGTAATATCCCTTTAGAAGCTGAAGGACATTAAAAATGGTGCCAGCTAATAAGCATGCTGAGATTGTTATCTGCATTTCAAAGGATCTCTTGGGAGAAGGAAAAAGGTTGGTCATGCACAATTATCTTGTAGAGCAGTTTTTAACCACTCCAATATGTTGGTGGTAAGATTTAATCTTAATGGAAGGATACCTTTATCAACCATTGGGATTCATCATGCACACAAAGCAATTTAGGCATGCATGGTTCCTGCCTTTCTAAGGATCTTTCTAAAATGGAATTCCTCTCCATGGATACTCATTTGTATTGGTGGAATTTCTTGCTAAGGAAACAAAGCATCTTTCAAAATCCCAGGTTGTTACCAACTTGTCATATCAGAAAGATAATACAATTTCAGTGGAATATTCCCTCTCCTGTCAAAAGTTAATGAGATAATGAGCTCAGTTTAATTTCCTGCTAAGGGCGCCATTTTCAAATCACAAAAGCCCCTGACGATTCTGGCATTGCTCACTGCCTTCATTCTTGGCACCTTCGTTTTTGGTGCCCTTCATTTTCAGAGAGAAAAGTAAAAGGTACAAATTCCAGTTTGAGCACAACCTTTTCCCAGTCTCAATTTCATCATTTTAGCCTTTCTTTTTTTTTTTTTTTTTTTTTTTTTTTTACATTTCTGGCCCAAGTGTCTACCCTCTTCATTAAAGAAAATGTGGGTAGATATAGATCCAGATGTAGATCTCTCCGTGTGTGTGTGTGTGTGTGTGTGTGTGTGTGTGTGTGTGTGTGTGTGTGTATGGAGAGACAGAGAAAGAAGAAACATGCAATGGCCTAGACATGAATACCTAGCTGAATAAGAGTCTGTCTCAGGACCGGGCTCGGTGGCTCACACCTGTAATCCAAGCACTTTGGGAGGCTGAGGTGGGTGGATCACCTGAGGTCGGGAGTTCGAGACGAGCCTGACCAACACGGAGAAACCCCATCTCTACTAAAAACACAAAATTAGCCGGGTATGGTGGTGCCTGCCTGTAATCCCAGCTACTCAGGAAGCTGAGGCAGGAGAATCGCTTGAACCCAGGAAGTGGAGGTTGCGGTGAGCCGAGATCGCACCATTGAACTCCAGCCTGGGCAACAAGAGCGAAACTCCATCTCAAAAAAAAAAAAGTCTGTCTCAAGGCATTCAGCCTAGAGTGGAAAACTGACTCAGCCCTCCCAAGCATTCAGTGCAGGAAAAGGAGTGTAGACTTGTCAGAACCCCCTGCAAGGAGCATTTAATCCTGCTTGGAGGAATTAGAAAGGCTTCTTAGAAGAGATATATTTGAGCTGAGCCTTCAAAGATTAATAAGAATACAGAGGGTAGAGGAAGTAAGCTACAGATACTCCCTAAACTCTTTAAATGTAGCAGGGACTTAGGATGTGTGGCAGGAAAGCAAGAGTGGACAAGTATATTGTGGCTTGATGAGAAACTTGAATCCTATGTGAAGACTTTGTACTTTATCCTGTGATTCAAAACAGTAACCACAGATTTTTCATCGGCAAGGGAGAAACAGCTTCAAGTTTGTATCTTAAGGAAAAAAAACTGGTGGTAACAGTAATGTTTACAGTAGAGTAACAAAAAAGTGAAGCCCGATAAACTTGTCAAGGGACATTTCAGAGACAGGATTGGACATGGGAGAACCTAACCCAAGATATTGGGGACGTAAAGGAGAGGAAGGGGTACACACCTTTCTTAGACACGTTTCTTCCACCTAGTAGAGGAGCAGATGTCCTGTGAGCACTTCCATTTTCTAACCCTCTAGCCTTTAAACTCTAAACTGTTTCTTCACCTTCACACACTGAGAGCCAAAAACAAGAATCCCTATGTTCATTTGAATCCTTTTTTTTTTTTTTTTTTTTTTTTGCTTAAAAATGAAGACTGGCAGATAACAATATCTTATCAGCTCAATCCTGAAACACCAGCTGGTGGCCTCTTCAGGGTGACCTGGACAAGCAACAGAGAGCGTGGATAACTGTATTTGCTGTTGATTAAGTCTGAATTCCAGATTCCTTAAGCTCAACAGCCAGCTGGAATGCTGTTACCTTCCAGCAGATACACACATCCATCTTCATTTGGACTGAGAGGCAGAAGCTCACGTCTTTCATAGGAATAATGAGCAAAGATACCCTCAATCATGAAATCTGCAAATTTTTTGTGATAGCATCTCTTCCTTTTTAAAAAAAAAAATCTCTTATTTCCATTGGTTATTGGGAAATAGGTGGTGTTTGGTTACATGAGCATGTTCTTTAGTGGTGATTTGTGAGACTTTAGTGCACCCATCTCCCAAGCAGTATACACTACACCCAATTTGCAGTCTTTTATCCCTCAGCCCCTTCCCACCCTTTCCCCCCGAGTCCCCAAAGTCCACCGTGTCATTCTTAGTTTGATGGCATCTCTTCCTATTCATCCCATCTGTATCAGTTCCTCATTCTGTCTATCATGTCAAAAGGGGCTCAGTGACATGAATACCTTTCCTCCTGAGTATTTTTCCCAATTCAGGTTTAAATTAATTTTCTGAATTTAATTTGGCAAAGTCTTCAGGACACGAGTATTTTAGGGCAGAGGTCTCCAAGCAATATAATGGAATCTAGTAACATATCTCAAAGTTTTTCTAAGTTACTCCTCTTCCTTGTGATTCCAAAGGGATCTCTCTTGGAAGGTGAGCACGCCTGATAAAGGAACTATTCCTGCTCTGCCCTTTTACATCACAAGACCTCAACTATATTTTTTGTCACAGATTTATTGAGATATAACACACCATAAAATTCACCCTTTAAAAGTATACAATTAAATGGTCTTAAGTATTTTCACAAAATCATGCAACCATTATCACTATCTAATTTTAGAACATTTTTATCACCCCAAAAAGAAAGCCCATACCCATTAGCAATTACTCTTTTCCCCCCTTCCCCCTCAACCTCTGGCAACCATCATCTGTTTTCTATCTCTTTGGATTTGCCTATTCTGGACATTTCATGTAAATGAAATCATACAATATGCAGCCTTTGCTGTCTGGCTTCTTTCACTTAGCATACTTTGTTTAAGGTTCATCCATTTTGTAACACATATCAGTGTTTCATTGCTTTTTATTTCCATATAATATTCCATTTTATGGATATACCACATTTCTTGGCCCATTTATCAGCTGGTGGGAATTTGGGTTGTTTCCACCTTGGCTGTTTTGAATCACAGTACCATGAACACTCATATTAAAAGTTTATGTTTGGAAATATTGTTAACAGAAAAACCAGACTCCAAAATATTTTAAAGAGGTTTATTTTGAGCCAATGTGAGTGACTTTTGCCAGGGAAAACACAGTCTCCAGAAGTCCTGAGAAAGTGTACCTGCAGCTATCAGATTACAGTTTGGTTTAATACAGTGTAGGGAGGCAGGAATTACAGGCAAAGACATAGATCAACACATGGAAGGTATACATGGGTTTGGCTCAAAAAGATGGGCTATCTTGAGGGGGAGCTTACAGGTTATAAGTGTATTCCAAGATTCTTTAATTTTCAATTGGTTAAAGGAGCAAGGCTCTCTGTAAAACTTGGAGTCAAAAGAAAGGAATATTTTAAATTCAGAGAAGGAGGCTACGTAGCAAGATTATTGGCCTGCAGGCGTGACTTAATCCCTGTCTCACATGGCCCTAGGTTTTATTTATAATTTCATTCCTTATTGCCACAGAGTCAGTTTTGTTCAAATTAGGATTTCTTTAACATTAATGTGTGTGTGTGTGTGTGTGTGTGTGTGTCTATCAAGGAGAAAGAAAGGTCTATGTGTTAATACAGCTAAGGTTCTGACCCTGTGGTCTGTTGTTGTGCCTAAACTCCACAAGAAAGGGGATAGGCCAAGTGTGGTGGCAAGGCAGGAGGACTGCTTGAGCTCAGGAGTTCAAAACCAGCCTGGGCAATAGAGGAGACCCCAGTAGCTATAAAAATTAAAAATTAAAAAATTAGCCTTGCATGATGGCACACACTTGTGGTTCCAGCAACTCAGGAGGCTGAAATGGGAGGATTGCTTGAGCCTAGGAGGTTGAGGCTGCAGTTAGCCATGTGCTGGGCAACAGAGCAAGGACCTGTCTCCAAAAAAAAGTGGAGGGAGGGGATAAAATGAGTTATGTCTGGCCTCCCTTCCGATCATGGCCAGGAATTCAGTTATTAGGGTTTTTCTGGGGTCCCATTGGCCAAAAGGGAGTCCATTCAGTCAGTGAGGGGCTTAGGATTTTATTTTTAGTTTCAAAAATGTTTTCCCTTCTCTTGGGTATATATCTAGGAGTAGAATTGCTGGGTCAAATAGTAACTCTATATTTAACATTTTGAAAAACTGCCAAACTGTTTTTCAAAGTTCTGTATCATTTTACATTCTTACCAGCAATGTATGAGGCTTCTCATTTCTGCTTATCCTCACCAACACTTATTATTATCCATCATTTTTATTTCATTCACCCTACTGGGTGTGAAGTGATATTATATTGTAGGTTGCATATACATTTTCCTACTGAGTATTGATGTTGGGCATCTTTTTAAGTGCTTATTAGCCATTTGTATATCTTCTTTGAAGAAATGTCTATTCAAATCTTTTGCCTTTTTTTCTTTTTTTTGAGACAGGGTCTCACTATGTTGCCCAGGCTGGAGTGCAGTGGTGCAATCTTGGCTCACTATAATCTGCACCTCCCAGGTTCAAGTGATTCTTGGGCCTCAGCCCTCCTGAGAAGCTGGGATTACAGGCGTGCACCACCACGCCTGGCTAATTTTTGTATTTTTCATAGAGCCAGGGTTTCGCAATGTGGGCCAGGCTGGTCTCAAACTCCTGACCTCAAGTGATGCACCCACCTCAGCCTCCCAAAATGCTGGGATTACAGGCATGAGCCACCAAACCCAGCCCCCATTTTTTAAATGAGTTATTTGTTTCTTATTGTTGAATAGTAGGAATTCTTCATGTATTCCAGATACAAGTTCCTTATCATATCATATATCAGATATATGTTTTAAAATATTTTCCCCACTCTGTGGGCTAATTTTACTATCTTAATAACATTGTTTGCAGCACAACATTTTTAATTTTGATGAAATTCAATTTATTTTTTATTTTGTTGCTTGTGTTTTTTGTGTCATATCCAAGAAACCATTGCCTAATCCAAGGTCACAAAGACTTACCCCTATATTTATTTCCTTCCAAGAGTTTTATAATTTTAGATTCATTCTGAATTAAATTTGTTTAACAGATGGTCTTACTCTGTTGCCCAGGCTGGAGTGCAGTGGCATAATCATAGTTCACTGCAGTCTTGAATTCCTGGTCTCAAGCAATCCTCCTGTCTCAGCCTCCCAAGTAGCTGGGACTACAGGTATGCATCACCATGCATGGCTACTTTTTTCTCTATTTTTTGTAGAGACAGGGTCTTGCCACGTTGCAAAGCCTGGTCTTGAACTCCTGGCCTCAGCAATCCTTCCCACTAGGCCTCCCAAAGCACCGTAATTACAGGCATGAGCCACTGCTCCCGATCTGAGTTAATTTTTGTATATGGTGTGAGGTAGGGGCCAGGACCTTAGCCATATTAGTACACAGATCTTCTTCCTTTCTCCTTGATACACACACAGACACACACACAGAAACACATACATCCATATTTCTCTCTGTCCTCCTTGCCTTCCCTCTCTCCTCTGAGGATAGCATACTTTGGTTGAAATCCCAGCTTCAGCTGTTAAAAGCTGGGACAATTGCTTTACTATTCTGGGCTGGCCTCTGTTTCCTCAGCTATAAGTTGAGAATAAACATACTTGTCTCATGGGATTGCCAGAATGTTAAATGAAAAGCCCCTCTCTGCTTTCCATCTAAAATTTCATTGTAGTTTCTCCTCACAAAAATATTGAAGGACTCTTGTTCTAAACTAGCAATTATCAAACCTGATTATACCACACAATCACCTGGTAAGCTTGTTAAAACGCAGATTGCGGATACCCACAGAGTTTCTTATTCAGAAGATTTGAGGTGGGGCTTGAGTATTTGCATTTCTAAGAAATTCCTAGAAATGCAGGTGATAGCATTTCTAGGAACTTCCATTAGGTGATAGCACTGAATGCACTTTGAAAACCACTGGGAATACAAAAGGAATGTGTGTGGTGGAGAGGGGAACACTCGAGAGCCATAGGAGAAGAGCAAAAGCCCAAGGCTATAATAAATTTCCTAATATGAACCACAAGGCAAGAGGCAAAATTAAAATAAAAATTATCTTGTATATTTCAATGATATCATGTTTTATGTCTTTACTGATGAAGGGTAGCAAGAGATGGACTAAGAAAATTATATTTCACAAATCCCCAGATAATATATGTAACTTAATGAATCTTTAACTTCTCTTTGTAGGAAGTGGTATACAGTGCTGGTGAAATTACTCTTTAAATATTTATGTCAGAGGACTTCAAACCAGAGCAACTCCATTTTGAGTGAGGGCTAGGAAAATAAGGCTGAGACTTGCTGGGTTGCATTCCCAGAAAATTAAACATTCCTAGCCTCTAGATGTTTATGGTTAAGGGAACAAATTAATAATATTTACTAAAACAGACCCAGACTTGGGAGTGTCCAGATATCCCAATATTTGGAGAACAAACACATTCCTAATTTTGCTTTAAAGATAATAATATTGATTCTTGCAAAATATAGTAATTAAGAACATTAAGCCTTTATCACAAACCCTTGTAGCAGAACACATCTCCCCATATATAAGAGTATTGTACCTAGGGTGGACACATTCCTCCTCTTACTTTCAGGAACATCCTACTCTGTCTATGGAGCAGCTGTCCTTTCACCACTTTACTTTCTTAATAATTTGCTTTTGCTTTGCACTGCGGACTGGCCCTGAATTCTTTCTTGCGTGAAATCCAAGAACCCTCTCCTGGGGTCTGGATCAGGACCCTTTCCTGTAACATTTAAGGTAGAATTGGAATACTTGATTGGGACCAAGCTAATATGACCCCTGCCTCAGCCCTTAGTCTATCCTGACACAGGTGAGAATCCACACTGAGGTCAGTACTGATTAACCCATATTCTGAGACAACTGTCCAACCCAGGATCTCTCCTCTCCCTTTCTTGGTCTAACCTGTACCTGCCAGTATCTCATCTTTGAATTCTTGCCTCACCTTTTAGATCCTATCATTGCTCCCGCTTCTGACTGTCAGTCAAGAAAAAAATTACGAGACAAGTCTCAATCATTTTAGGAGACATATTTGCCAAAGTTAAGGACACACCCAAGAGACAAGTCTATGCCTTTCTCGGAAGACGATTTTGAGGGCTCCAAATGTAAAGGGGAAAGGGCAGGAAATAGAGAAGTACAAAATTTTCATGTAAGCGGGGGGCAGGAAGAAATAGTTATTCATGCCTTTGGCTCAGTGAATCTGCATTTTTTACATAAGATAACATAAACAAATGTTGCGGAGGAAAAATGCAGAGAATCTGCATTTTACATAAAATAAAAATAGACCAAATGGGGAAGGGGAACAATCAGATATGCATTTGTGTCTGGTGGGCCAAGGTGACTGCACCTGTAAAGATAAGTTATCGATTTACGTTGCCATGGTGAACTTTAACAGATCACTAGGAATTTCCTTTTGGGCAAAATATGAGGGAGGTGTGTAGCTTTTCATCTCATAGCCATTTTATTTAGGAACTAAAAGGGGAAGGCAGCTTTGCGTGACTCAGTTCGCAGCTTGACTTTTCCCTTTGGCTAAGTGAGTTTGGGGTCTCAAGATTTAATTTCCTTTCACATGACTTCAAACTTGGTGTTTGTTCTTGGTCTCCTCGGTGTATAAAGCATTCCATTTCCTGTGGACATGAACTTGCTGCATCCTTCCAGCACCAAGCATCCCCTGCCTCTAGGAAGATTTTAGGTTGCTAAAGAGAGTTGATCAGCTGGGCACGGTGGCTCTCACCTGCAATCCCAGCACTTTGGGAGGCCAAGGCAAGCAGATCACCAGAGGTCAGGAGTTTGAGACTGGCCTGGCCAATTTGGCAAAACTCTATCTCTATTAAAAATACAAAAATTAGCTGGGCATGGTGGCACATGCCTGTAGTCCCCACTACTCAGAGGCTGAGGCAGGAGAATCGCTTGAACTCGAGAGGCAGAAGTTGCAGTGAGCCAAGTTCAGGCCACTGCACTCCAGCCTGGGTGACAGAGCAATATTCCATCTCATAAAAAAAAAAAAAAAAAAAAAAGGTGTTCATGATTTATTAAGTGAAAAAAGGGATTACTTGACAATGTGTATATTATAAAAATGAATGTGTATGTACACAGAAATACACCTAAAAGTCATATATCACATTTGGAGAGTTATCAGAGTAATTTTATATTTCGAAGGTTATTTGCATTTCTTATTTTCTAATTTTTTTTTGCATTGAACATCTGCTAGTTGTATACTTAAGATAATTAAATACCATAATATGCATCTAAATGTAAAAGCAACCAATAATCCAGCTGAAAACGGCAAAGGACATTAACAGTTCACAGTAAAGAAAATATAAATGGCCCTTAAACATATGGAAAGATGCTCACTTTACTCATCCTAAGCAAGTTGAGAAAATAATCTAAAATTTTGACAATGTACTGTATTGGCAAAAGTTTTGGGGAAACACATACCATGCAACAAGGATTGCAAATTTGCCCAACTACTATGGAGGACAATTGGCAAGAATTATCAAAATAACAAATGCATTTATCCTTTGACCCAGCAATCTCATTTCTGGGAATTTGTCCTAGATATACTTGCATATGTACTTAACTAAATGATGTGTGTACATGATTTCCCCCCAGCATTGTGTATAATAATAACTTAGAACAACCCCGATGCCCTTCAATAGAGAACAAGTTAAATAATTAATAGTACATTCATATAAGAGAATACTATGTAGTGTAACATAGAATGAAGAAGATCTCAATACACTGTTATGTAAAGACTTCCAAGATACATTGTTAAGTGAAAAAAGCAAGGTCCAAAAGACTGTAGTATGTCACCTTTTGTGTAAGATCTAGGGGATACTATGAGCTGAATATTTGTGTTCCCCCAAAATTCACATGTTGAAATCTCATGAATGAGATGAATAGCCTCATAAAAGAGGCATAAGGAAGCTGTCTCCCTCCCTTTTGCCTTCACATCCTTTCCACTATGCAAGGACGCGGTATTCAAGGCACCATCTTGGAAGCAAAGACCAGCCCCTCATCAGACACTGCACCTACCAGCACCTTGATCTTGGACTTCCCAGCCTCCATAACTGTGAGCAATAAGTGTATCTGTTTATAAATCACCCAGTGTGTGGTATTTTGTTATGGCAACACAAATGGACTAAGACAAAAATTGGTACTGTGAGTGCTATGTTATTATGATGAATATCTAAAAAAGTGGCAGCATCTTTGGAACTGGATAATGAGTAGAGGCTGAACCATAAACAGCTATTCTGGTGAGGGCTCAGAAGAAGAGAAGAGCTATAGGGAGTGCCTAAATCTGCTTAGAGATTACTTAAGTGGTCATGATAAGAATGTTGACAGAAATATGGACAGTAAGCCAGGTGCAGTGGCTCATGCCCATAATCCCAGCACTTTGGGAGGCCAAGGTGGGTGGATCACTTGAGGTCAGTTCAAGACCAGCCTGGCCAACGTGGTGAAACCTCATCTCTACTAAAAATACAAAAATTAGCTGGGCGTGGTGGCGGGCGCATGTAATCTCAGCTACTCAGGAGGCTGAGGCAGGAGAATCACTTGAACCCGGGAGGTGGAGGTTGCAGTGAGCAGAGATCGCACCACTGCACTCCAGCCTGGGTGATAGAGTGAGACTCAGTCTCAAAAAAGAAAGGAAGGAACGAAGGAAGGAAGGGAGGGAGGGAGCGAGGGAGGACAATTATGATGAGGTCTTACAGAAACGTGTAACAGAAATAACCTTTCTTGGAAGAAAGACTACCCCTGTTATAAAGTTGCAAAGAACTGGGTTGAATTGTATCCATGTCCTAATGCTTTGTGGAAAGCAGAACTTGTGAGCAAAGAACTAGGATATTTGGTGGAAAAAAATTACAAGCAAAGCATTGGAGGAGTTATCTGGCTTCACTTGACTGCTTAGAGTAAAATGCAAGAAGAAAATGAATTAAAGACAGAATTTGCAATTTTTTAAAAAAAGCAGAACTTAAAGATGTAGAAAATTTTCAGCCTGGCCAGATTGTGAGGAATAACAAAGTATGTTTGGAAGAGAATACCAAGGGCATGGCCAAGCTACTGTTTGATAAGGAATTAGTATGGACAGAAAAAAGACAGATACTATTCATCAACACAATGGAAGAATGACCCTGAAGTCATTTCAGAGATTATAAGTACTGCCACTTCCATCACAGGCCCAGAGTTCCAGGGCCTTGAGAACAGAATGGTTTCAAAGGAAGGACCTGGGCTCCTGTGGGACCTTGAGTTTCACTGTCCAGAGCCATCTCAAGTCTCTGCTCCCCACATTCTGGTGCAGTACCCCTTGGCTGCCCCAGCTGTGGCTCAAGCAAAGCCCAAGTGTGGCTTCAGCTGTCACTCCAGAGGACACAAAAGGTAGGCCTTGGTAGCATCCATGTAGTGCTAACTCTGCAAGCATGCAGAGTACAGAAGCTATAGAGACGTAAGTACCTCTACCTAGATTTCAAAGAATGCCTCCAAGAGCCTTGAGGCCCAGTCAGAGAACTGCCACAGAGGCAGGGCCACCATAACGTCTGAGCCATGGCAATGCCTAGCAAAGCTATGGGGTTGAAACCACCCCAGAGAGACCCCAGTAGAGCTGTACTTAGTGGAGCCATGACAGCAAGATGTCCGCCAAGACTCCAGACCTATAGAACTACCAGCATTCAGTGCCAGTGTGGGAGCACTGCAGGCACCCAACTCCAACCCCTGGGAGCTGCTGAGTGAGCTAAACTCAGAAAAGCCATGGTGGTAGGGCTGCCTGGGGCCTCAGGTACCCAACTCCTGCCCCAGTGCATCCAGAAGGCAGGGCATGGAGTCAAAGAAAATGATTCTCAATCTTCAAGGTTTAGTGCTGTTTGTCCTGCTGTTTGTTGGGCTTACTTGGGGCCAGTTACTCCTTTCTTCTTTCCAGTTTATTCCTGTTGCTATCCTACACCTGTAACACAATTGTATTTTGGAAACATAACTTGTTTAATTTTATAGGTTCACAGCTGGAAAGATAATTTGTCTCAGGATGAATCCTATCTTAAGTCTTCTATATCTAATTTAGATAAAAATTTTTGAGTTGATGCTAGAATGAGTTGATTGGGGCTATTGGGATAGAATGAATATATTCCACGTGTGAGAAGGACATGAGTTTGAGGGGTCAGGGGTAGAATGCTATGGTCTGAATGTGTCCCCCAAAATTCACACATTAAAACTTAATCACCCAAGTGATAGCATTAAGAGGGGGGGCCTTTCGGAGGAGATTAAGTCCTGAGGGCAGAGCCCTCATGAATGGGATTAATGACCTTATTAAAACAAATGCAAGAGAGATGCTTCCCTCCCTTTTGTGCTGCTATCTTTTCCATCATGTGAGGGCACAGGGTACAAGACACCATCTGGGAAGCAAAGACTGGGCCCTCACCAGACACTGAACCTATGAGCAGCCTGATCTTGGACTTCCCAGCCTTCATAACTGTGAGAAAAACATTTATCTGTTTACAATTACCCAGTGTGTGGTATTTTGTTATACCAGCATGTTTTAGTCCATTTTATGTTGCTATAAAGGAATATCTGAGGCTAGGTAGCTTATAAGAAAAAGAAGTTTATTTGGCTCACAATTCTCCAAGCTTACAAGAAGCATGGCACTGGCATCTGCTTCTGGTAAGGACTTCAGGAAGCTTCCAATTATGATGGAAGGCAATAGAGGAGCAGGCATGTCACATGGCAAGAAAGAGAGCAGAGAGAGAGAAGGAGAGGTGTCACACTCTTTCAAACAACCAGCTCTCAGGTAAACTAATAGAGTGAGAACACACTCATTACTGCAGGGAAGGCAACCAAGTTATTTATGAAGGATAAGCCCCCATGACCCCAACACCTCCCACCAGGCCCCATCTCCAACAGTGGTTATCAAATTTCAACATGAAATTTGGAGAGGTCACACATACAAACAATATCACAGCACAAATAGACCAATATAAAATCCTAACCTCCAAGGTGATGGTATTAGAAGGTAGGGCCGTTAAGAGGTAATTAGGTCAGAAAGGCTTTACTCTCATAAATGGGATTAGTGCCCTTATAAAAGAGCCCTAAGGAGACTTGCTTATTCCTTCCCTTACCACCATGTGAGGACACAGCAAGAAGGTGCTTTCTATGAAACAGAAAGCTGTCACTAGACCCTGAATCTGTTGGTGCCTTGATCTTCCCAGCTGCCACAACTGTGAGCAATAAATGTCTGTTGTTTGTAAATTACCCAGTCTAAGGTCTTTTGTTACAAAACTCCAAATAGACTAAGGCAGCCCGTATAGATTAATGTGTGCATATAATTCGTTAGACGTGGAGAGAAAGCCTTGAAGAAAAGCATAGGCTACATGTTAAATTTGCCGATTGAACAGAAAACCCTAAAGCCATCTAGAAGTACCTAGGCACTTGAAAAATCTGGGGAGAATGTTTCTCAGTCATTCCCAAGAATTGATGGGTTTATTATTCTATTGCTTCCCCCACAACTTTCCCAGGTTGATGTGTCCTAAGGAAATAGCTGTATATACCTGCAAAATATAATGTAGGACGCCACAGAAAAGAGAGTGATTTTTTTGCATTTCCTGAGGTATGGTGGGTAGTATGAAAAAGTAATCTGATGTCACGAGGCCACAATTTATCAGCTGTGGAACCTGCTTTAATCTGATTCCACTTTTGTAAAATGGAGAAAATGGGAATACCTGCATTATCCAATTCACAGGAATGTTATCAGGATCAAAGTGATAATGTCTGTGACAGCGTTTTGTAAACTGTAAAAGGCTACACTAATGACAGGCTTTGTAGTTATTTTTAAAAATGACCTCTGACAACTAGACCTTATAAGGGTCATTATTTCTCAGAAAACCAAATATCATATCATTTCTTTTGCCCTTTTCCTCACTGTCATCAAGAAAGTGTAGATTTGGAAAAAGGCAAGAAAAGCATAGTAATGGCTGCTGTCACATTCACCATTACTTTATGAATCTTTACATCCAAACCTAGTATTTCTTTTTCTTTTTCATTTTCTTCCTCCAGTGTCACCAAAGCTAATATTTAAGGGACATGTGTTATGCTATTTGTCATGGGTTGAATCTTGTCCCCCAAAAAGATATATTGAAGTCCTAACCCCCAGTACCTCAGAATGCAACTTATTTGGAAACTGGGCCATTGCAGATGCAATTAGTTAAAACAAGGTCATACTTGAGGAGGGTGGGCCCTTAATCCAACAGGACTGCTATCCATGTAAGAAGACAGTGTGAAGATACAAGGGAAGCATGCCACATGAAGATGGAGGCAGAGATTGGAGCTATGCAGCTGCAAGTCGAGGAACACCAAAGATCAACGGCCACCATCAAAGCTAGGAAGAGGCAAGGAAGGATTCTATTTAGACTCTCAGAGGGAGCATAGCCTTACTGTCACCTGATTTTGGACTTGCAGCATCCAGGACTGTGAAAGAATGCACATCTATTGTTGTTAGCCACCCAGTTTGTGGTACTTTGTTATGGCAGCCCTGGAAAACTAATACAGGCACTCACTCATTTCTTTCTCTCCATTTGATCTGCATACTTAGTCCAAAGTAAAGTGCCTAGATCCCTATGCAACCTCCATCCATATCAGCAGAAGTCTCTCTACCTTAAGTCTTCTATATCTAATTTAGATAAAAATTTTTGAGTTGATGCTAGAATGAGTTAATTGGGGCTACTAGGATAGAATGAATATACTCTACATGTAAGAAGGACATGAATTTAAAGGGTTGGGGTAGAATGCTATGGCCTGAATATGTCCCCCAAAATTCATACATTAAAACTTAATCACCCATGTGATAGCATTAAGAGGTGGGGCCTTTAGGAGGGGATTAAGTCCTGAGGGCTGAGCCCTCATGAATGGGATTAATGACCTTATTAAAACAAATGCAAGAGAGATGCTTCCCTCTGAGGTCCCTACCTCTGGACCTCAGAGTTACTCCAAAGTCTTCAACTCCAAGCATGGTCTATAGATGAATTAAAGTAATGAATAACCACTACTGTGGGGGTTGACTGGTCAGTGAAATTAATTTACACTAAAATATGTCCTCATACCACAGATTAGGCTTTCACTAAACAATGGTGAAACCAGGGCAGATAAAATATAGAAAGTTTTTCCTAGCTATTACTGTGCATTTGAGATATCTAGAAGCTCTTATGAAATATCAGAAAGTGTTTTCCCATGATATATGCAAATAACCATTGATGTGGCAGGGGAAGAGTTGTATTTTAATAAAAGAGACACTTGAAGTCAGAAAATCCCACAATCACTGTTTCTATGCAAGTAATTATCTGTCTCAGATCTTATTCTGAAAAAAGAATAAAACAAGTTACCGATGCTCCTCACTACTTCACGCTTTTGAGCGTGTGTGTGTTTGTGTGTGTGTGTGTATTTGATAAAATTAATAATGCAGGTAAAGTTCTTGGATCCTTTTTAAAATAAAAGTGTTATATTACTTAATGGGAGTATTTTTTCAGCGCATCCTGATGCTGACATTTTCTGAATTAGTGTAGAAGGCTACGCTATTTTAAAACAATAAATGAAAATATTTTTCAATATATAGAGTTTAAAAAATTAGGTTACAAACAATATTGTAGTATAATCATATTTCTATTTTTAAAGACTAATAGGTATTTTTCTGTGAATAGAAAAAAATAGTAAGAATACCAAATAACCTAGTGTCTAAGATATTTAAGAATTCTTATCCTTGCATAATAGGATTGTGGGAGAGATTTACTGTTTTCTTTTTGTTTGCCTACATTTTCTAAGCTACATATAAAGAGCATCTGTTCTTGCAAATAAAATAAAGTGTTTTTTAAACTATAAAATGCAATCATGGCAGACAAGAGGCAGGACTAGATTGCAGCTCTGACTTGGACAGACAGAGCAGCATGCAGAGGCTCGCATTGTGAGTTTTACCTCCAGATCAACTGCAAGAACAAACCAGGAATCCTGAGAGGACCCACAGACCCTGTGAAGGAAACAGATTGCTCCTACAGGACCTGGGAGACACCCCAAATATTGTGAGTACCCCAATTGCAGAAGTGGGAAAAGGAGATCCTCTTTTGCTGAACACAACCCCCACTGGGGAAACTGAAGGTCTGTTTGTGGGAGAAGTTTCCGACCTTACCTGAAGCTGAGTCAGTCTAGACAGCCGAACGAAATACAGGGGTAGAGGAAGCAGCAGGAAAGACCTTGGGAGCTCCCTGGGTCCCCAAGCAGCCCATTCCTGCCTGGCACCACAGGGATCCTTGGAGAGGGCAGCCAGAGGAGTGGGGGGAAAATGCCACAGGGAGAAGGAAATCTCCAGCTAAACTTTGTAACAATTTGAACTGGATAAGAACTCTCCTGGCTAGAACTCGGGGGAAGGCATGAAACTGGTGTGCAGACTCCATAGCTGGGGGAAGAACCAAGCCCTTTTTTTTCACAGCTGGGAGGCAGGTAGCCTGGGACAAGTTCTCAGGCCCTGCTCACCCACTGCCTGGAAACATACTCGAGGCTGTTAGTGTGAGCACTGTGGGAGTGAGACCAACCCTTTGGTTTGTGTGGGAGCTGGGTGAGGCCTATGATCGCCATCTTTTCCCCACTTCCCTGACAACCTGCATGACTCTGCAGAGGCTGGCATAATCCTCCTACGTTCACAACTCCATTGATGTGGGAACATCACCCCCATCCCCCACAGCAGCCACAGCAAGACCCGCCCAAGGAGAATCTGAGCTCAGACATGCCTAGCCCTGTCCCCACGTGATGGGCCTTCCCTAACCACCCTGGTAGCTGAAGACAAAGGGCATATAATCTTGGGAGTTCTAGGGCCCCACCCACCACTGGTTCCTCTCTATACTATCACAGCTGATGCTCTCTGGAAAGCACCACCTCCATAGCAGGAGGCCAACCAGCACAAAAATAGAGCATTAAACCACCAAAGCTAAGAACCCTCACAAAGTCCATTTCACCCCTCTGCAACCCCCACTGAAAAAGGCACTGGTATCCACAGCTGAGAGACCCATAGATGGTTCACATCATAGGACTCTGTGCTGACAAACCCCAGTACCAGCTCAGAGCCAGGTAGACTTGCTGGGTGGCTCGACCCAAAAGGGAGATAACAATGACTGCAGCTTAGCTCACAGTAAGCCACATCTATAGAGAAAGGGGGAGAGTACTACATCAAGGGAACACCCCGTGGGACAAAAGAATCTGAACAACAGCCTTCAGCCCTAGACCTTCCCTCTGACAGAGCCTACTCAAATGAGAAGGAACCAGAAAACTAACTCTGCTAATATGACAAAACAACGCTCTTTAACATCCCCCAAAAATCACACTACTTCACCAACAATGGATCCAAACCAAGAAGAAACCCCTGGTTTACCTGAAAAAGAATCTAGGATGTTAGTTATTAAGCTAATCAGGGAGGCACCGGAGAAAGGCGAAACCCAATGCAAGGAAATCCAAAAAAACGATACAAGAAGTGAAGGGATAAATATTCAAGGAAATAGATAACATAAATAAAAAAATCAAAATTTCAGGAACATTGGATACACTTTAAAATGCAAAATGCTCTGGAAAGCCTCACCAATAGAACTAAACAAGTAGAAGAAATAAATTCAGAGCTCAAAGACAAGGTCTTCAAATTAACCCAATCCAAAAAAGACAAAGGAAAAAAGAATAAGAAAATGTGAACAAAGACTCCAAGAAGTCTTGGATTATGTTAAACAACCAAACCTAAGAATAAGCGATGTTCCTGAGAAAGAAAAGAAATATAAAAGTTTGGAAAACATATTTGTGGGAATAATTGAGGAAAACTTTCTTGGCCTTGCTAGAGACCTAGACATCCAAATACAAGAGCACAAAGAACACCTGCAAAATGTATCACAAAAAAGATCAACACCTAGGCACATTGTCTTCAGGTTATCCAAAGTTAAGATGAAGGAACGAACCTTAAGAGCTGTGAGACAAAAGCACCAGGTAACCTATAAATGAACACCTAACAGATTAACAGCAGATTCTCAGTAGAAACCCTACAAGCTAGAAGGGATTGAGGCCCTATCTTCAGCCTCCTCAAACAAAATAATTATCAGCCAATAATTTTGTATCCAGTGAAACTAAGCATCGTATAGGAAGGAAAGATACAATCTTTTTCAGACAAACTAATGCTGAGAGAATTCACCACTACCAATCCACCACTACAAGAACTGCTTAAAGGAGCTCTAAATCTTGAAACAAATCCTAGAAACACATCAAAACTCTTTAAAGCATAAACCTCACAGGACCTATAAAACAAAAATACAAGTTAAAAAGCAAAAACAAAGGTACAGAGGCAACAAATAACATGAGGAATGCAATGGTACCTCATAATTCAATACTAACATTGAAAGTAAATGGCCTAGATGCTCCACTTAAAAGATACAGAATGGCAGAATGAATAAGAACTCACCAAGCAACTATCTGCTGCCTTCAGGAGACACCTAACACATAAGGACTCAATAAACTTAATATAAACAGGTAAAAAAAGGCATTTCATGCAAATGAACACCAAAAGTGAGAGGGGTAGATATTCGTATATCAGACAAAACAAACTTTAAAGCAAGAGCAGTTTAGAAAGACAAAGAGGGACATTATATAATAGTAAAAGGCCTTGTCCAACAGGAAAATATCATAGTCCTAAACATATATGCACCTGACACTGGAGCTCCCAAATTTATAAAACAATTACTAATAGACCTAAGAAATGACATAATAGACAAATAGACAAGAACACAATAATAGTGGGGGACTTCAATACTCCACTGACAGCATTAGACAGGTCATCAAGACAGAAAGTCAACAAAGAAACAATGGATTTAAACTATACCTTGGAACAAATGCACTTGACAGTTATACACAGAATATTTCACCCAATAACTGCAGAATACACATTCTATTCAACAGCACATGGAACTTTCTCCAAGATAGACCATATGATAGGCCCTAAAATGAGCCTCAATAAATTTAAGAAAATTGAAATTATATCAAGCACTCTCTCAGACCACAGTGGAATAAAACTGGAAATCAACTCCAAAAGGAATGTTCAAAACCATGCAAATACATGGAAATTCAATAACCTGCTCCTGAATGAGCATTGGGTCAAAAATGAAATCAAGATGGAAATTTAAAAGTTCTTCAAACTGAACAACGATAATGACACACCCTATCAATACCTCTGTGATACAGCAAAGGTGGTGCTAAGAGAAAAGTTCATAGCCCCAAATGCCTACATGAAAAAGACTGAAAGTGCAAAATCTGACTTTCTAAGGTCACACCTTAAGGAACTAGAGAAACAAGAGCAAACCAAACCTAACCCAAGCAGAAGAAAGGAACTAACCAAGATCTGAGCAGAAGTAAATGAAATTGAAACAAACAAACAAAAAAAAATACAAAAGCTAAATGAAACAAAAAGCTGGTTCTTTGAAAAGATAGATAAAATTGATAGACCATTAGCAAGATTAACCAAGAAAAGAAGAGAGAAAATCCAAACAACCTCATTAAGAAACGAAACGGGAGATATTACAACTGACACCACTGAAATACAAAAGATTATTCAAGGCTACTATGAACACCTTTATGCACATAAACTAGAAAATCTAGAAGAGATGGGCAAATTCCTGTAAAAATACAACTCTCCTAGCTTAAATCAGGAAGAATTAGATACCTGGAACAGACCAATAACAAGCAGCGAGACTGAAATGGTAATTTAAAAATTACCAACAAAAAAGTCCAGGATCAGATGGATTCACAGCAGAATTCTACCAGACATTGAAAGAAGAATTGGTACCAATCCTTTTAACACCATTCTACAAGACAGAGAAAGAGGGAAACTTCCCTAAATCATTCTCTGAAGCCGGCATCACCCTAATACCAAAACCAGGAAAGGGCATAACCAAAAAAGAAAACTACAGACTGATATCCTTGATGAACATAGATGCTAAAATCCTTAACAAAATACTAGCTAACAAAATCCAACAATATATCAAAAAGATAACCCATCATGATCAAGTGGGTTTCATACCAGGGATGCAGGGATGGTTTAACATATGCAAGTCAATAAATGTGATACACCACATAAAAAGAATTTTTTCTAAAAATCACATGATCATCTCAATAGATGCAGAAAAAGCATTTGACAAAATCCAACATCTTTATGATTAAAACTCTCGGAAAAATCAGCATACAAGGGACATACCTCAGTGTAATAAAAGCCATCTATGACAAACACACAGCCAACATAATACTGAACAGGGAAAAGTTGAAAGCATTCCCTCTGAGAACTGGAACAAGACAAGGATGCCCACTCTCACCACTCCTCTTCAACACAGTACTGGAAGTCCTAGCTAGAGCAATCAGACAAGAGAAAGAAATAAAGGGCATCCAAATCAGTAAAGAGGAAGTCAAACTGTCACTGTTTGCTGACGATATGATCGTTTACCTCAAAAACCCTAAAGACTCCTCCAGAAAGCTCCTAGAACTGAAAAAAGAATTCAGCAAATTTTCTGGATACAAGATTAATGTACGCAAATCAGTAGCTCTTCTATATACCAACAGCGACCAAGAGGAGAATGAAATCAAGAACTCAACCACTTTTACAATAGCTGCAAAAAAATAAAATGCTTAGGAACATACCTAACCAAGGAGCGGTAATACCTCTACAAGGAAAACTACAAAAGACTGCTGAAATAAATCAGAGACAAAACAAACAAATGGAAACACATCCTATGCTCATGGATGGGTAGAATCAATATTGTGAAAATGACCATACTGCCAAAAGCAATCTAAAATTTCAATGCAGTCCCCATCAAAATGCCACCATCATTCTTCACAGAATTAGGAAAAAACAATTCTAAAATTCATATGGAACCAAAAAAGACCCCACATAGCCAAAGCAAAACTAAGCAAAAAGAACAAATCCGGAGACATCACACTACCTGATTTCAAACTATACTATAAGGCCATAGTCACCATAGTCACCACAGTACCATAGCGTGGTACCAGTATAAAAATAGGCACATAGACCGATAGAACAGAATAGAGAACCCAGAAATAAACCCAAATGCTTACAGCCAACTGATCTTCGACAAAGCAAACAAAACCATAAGATGGGGAAAGGACACCCTTTTCAACAAATGATGCTGGGAGAATTGGCTAGCCACATGTGGGAAAATGAAACTGGATCCTCATCTCTCACCTTAAACAAAAATCAACTCAAGATGGATTAAGGACTTAAATCTAAGACCTGAAAGTATAGAAATTCTAGAAGATAATACTGGAAAACCCCTTCTAGACATTGCCTTAGGCAAGGATTTCATGACCAAGAACCCAAAAGCAAATGTATAAAAGCAAAGATAAATTGTTGGGACTAAAGAGCTTTTTCACAGTAAAAGGAACAGTCAGCAGAGTAAACAGACAACCCACAGAGTGGAAGAAAATCTTCATAATCTATACATCTGACAAAGGACTAATATCCAGAATCTACAACAAACAGGAAAATCAGTAAGAAAAAAACAATCCCATCCAAAAGTGGGCTAAGGACATGAATAGACAATTCTCAAAAGAAGATATACAAATGGCCAACAAACATGAAAAAATACTCAACATCACTAATGATCAGGGAAATGCAAATCAAAACCACAGTGCGATACCATCTTACTCCTGCAAGAATGGCCATCATCAAAAAATCAAAAAAATAGTAGATGTTGGCATGAATGCAGTGATCAGGGAACATTTCTACACTGCTGGTGGGAATGTAAACTAGTACAGCCACTATGGAAAACAGTGTGGAGATTCCTTAAAGAACCAAAAGTTGTACTCCCATTTGATCCAGCAATCCCACTACTGGGTGTCTACCCAGAAGAAAAGAAGACATTAAATGAAAAAGACACCTGCATATGCATGTTTATAGCAGCAAAATTCGCAATTGCAAAATCATGGAACCAACCCAAATGTCCATCAATCAATGAGTGGATAAAGAAACTTTGGTATATACATACAATGGGATACTACGCAGCCATAAAAAGGAATGAATTAACGGCATTTGCAGCGACCTGGATGAGATTGGAGACTGCTATTCTAAGTGAAGTAACTCAGGAATGGAAAACCAAACATCGTATGTTCTCACTGATATTTAGGAGCTGAGCTATGAGAACGCAAAGGCATAAGAATGATACAATGGACTTTGGGGACTTAGGGGGATGGATGGGAGTTGGGCGAGAGATAAAAGACTACAAATGGGTGCAGTATACACTGCTCAGGTGATGGGTGCACCAAAATCTCACAAATCACCACTAAAGAACTTAGTTATGTAACCAAATACCACCTGTACCCAATAACTTATGGAGAAATTAAGATAAAAATAAATAAATACAAGAATGTCTCAACTCCTCAAACAATTATGCCAATGTTTTAAAAATATGTACCTGTATTTATTACCAACTGTCAGATTTTACCAAATGGTAAACCACAAATATGTTTAAAGTATCTATTTTCATAAAATAAGATATGCTTGGGAAGTTGGTTGAATAATATTGAAAAAATGATTTACTAGATAGTAAACCACAAATATGTTTAAAGAATCTATTCTTATAGAATAAGATATTGTCAGGAAGTTAATTGAGTAATTTTTTTAAAAAAAATAGATTTTACCAAATGGTAAACCACAAATATGTTTAATTAATCTATTCTCATAGAATATTATATTCTCAGGAAGTTAGTTGAGTAAATATTGAAGAAGAAAACAAAAACAAAAAAAAAAACAAAACCATAGGACAGACCAGGAAAGAAGATGCCGTTTGGTCCGGGCCACACTGAAACCAACCTATAAGAAATAATGAAAGGAACAGGTGGTGTAAATGGCAGCTGGGAGGGCCAGCTCCAGAAGTGCAAAATCCTAAGTGTAGTGGGGAAGGAATGTCACTAAGAAATGTGTTACAATCTTTAGAATTTGAAGGTTTTTAAAAATAGGACTTGAATCAAATAACTGTGAAAATTATCGTTGCCAAATAGAATGTAAATGTTATAAACACTGACACAGTAAAAATAGCAGTTGAGAGGTGGGGAGGGGAAAAGAGGTGGGGAGAGGTGTTCAGAGTGCTAATTTCTTCATCTTTATAACAAGGAGTCATTCAATACTGTCAAAAATGGAAACATGGAGTTATAAAACACACAAAGATTTCAGTTTCTTAATATCCTCCTAGTCTTTTCTCATAACCTTAAAAAGATCTTTTAAAAACCAATGACTCTTGAGGTGAATAAATGTTGATATAAGTTCAACAATTCCTATAAATTCACTTGTTTCTTTTTCTTCCTAATTTCATATAAAACTAAAGTTAATACTAAAAGAAACATATTGATCTGATTCTATTTTATGAAATTACTGCTTGCCCTGTATCCACATGTACAGTGTATATAAATAGAATAATGAACACCAAATGCTACTGCTGAAAACTTCTGAGTGGTGGAATTGAGGGTGCAGGAATTTTTATTCTTCTCTATGCTTCTATAAGTTTGCAAGACAAAAACATCAAAAGTAAAAAATATAGATATACTCAATCAATTTTATCCTTTCAATAAGTATTGAGTTAACTTAGAGTATTTTCTGAATAACGTTAACCTAGTAGAAGGGGAGATTTGAATAGTGGCATCCTCCTCATAGAAGAATCATTCTTTTGGCCACTACAGTGGCTCATGTCTGCAATCCCAGCACTCTGAGAGGCCTAGGAGGGTAGATTTCTTGAGGTCAGGAGTTTGAGACCAGACTGGCCAACATAGTGAAACCCCGTCTCTATTAAAAATATAAAAATTAGCTAAGCATGGTGACAGGGGCCTGTAATCCCAGCTACTTAGGAGGCTGAGGCAAGAGAATTGCTTGAACCCTAGAGGTGGAGTTGGAGGTTGCAGTGAGCAGAGATTGTACCACTGCACTCCAGCCTGGGTGACAGAGCGAGACTCTGTCTCCAAAAAAAAAAAAAAAATCATTCTTTTTCTTGCAGTGAATTTGAGGCATTGGGCCTTCTTCTTAGCATGTCACACCTATTGCCTGATTGGTGCAGAGTACTCAGCCTCCCAAAAGATCTGGAGGAGGCCAGAAGAGGGCCCTACTGCTGCATCGCTTCATGTTTTAAAACTGCCTCTTGGTATTCACAGCCTCATAGAATTCAGTGGCTGGTTATATTATAAATTGGAAATTGGCCTAAAAGATGGACAATCAGGAATAAGAAAAAAGATACTCTCAGAGAGGCAAGAAGTAAAGCTTATTAAGGAAAGAGGACATTGAAAATAACTTAAATGTTAGCATCTATGAGTCAATCACATCAATAAGTATCATGATAAGAAAATATATTTTGCTACTGGAACCTAGTATAATAATTTTGTTTTATCCTTCCACTTACAGGAAGTTTGGTTCTTTTTTTAATTTTATTTTTAGAGACAGGGTTTCGCCATGTTGCCCAGGCTGGTCTCAAACTCCTTGACTCAAGCAATTCACCCGCCTCTACCTCCCAAAATACTGGGATTACAGGCGTGGGCCACCGCCCCCAGCTAAGAAAGTTCAGACCTTAAGTGAACAACAAAAATGGCTATCTTCTTTCTAAAATCTCCAAAAAAGGAATCTCTTTTGATATAAATCTTTTGACAAATTATGCCCACATTTCCAAATTATAATGGTCAATGATTACAATTAAAATGAAAATCTAGGTCTTCAATTTCAAGGAGGCCGTTTCTGTCTTCACCCACATGGAACACTGTAAGTTCTCAGAATAGAACTTTCTCTTCTACACTAGCAATTCCTTTTTTTTTTTTTTTTTTTTTTTTGAGAGAGAGAGAGAGGCAGGGTCTTGCTCTGCACCCAGGCTGGGGGGAAATGGTGCAATCATAGCTCACTGTAACCTAAACTCCTGGTCTCAAAAAATCTTCCCACCTCAGCCATCCGAGTAGCTGGGACTACAGGTAAGTGCCACCATGCCTGGCTAATTTTTTCACTTTATTTTTTATTTTTTGGAAACACAGGGTCTCACTATGTTGTCCCGGCTAGTCTAAACTCCTGGGCTCAAGCAATCCTCCAGCCTGGCCTTCTAGATTAGTCTGTTCTCACACTATTATAAAGAAATACCTGAGACTGGGTAATCTTTAAAGGAAAGATATTTAATTGACTCACAGTTCTGCATGGCTGGGGAGGCCTCAGGAAACTTACAATCAAGGCAGAAGGCTAAGGGAAAGCAAGCTTGGACCTTCTCACATGGCAGCAGGAGAGAGTGTGACTGCAGGGAAAACTACAATTTATAAAACCATCATATTCACTCATGAGAACAGCATGGGGGAATCACCCCCATAATCCAATCACTTCCCTTCCTCGACAGGTAGGGATTACAGATCCCTCCCTTGACATGTGGGGATTACAATTCAAGATGAGATTTGGGTGGGAACACAAAGCCAAACCATATCACCTCCTAGAGCACTGGGATTACAAGTGTGAGCCACCATGCCTGGCCAGCAATTCCCTCTAACTATTTTTGCAAAGTTTTATATTCCATGTATCAAAACATCGAACAAGGAAGGCAGCGTCAGCCAGTAACTGAATATTCAGTAAGCTCACTTCCCATGTAAGATGTACCTTTGCTCTTCCTTCATCTTCTGCCATGATTGTGAGGACTCCACAATCATGTGGAACTATGAGTCAATTAAACCTCTTTCCTTTATAAATTGCATAGTCTTGGGTATGTCTTTATTACCAGCATGAGAAAAGACTAATACAGTAAACTGGAACTGGTAGAGTGGGGTGCTACTGTAAAGATAACCAAAAATGTGGAAGTGACTTTGAAACTGGGTAACAGGCAGAGGTTGAAACAGTTTGGAGGGTTCAGAAGAAGATACGAAAATGTGGAAAAGTTCTGAAGCTGCCTAGAGACTTGGAGGGCTCAGAAGACAGTAAGATGTGGGAAAGTTTGAAACTTTCTAGAGACTTGTTGAATGGCTTTGACCAAAATGCTGATAGTAATATGGACAATAAAGTCCAGGCTGAGGTAGTCTCAGATGGAGATGAGGAACTTGTTGGGGACTGGAGTAAAGGTCACTCTTGCTATGTAAAGAGACTGGCATCATTTTGCCCCTGGCCTAGAGAGCTGTGGAACTCTGAACTTGAAAGAGAAGATTTAGGGTATGTGGTAGAAAAATTTCTAAGTGGCAAAGGGTTCAAGAGAAAGCAGAGCATAAAAATTGGGAAGATTTGCAGCCTGACCATGAGGTAGAAAAGAAAAACCCATTTTCTGGGGAGAAATTCAAGGGGCTACAGAAATATGCATAAGTAACAAGAAGCCAAACGTTAATCACCACCACAATGGGGAAAATGTCTCCAGGGCATGTCAGAGACCTTCACACAGCCCCTCCCATCACAGGCCTGAAGATCTAGGAGGAAAAAATGGTTGGGCTGGGCCCAGGGCCTCCCTGCTCTATGCTGCCTTCCGACATGGTGCCCTGTGTCTATGCTGCCTTCCGACATGGTGCCCTGTGTCCCAGCTGCTTCAGCTCCAGCTGTGGCTAAAATGGGCCAACATAGAGCTTAGGGAGTTGCTTCAGAGGGTGCAAGCCCCAGGCCTTGGCAGCTTTCACATGGTGTGGAGCCTGTGGGTGCACAGAAGTCAAGAACTGAGGTTTGAAAACCTCCGCCTAGATTTCAGAGGATGTATGGAAAGGCATGGATGTCCAGGCAGAAGATTGCTGCAGGGGCAGAGCCCTCAAGGAGAACCTCTGCTAGGGCAGTACAGAAGGGAAACGTGGGGTCAGAGGCCCCACACGGAGTGCCTATTGGGGCACTGCCTAGTGGAGCTGTGAGAAGAGGGCCATCATTCTCCAGACCCAGAATGGTAGATTCAATGAAATCTTGCACTGTGCACCTGGAAAATCCTCAGACACTCAACACCAGCCTGTGAAAGCAGCCCGGAGGTGGAGCTGTACCCTGCAAAGCCACAGGGATGGTGCTGCCCAAGGTTTTGGGGGCCCACCTCTTGTATCAGCGAAACCTGGATGTGAGACATGGAGTCAAAGGAAATCATTTTGGATCTTTAAGATTTAATGACTGTCTTATTGTATTTCAGACTTGCATGGGGCCTGTAACCCTTTTGCTTTGGCCATTTTCTCCCATTTAAAATAGATATATTTACCCAATGCCTGTACACACATTGTATCTAGGAAGTAACTAATTTGCTTTTGATTTTACAGGCTGACAGTCAGAAGGGACTTGCCTTGTCTCAGATGAGACTTTGGATTGTGGACTTTTGAGTTAATGCTGAAATGAGTTAAGACTTTGGAGGACTGTTGGGGAGGCATGATTGGTTTTGAAATGTGAGGACATGAGATTTGGGAGGGATCAGGGGTGCAATGACATGGTTTGGCTGTGTCCCCACCCAAATCTCATCTTAACTTGTAGCTCCCATAATTCCCATATGTCATGGAAAGGAACTGGTGGGAGGTAATTGAATCATGGGGGCAGGTTTTTCCCATGCTGTTCTCATGTTAGTGAATAAGTCTCAGGAGATCTGATGGTTTTATAAAGGGGATTTTCCCTGCACATGTTTCTTTTGCCTGGTGCCATGTAAGACGTCCTTTGCTCTTCCTTCATATTCTGTCATGATTGTGAGGCCTCCCCAGCCATGTGGAACTGTGAGAGCAAGTTCATTGTAAGAGCAAGTCTGGTTTGCACTTCTTCTCCCCAAATCTACCCCAATGCATAGAACCCAGTACAAGGGCATTCCCCTCAAAGTGTTTGAAAACCACCACTTAAGCACTGCTGTTTAAATGTGTTAAATGTTTAATATTCCCATGTGAAATTAAGGAAGCAATCTCTGTCCCTGGTCTCCTGCAGCAGGATAGGGAAGAATATTAGGTATGAGTTCAAAAATTCAGTGAGTGTTTTAGAGTTGTTTGGTAAGTACAAGCATCCGAGCAAATTAATCATTAAATACTGTCTGGACACAGTGGCTCATGTCTGTAACCCCAGAACTTTGGGAGGCCAAGGCAGGCAGATCACTTGAGGTCAGGGGTTCAAGACCAGCCTGGTCAACATGGTGAAACCCCATCTCTACTAAAAATACAAAAATTGGCCAGGTGTGATGGTGGGCACCTGTAATCTTAGATATTCTAGAGGCTGAGGCAAGAGCATCATTTGAACCAAGGAGGCCGAGGTTGCAGTGAGCCAAGTTTGCACCACTGCACTCCAGCATGGGCAACAGAGCGAGACTCTGTCTAAAAGAAATAAAATAAAATCATTAAATACCACAGAATCACCAGGATGGAAAGAGCCCGGGATTGGGAGTCACATGTCCCTGGGTTCCTAATTTCCTCTCCACCAGTTCTGTGCTCTTTTGGCTAAATGGCCAAAATTTATGAGTCTGAGTTTTTGCATTTGTCAAAATAAGCCCTTACTGCGCCTTCTAATGTATAAATTCTGATCTAACTAATTAGCCCAGTAAAATATTGAAGATATTTCTGGTAGGGAAGCAGCTTGATTTAGTGAAGATGCTGGAAAAGTGGATCCTGAGAGAGACAGAGTCAGTGCCGCCATGGCTGAGGAGGAACAGCAGGATCCCAAGGGCATGCAACAGTCCTAAGCACCACTGCAGAGAAGCCCACGCAGAATATGAAACATCCCAAGAAATGAGGATCCCAGATAAGACTTTTGGTTCACATTAGCACCCAAAACAAATATTTTGCTGTAGGCTTTATTAATAACACCGTCACCTCAGGGTTGGAGGTCTGCCCTTTATTCATCTGAGGAGGACTCTGACTTCTCCAGTGTATGTAATAGAATCCTTTTGCAGCTACAGCTCTGCCCCAGTGCTCTCTGTTAGAGGTGAAATGAGGAGAAACATGGGCAGAATCCAAGTTTTAGAGAAATATAAGATCACAGAAGTAACATTTTTAATTGCTCTTAGTGTGAAAAGAATGAAAAGATTTCCTAAAGCAGACATTTGACCACCCTATACCCACCATACTCACGTTTTCCTCATCTTTATCCATAAAACCATGCACAACAAACATGTGCACATATACTCACATGCACACACTCTACTGCCTCAATATTGTCGCTCTTGAAGATGCATATCTACCTTCTCAAAAATGTATGCATCAGGGTGGGGCTTGGTAGCTCATACCTGTAATCCCAGTGATTTGGGAAGCAGAGGTGGGACGATTGCTTGAGCCCTGGAGTTGGAGAGCAGCCTGGGCACCATAACAATACCCCAATCTCTACAAAAAGAAATTCTTTTTTAATTATCCACGTGTAGTGGCATGCCCCTGTAGTCCCAACTACTGGGGAGGCTGAAGCAGAAGGATCCCTTGAGCTCAGAAGGTTGAGGCTGCAATGAGCTATGATCTCACCACTGCAATGCAGCCTGGGCAACAGAGTAAGACCCTGTCTCAAAAAAAAAAAAAATTATGTATCAGATTCCATTGTGTATTTCAGAAAAATCCATATGAAAGGACAACCTCTGCTCCCTCATCCACTGTTGTTATTAGGTCAATGTGAGAATAAAGAGTGGACCTGGAAATAATAGGATAAAATAGCCCTGACCCAGCCAGTTTAACCATGAAACCTCTGCTCACTAGAATCTCTGCCAGGCAGATGATATAAGGATTTGTTAGTCAATGACAAAGAGGGCATCCACATGCACAGTTCTAATATGATCAACTGAACCCTAGCACTCCTATATCTGGAATAGGTAGTGAATGAGCTAAACTAGTGGAAATTTTTTAGAAAGAAAACTGAAATTCTGTACATAAAGGGTTCCAAGTATTTATCATTCATATTAGATCTTTTTCCAAGACTCCAAAGATAAAATAGCTTAGAGTCAAAGAGAGTATATTAAACTTCATGTTAGCCCGAGGCCCTCCTTCTTCCTTTGTTTATCATTTATTTATACCTGTCCTCATTTTGAAAAAGAATTTGTTGCTGAGTAGGAAAGTGTACACAGAACCAGCCAACCCTGTGTCACATGATGTTTGAGAGTAAATTATCTGCCTGTCTCTGGTTTTTTAAGCTAACTTTAGAGCACACTGCAGACCTTCACAGCAGTGAGCAAGACAGATTGGAAGTCTCATTTTTGCACCAATCTCTTCTTTAAATTCTTGGATCTGCAAGATCTTAGAGACTCCTTCTGCCAGGATTTGGTGCCTCTAATTCCCACAGGGTTTTATTCCTGAGTTTTCTTTCTCCTTTCAGCTCTCAGCATCTCATGATTCTTCAGCTACAAAGTTCCACTCAACTCTAACTCCACATATCCCAACTCCTAGCAGAGTACCTTGACGTGTGCTCCTTCTGAGCCAACTGTACTTGCCCAGGCCAAAACTGGGTGTGTTGGCATCAAAAAAAAGAAACTTCCAGGCTCAATTGGACACACCTCCAACATTCAACCACTCCCTCTCTCTTGGACTTTGACCCTGGTTCAGCTCTGTGCCCCTGCCACCAGCCACCCAAATCTCATGTCAAACTGTAATCCCCATGTGTTGGAGGAGGGGCCCGGTGAGAGGTGATTGAATCATGGGGGCAGACATCTCCCTTGCCGTTCTTGTGATAATGAGTGAGTTCTCATGAGATCTAGTTGTTTAAAAGTGTGTAGCACTTCCCCATCCTTCTCTCTCTCCTGCCACATGGTAAGATATGCCTACTTCCCCTTCACCTTCCACCATGATTGTAAGTTTCCTGAGACCTCCCCAGCCATGCTTCCCGTGCAGCCTGTAGAACTGTGAGTCCATTAAACCTTTTTTCTTTATAAATGACCCAGTCTCAGGTAGTTCTTCACAGCAATATGAAACGAACTAATACACTGACTTAGACTTTAGTTTCCTTTTCTGAAAAATGGGGATTACATCTACTCTGCCTACACCTGTGAGTTTGTTGTATTAATCAAATATAATGAAATGATGAATGTGAATGTACTTTAAAATCTTAAAATAAAAGATAGATGTAAATTAATAATTCCAAAACTTGGACTTTATTTTTGGAATTTTTAATTTGTAACATTGTATAATAGAAAAAAACTTCTCTGTCAGAAAAAAAAAATGTTTTGTCATTAATTTGCTGTGTGATTTTTTATAAGTTCTTTGACTTCTCTGAACTTCAGTGTCTTCAGCTGAGGCCTTAATTAGTACTCCTTTCTTTGAAAGTAACAGAAGTCCTCTTTAAATTGAGGAAAATAGGCCGGGCACAGTGGCTCACGTCTGTAATCCCAGCACTTTGGGAGGCTGAGGCATCACTGGAGGTCAGGAGTTCGAGACCAGTCTGGCCAACATGGTGAAACCCTCTCTCTACTAAAAATACAAATATTAGCCGGGAGTGGTGGCACAAATTTGTAATCCCAGCTACTTGGGAGGCTGAGGCAGGAGAATCACTGGAACCTGGAAGGCAGAGGCTGCAGTAAGCCAAGATTGCTCCACTGAACTCCAGCCGGGGCGATAGAGTGAGACTATGTCTCAAAATAAATAAATAAATCGAAGAAAATGAGGTGAGACGTAAGAGGACATCGGGCTATTTTACAGAACCCAAGGACAGGAAGTGCAGTCCAGCCTGATGAGCAAAGAGGACCTGGAAATACAATATCCTTAGGAACCCAGGCAACCTGATACTTCATATTCTTGAGACCTTGATACGGTGTGGAAGTTTGTCCCCTCCAAATCTCATGTTGAAATGTGGTCTCTAATGTTGGAAGTGGCGTCTGGGGGAGGTGTTTGGATCATGGGTACAGATCCCTCATCAGTGGCTTAGCACCATCTCCTTGGTGATGAGTGATTTCTCACTCTGAGTTCACACAAGATCTGATTGTTTAAAAGTGTGTGGGAACACCCCCTTCTCTCTCTTGCTCCTTCTTGCCAGGTGACATGCCTGCTCCCGCTTTGGCTTAGCCATGAGTAGAAGCTCCCTGGGGCCTCCCCAGAAGCCAAGCAGATGCGGTGCCATGCTTCCTGTACAGCCAGCAGAACTGTGAGCCAATTAAATCTCTTTCCTTTATAAATTACCCAGCCTCAGGTATTTCTTTATGGCAATGCCAGAACAGCCTAATGCAGACCTCATTGGTTATCATGTATGTGTCTTTTTATGAGCTAGATTTCTTAACATCTCCATGTATGTGGCATAAAATAGCTGTCACCATTCCAATTAATTGGAATCCATTTGTACTGTCCTGGGAAAGAACAGCTGACTGGCCCAACATGGGTCCAGGGTCTCAGCTGGAGAATAGTATCATAGCGAAACATGGCCTCTGGGGCCTGCCACTATGAACGAGAAGCAATTTTCACAGGCAAAGGGCATGGGTTTAACAAAAATCTGAAATGTGTTATAGTGAATACTAGGCCCCATCATACAACTCCCTGTTCAGAAATGAATGACTCATTTCCTCTGATTCTGTGGGTGCTCCCTACAGACAACCCTCAGCTGACATCACTCTCTGGCAATTGTCCTTGAAGAAAAAGAGCCACCTG
The DNA here is from genome assembly GCF_000001405.40 of Homo sapiens. Taxonomy (NCBI): domain Eukaryota; kingdom Metazoa; phylum Chordata; class Mammalia; order Primates; family Hominidae; genus Homo; species Homo sapiens. Next base: position 33,739,544 of record NC_000008.11, on the reverse strand, counting down.
ACTTTGTCCAAGGTCACATCCCTTCCCAGAGACAGCACACCTCCAATGACTACCTGAAGCTTGGGCCCCTCTCCCACTCTGAGAGGAAAAGCAATCCCAACTCCAGTGATGGCTGCAATCTTTGTAGTAACGACACTGCAGCCAACTTCTTCCTCTATCAATGCCTGCTTCCTTCCCTTTCCCCACGGGTATTAAACCCTCAGACACTCCCTAATAAACCTCCCACCTTCCAGTCTCCATTTCAGGCCTGCTTCCTGGAGAATCCAGCCTGCAACATGTGTGCGTGGCATATGTGACTCAGAGATGCAATCTTAGGGTGATAACGCCTGTCACACAATGCATTCAACTCAAAGGTGTTCAATGAATATTAGTTTCTTTTCCTCCTGTCAGCTTGCCCAGAGGACAATTTCACAGAAAAGAAAGTCACTAAAGTCTCCGGGATCAGAGCCCTTTTCTGTATGACTCTCTGATTTAAGGCTAGAAATTACAATTACAGGATCAATTTCCTTCTATCAGATAGCAAGAGCCAAGCAGAGCATCAGCAGCTGGGCCAAAATGAGGGCACTCATTGCTATCTGATGGAATTCTTGAAGAGCCTAATTCCTGAAGCCAAAATGAGGCAAAGGAGACTTTGCCTGTCAGTAACATTGGGCCCTGCTCCTCCCGCCGTTTACATTATCCCACCAGGCCTCGAGAGCAGGGACCGACTGAGATCATCACACACAGTGTTTGGAAGGTTAATCAGCAAGAATGCATCAAATGCCCACTCTGTGCCAGACTCACATATTAGGTAGATAGATGAGGTTAGGCTTTATAAAAATGTAGGCACTCTGTGGCACCTGCCTGGGATCCCAACTATTCAGGAGGTTGGGGCAGGAGGATCACTAGAGCCCAGGAGTCCAAGGCTGCAGTGAGCTGTAATCACATCACTGCACTCCAGCCTGGGTGACAGAGTGAGACCAAGACTTTAAATGTATATATAATCAGCAAGATAAGACACAGTGAGGATAGATAAGTGTCCAAAATTGGAACAAACCACAAATAGAGGCATTTAGAAAAGGACAACATCTTGTCTTACTGAGGATATAAGGGAACGGTTCATGGAGAGATACCATCTGGGACTTGAAGAATAGAATGGATTAATGGATTTAGAGCTTTTGATAGCCAGAGAAGATAAAGAGGCATTGCTGAAACAGAGAGTTACGCCTATAGAAAGGGACAATGTCAGGGCCTCCAGGTTGTTCAATTCCATGTGCTGGAAACTCCTGGAGCACAATATAGAATAAGGGCCCTGGAGTGGTTCAGGCTGCAGCCCAGGACAAAGTATGTTTGAGGAAGAGTGAATGGTTTGAAGTGTTGCCGATTTAAATAGTCAGGTGGTCCTCAGGCTCTGACGGGAGGCTGGTGAGAAGAGATGCCTTAGGCCCCTAGACCTCACTTGGTTCTCATTTAGGAAGGACAGTGTAGCCTGGCACCAGAATTTGAGTTCTGCCATCCAGAACCAGATTAGGCCAGATCATTTTCTTTAAGCATTTCAGAAAGAAAATAAATAGAGAAAGTATAGTTGTCCTCTAGACCTTCAAGAATTCAAAGATCAAAGCCAGAGATGACTTGTTAAGAAGACTAGATAAATGCTTTGAGCAAAACAGTGGCCAAGCACTGAGCTAAGTGTTTTATATAACAAGATTAATATTTACGACAACCTATGAGGTAGCTGCTGAACTCTTACCTTTTACATACGGGAAAATCAAGGCACAGGAATGTCAGGTAAGCCTCCCATGATCAAAGAGCTAGTAAGAAATGGAGCCAGAGCTCAAACTTATATGGCCATCTCCAGGGTCTGTGCTGAAAGCCTCTTCATTTTATACCATTATTGTTCCACCTTCAAGGTGAGAGCACTGTAGCATAAGGCTTAAAATAAGGCCTTATATTATGTGTTGCCTTAACATCTGATGAAATTCTGTTTCTGAGATGAGGTCTCATTATGTTGCCCAGATTGGTCTTGAACTCCTGGACTTAAGCAATCCTCCCACTTCAGTGTCCCAAGTAGCTGAGATTACAAGCACACATAAAATTCTTGTATGGTAAAATTCTTGAATGGCCTAACTACAAGTTCCCCTCCCAATTATGCTCCTATGAATGAGACCCCCTGGTCCAACAATGCTCCTTATTATAGGAACCAGTCACAGTTCACGCCTATCCCAGACTAGCAAGTTTCTGTTCTCTGCAAGCCCACCAAATTCTTTAAACAAGCCAATCACTTCCTCTGGTAGGAACCAGCAGGCACCCCTCCCTCTTGATACTACAAAGCCCTCCTCCCTCCGCCCTCATTTGTTCACTCTGCTCTTGAGGGCAAGCACTGGGGCCCTGCCTGGCACAGTGTCCCTTCCCCAAGGCTATGATTATATGTGGCTGGTAAATTGCTGTCATTCCATTGCCCAGTCCTGGGTGTCATGTGCTGGGCCATCCTCCTGGGGACAGGAATTCCCCTCCACCCTCCACAACTGGATGAATAGGAGACTAAAGCAAGCCAAGCCAGAAATGAGAAGGAACATCAAGTGGAGAGTAGCCAATGAGATGCCGTAATGGAATGTGGGAAAAGAACAAGGGTGAAAACAAACAGAGAAGACCAAAATAATGACCACACATGACTTAGAAGAGAGACAGAGTGCATACAAGAAGTTCCATCAACTTTTTGAAGCAGGAATAAAGAAAAACATTCAAATGAGGCAGGAATGAGCAATTGACGATCATAACTGTGATTATAAGGCATAATTACAATTAGCTGCACAAGAGTGTTAATCATGAAAATAATTACATGTCAGCTTTCCTCCTAAAGAAGAGAGAATGTAATTAAGTGGCCCAAAGGGGGCAAAGAAAACACATCTCTGGGTGTTACAGGTAAGGGGTGAAGGGCTGATGTTTTCAGTGGTAAAACTCTCTCAGTGCTTTAAATGAATCAACCAATTTCTGCTACAAAAAAAAACAAGGAAGGAGATAAGAACAAACTGGTTTGAGATTTTTCTTGCTAAAAAAGCAAACCAAAACTTGAGGTCTGAGGTAGAACAGTGTGGTAATTAAAAGCCAGACAGCCTAGGAGGCCAAGGCAGGTGGATCACCTGAGGTCAGGAGTTCGAGACTAGCCTGGCCAATATGGAGAAACCCTGTCTCTACTAAAAATACAAAAACTAGCTGGGCGTGGTGGTGCACAACTGTAATCCCAGCTATTCAGGAGGCTGAGGCACAAGAATCGCTTGAGCCTGGGAGGCAGAGGTTGAAGTGAGCCGAGATCGCGTCATCATACTCTAGCCTGGGCTACGGAGTGAGACTCTGTCTCAAAAAAAAAAAAAGCCAGACAGGCCTCAATTCAACTTTATTTTGCTAGTTACCAGCTCCATGATACTAGACAAGTCATTTAACCTCTCTCTAAGCCTCAGTTTCCTCAATAGTAAAATAATAATTATAATGCCTCTCTGAGTTGTTGTGAGAAAATAAAGCTTGTAAGACATTTATGTCAGTGCCTTACACAGAGTAAGTTCTAATAAGGGTCATTATACAATAAAGAAAGGAAGAAAGGAAAGATAGAAGAGAGAAAAAGTCCAGCATGTCTTGCTAAATTTTTCAGCTTTGGTGCCTATATGAATTCAAGAAGAACAAGGCTCCTAACACTTCCTGTACTGTACCTCAAGAGTTTCTTGTCTTTTCTAGAAGAAATCCTACCTTTGATCTCCATGAAGGCTTATGCTTTTAAGGTGTGAGATTGGGTGTGGACTTACAACATGTTTTCTTAGGGGCTGTGAATGAAAGCAGGTCAGGCTAGAGCCACTTACCACCTGCCCCAGTAGGTTTTTCCCTCCCTAGATGCTGTCTTTCAAGCTGTTCCCCATCCCATTTATTCACCCACTCATTCATTCATTTATTTTCTTTGTTGTTTGTAATAAAGACAATACATGTGTTGTATGCCAACTATGTGTACTACAATGTATAAGATAAACATGTGTTTATCATACGTTAACATGATAACCTTCCTGTTATCACTAGATCCTCTCTGTCATACTCTTTTTTAAAATGTTTTTTTTTAGAGATGGGGTCTCAATATGTTGCCCAGGCCAGTCTTAAACTCCTGGTCTCATGCATTCCTTCAGCCTCAGCCTCCCAAAGTGCTAGGAATACCTACATGAGCCTCCATGCCTAACCTCTGTCATATTCTTGATCCTTGCTAATATTATACCTTTGCTCGTTTGTCATTGCCATGAGAACACAACCAAGCAAGCCTTCTGGAGGATGGAAAACACGTAGAGCAATCACCCCAGCCAAGACCATTCTATTAGGTAGGTGTGAAAGTATTTGCAGTTTTTGCCATTAACGACAAAAACTGCAATTACTTTTGCACCTACCTAGTAGATCAGGAAACAGCTGGTTGGCCCCCAGACACATGAGCCAGCTCAGATCAGCAGAACCTTGGTCAATCATCTTAGTCAAATACACAAGCAATAAATACACATCTTGTTGTATACCATAGAGGTTTTGCACTTTTGTGTTACATAGAATTATTGTAGCAATAAGCAGCAGGTAAATTTTACAATAATTAGTTAGAAACCTAAGCCTGTCACCCACCTCATGGGAATAAAACTAGAGGAAGAGAAGATATTTATGGGCATATGTGTCTCTCTGAAGAGAGTTGTACAGTGTGCCTAACCCCCAAGCCAAGGAAGGGGGACTTCAGCAGGACCACCCAGAGAAGTGCAGTTTAAGGGATATGGACAAGAGACGTACTGGCTAGCTATTGACGGGTAAGCCAAAGGAGATAGGCTACAATGATACCCACCTGCAAGCCAAGAATTTGCTCAGGCAAAAGATGCATGAGAGTCTTCCATGCACTAGAGCTGGTTTGCTCAACCTTGGCACCACTGACATTTTGAGGTAGATCATTCTTTTTTGTGGGGGGCTGCCCTGTGCATTGTAAGATATTTAGTAGTATCCCTGGTTTCTACCTACTAGATGCCAATTCCACTTCCCAGTTGTAAGAGACAAAATCATTGAGAACTACTGCACTGAAGGTATTGCCAAATTCCTGAGGGCTCAGCAAAAAGTGACCAGCTGCAATACAGATGCCACTAGCTGCAACAGGGGAGCAGCTAGTGCAAGATCTCTAGCAATGGGGAGGTAAGGCATCTCCAAAGAACCAACTGGAATATCATGAGAGAGAAAGATTCTCTTTTTAACATCTGCCAAGCTTAGAGAGCTTGAAGCCAGCTTCCAACAGTGTCTGTTAAGTAACATTCTGTTCCTCTCATCCCTCCATCTGGCCTCTGATCTCCAACCTGGAAGGGTCAGAAATAACAGCTAGTCAGAGCAGGAAATACAGGAGGAGCCAACCACACCCTCCTTCTTTGCTCTAGGCCTCCCGGCACCTAGCTACGGCTGGAGAAGGTGGGAGAAGTCTCCACTGTGAGTTAGAATTGGCATACTGGTTATTATAAGGCAGTCGACCTTCTATTTTCTGAATCTAGGCTGTGTTTATCATTTAAAAGGTAATTGTTAGATTTCATACTACATAAGAACCACCAGAAAATTCAGAAGAATGCCTGATATTTTATTCAGCAGCAGGAAAACTAGATGCAGTAAATAGGTTTAAAGGGGCAGTAGGAGTTGTGGATGGTGAAGGCAATGAGAGTGATGTGGTGAATCCCACCAGCAGAGTTTAACGAAGCCTGATGGTGACCCCAACTCCCAGCTCTGCTACTCACCAGCTGTGTGACCTTGAGCAAATCATGTATCCTATTTGAGCTTCAGTTTGCTCATCTATTAAAGAAAACAACACTCAGCCAGGTGCAATGGCTCATGCCTGTAATCCCAGCACTTTGGAAGGACAAGGCAAGAGGATCGCTTGAACCCAGGAATTCAAGGCTGGCCTGGGCAGCATGGTGAGACCTCGTCTCTACAAAAAAAAATTAAGAAATTAGCTGGGCATGGTGGCATGACCCTGTGGTCCCAACTACAAGGAAGGCTGAGCCAGGAGGATTACTTGAGCCCAGGAGGTTGAAGCTGCAGTGGGCTACGATTATGCCACTGCATTCCAGCCTGGGCGACAGAGCAAGACGCTGAAGGAAGGGAGGAAGGGAGTGAGGGAGGGAAAAGAAAAAAGCCAGGCGCGGTGGCTCATGCCTGTAATCCCAGCACTTTGGGAGGCCAAGGCGGGCAGATCATTTGAGGTCAGGTGTTCGAGACCAGCCTAACCAACATGGTGAAACCCCATCTCTACCAAAAATACAAAAAAATTAGCCGGGCATGGTGGCACATGCCTGTAGTCCCAGCTGCTCGGGAGGCTGAGGCAGGAGAATTGCTTGAACCTGGGAGACAGAGGTTGCAGTAAGCCAGGATTGCGCCACTGCACTCCAGCCTGGGAGACAGAGCCAGAGTCTGTCTCAAAAAAAAAAAAAAAAAAGGAAGGAAAGAAAAATAAATAAATAAAACAAAACTGCTCTGTCCTGAATCTTCTGTGCAGTGGCAATTACAAAGTATCTGCATGGCTAAGGAGAAGATGGCAGAGTAAGTGGAACTAAAACTCAGTATATTTTGCTTCCACAAACCAATAAATCTGAAGGAAACAAGCCTCCTCAGACAGAAAAACAGGGACGAGGAACCCCTGGGAGCTGGGAGTATCATCACTGTCATAATCATCTTAATCTTCTTCCTCTCCATCTTTCTCATCTACAAACACCCAGAGTGGAGCAGCTCCTGACAAGGTAACCAAAAGCTCCCATTCTTCCAAAGAACCCAAAGAGGCAGTAACAGATGTGCCACCAGCTGGAAGAGTTGCTGGCCTGCCTTGGATGAAGGATCCCAGGCCTCCAGAGCTGAAGAAGCCCACAGGGTGACATATGCCGACCTGAACACTCAAGCCCTAAGTGAAGGCCTGTCCAGCCAGCAAGAGGCTTCCAAGAAGCCTCTGAACCCTGTGTGTACTCAGCCGTGAAGATGTAGCTGGGAGAAGCCCTGGAGCCTAGGAAGAAAGAACTTCTGATTAGGGAATAGGGGATGGGGCAGAGGCCGTGTGGGGAACTTGGCAAATGGGGACCCCTTTCCTCAAACTCCAGTGAAGGTTGTTTCCTTTTTTTAAAACTTATTTTTTAAAATGAGCGGTAACATTTACATAAAGTAAAACGTACAGATGTTAAGTGTACAACTCAGTGATATATATCTCTACATCTATCTATCATCATGATCATCTATCTATGATCTATTACCTATTATTTATCACCTATCTTTCTATTATCTATCAATCTCTATCCACCTAGCATCTATCTACCTATTTTCTATCTATCTATCTTCATCATCATCATCAATTATCTATCCATCTAATTCACTTGGTATAACCCCAACCAAATAAAAATATAGCATGTTTCCAGTACTCCAAGAAGTTCCCTTGTGACCTTCCTCAGTCAATTTCTACTTCTCTCTTTTCTGATTTCTACCATGGACAAGTTCTGTCTGTTCTTGAACTTTATACCAATGTAATTATACCACAAGTAAAAATAAATAAATAAATAAATAAGGGGCAGTAGGGTTTTTTAAGTTGCTTTATGGTTAATTCCCATTGAGCTCCATAGTTCGAAAGACCAGATGTCCATGCTTCCTTGCAGAACTTCCCATCACCATAAGATCATGCCCTAGGCTCCATTTCTGGCACACTGCACTATTTCTCCTACATCCAGAATTTGCTTCTCCCTTGCAATACAACCCCCTACAGCCTCAACATATACACAACAGCACCAACCAGCACAACCACCAACAATAACAAAGGCTACACGCAACAAAGTGGATGCTGGCTCTGCTTGCATCCTGTAGGGCTCCGGAGAATGCCAAATGGTGCTTCAAGGTTGAACCTGACTGCGGTTGTTAAGATTGCTCCCTCTCCATGGCATGGTCCAGGCCTGTCCTGTGGGCAGTGGCTTCATGTGAATCCCTCCCTTGCCCTGCTCCTTGCAGGGAGGTTGAACAGCAGGCCACAAGTCATCAATCAGCTAGACAGGCCTCTGTGCCCCCACCTCAGGCTCCCCGGGGGTGAGCACTGTGAATCACAGAAGTGTCCTCCTCTGGGAGCCAGGGTGACAAGGTCCTGTAATTTATCTCACATGAAATGAGCTGATTATTTGAATAAGCTGGAGGAAAGCAGTCCATTAATTCTCAGAGATAGCTCTTGATTCTTAAGGATTTTATTCTGTGTCCCCATAACTGACATCCCGCCTCTGTCTCTTTCCCAGATACTAATGGCATATCAAGGGCTTAACTTGCACTCCCCCAGTAGCCTGATGCTAAAACAAGGCATCAGACCACACTTCATGCAGAGAGAATGAAAGGGTCACTTGGCCTTTTAGTGTTTGTAGTAGATCCACAAGCTCTTTTGGTAACACTAATCCCAGCCACTGTCCACCCTGTTTCAAAAGATCACTTCACTTTGATACCAAAAGCACAATCCATAAAAGGAAAAATTGACAAATTGAACCTCATTAAAATAAAAAAAACTTTTACTCTGAAAAAAAAAAACAAAACAGCTATGGAGAGAATGACGAATCAAGCTGCAGGATGGGAGAAAATATTTGCAAATGACATAGTCAACGAAGAGCTCGTACCTAAAATATATAAAGAATTCTCAAAACTCAACAATTAAAAAAACAAAATCTAATTATAAAATGGTAAAATACATGAATACACATTTCACTGAAGAGGATATACAGATGGCAGATGAGCACATGAAAACACATTCAACAACATTAGCCATGAGGGAAATGCAAATTAAAACCACAATGATCAATCACTACATACCTATCCGAATCGCTAAAGTGAGAAACAGGGAAAATCCCCAATGCTGACAAAGCTGCAGAGAAACTGGATCACTCATGTATGCCTAGTGGGAACGTAAAATGGTATGGCCCCTCTGGAAAATAGTTTGACAGCTTTTTCTACAACTAAACATGTACTTACTGTATGACACAACATTGCACTCCTAGACATTTATCCCAGAGAAATGAAAACTTGGTCACACACACACAATCTGTTTATAGCAGCTTTATTTGTAATAGCCAGAAACTGGAAACAACCAAAATGTCCTTCAACAGGCAAATGGTTACACAGTGAGAAACCTCCATCATGCAATATTATGCAGCACTGAAAAGGAATGAACTATTGACACATGCAACAACTTGGATGCATCTCAAGGGCATTAGGCTGAGTGAAAAAACTGTCAATCTCAAAAGGTTAAATACTCTACCATTAAATTTGCATAGCATTCTTGGTTGTTGTTGTTTTTGCTGTTGCTGTTGTTGTTGTTGTTGTTTTTGTTGAGACAAGGTCTCACTCTGTGGCCCAGGCTGAAGTGAGGTGGCACGATCTTGACTCACTGCAGCCTCCACCTCCTGGGCTCAAGTCATCCTCCCACCTCAGCCTCCTAAACAGCTGGGACTACAGGCATGAACCACCACACTGGGCTAATTTTTTTTATTTTTTGTAGAGAAAAGGTCTCACTATGTTGCCCAAGCTGGTCTCAAACTCCTGGGCTCAAGTGATCCTCCTACCTCAGCCTCCCAAAGTAATGGGATTACAAGCATGAGTGCATAACATTCTTAAAATGACAATATTATAGACAGAGAAAGCAGATGACTGATTGCTGGAGTGAGGATTGGAAGTAGGCATACGTGCGATGATAAAGCAGTAGCATAAGGGTGTCTTGTGATAATAGAACAATCCATATCTTGATTGTGATGGGTGGTGGTTACACAAATCTATGTGCTAAAATTGCACAGAACTATACACACAGGTATACACACAAATGAGTGTATGTAAAAGTAATGACATTTGAACAAGCTCTGTGGATTTTATCAATGTCAACTTTCTGGTTTTGATATTGTACTGTAGCTGTGCAAGATGGTACCATTAGAGAAAATGGGTCTTCCTTGTACATTTTTTTCCTTTCTTTCTTTTTTTTCTTTTTTTGCAATTTTCTGTGAATCTATAATAATTAATCAAAAAACAGATTTTTAAAAATTCTAAATTCTTATGTTAAAAATACTCTTATTTCTAATCACATTTATTTATTATTATCAAGGTATAATTTGGATCCAGCTATAGAATTTTCTTCCCTAGAATCTAATAATTTTTTTTGCTTTTATTTTAGTTTCAGGGGTACATGTTCAGGTTGGTTATATAGGTAAACTACATGTTGTGGGGGTTTGGTGCATGATAATTCTGTCACCCAGATAATAAGCATAGTATCTGATAGACGTAATCTTATTCCTTCTATGTCTTTGAGCACCCTGGTCTCTCCAGGTAAATTATATGAAGGGCCTTGAAGCCAGGAGGTAAGTGTTGTTAATGTATTTAGCTGTGCTTCTTCCTTCTGTAGTGTCTGAAGGATAAGCAACCTCATCCTATAAGAAGGCACAGAAAGGTTCTCTGTACTGAGTCACGGATAATGAACATACGGTCAACATAAATGTAAATTCTGCTTTCTTTCAAAAAGAAGAAGAAGAAAAGTGCTTCTCCCACAATGACAGGCCCAGCATCAGAAAAGCAGCAAGAAGATGGTACATGAAGTGTGATTTCAATGAGGCTGGCTCTAGAGCCTATCTACGTGAGTTCAAACCCCAGTTCTACCACATTCCAGCTTTGGGATCAATGACATGTTACTTAACATCTCTGGCCTTAGTCTAATCATCTTTAAAGTAGGAATAAAAACACTCCCTACCCCATATGTTTGTCTTAAGGATTGATGATAGACACTTGGAAAGACACAGCCAGAGCCTGTGTACATGCTCTACAACAGGGGCCTGAGCCCACTGCAACAAAAAGAAAAATGCCAAGTGGGAAACACTGGCACTCCTACTGATGAACCCCTCTTGCTGTGGATCCTACCCAAATTCCCCCAGTGTGACACCCGAAAGTCTCCCATGTGCCAGACCTTTCCCTCTCATTCCTTTCTTAAAACTTACTCTTGGCTGGGCGCAGTAGCTCACGCCTGTAATCCCAGCACTTTGGGAGGCCCAGGCGGGCGGATCACGAGGTCAGGAGTTTGAGACCAGCCTAACCAACAAGGTGAAACCCCGTCTCTACTAAAAATATAAACATTAGCCAGGTGTGGTGGCACGTGCCTGTAATCCCAGCTACTCAGGAGGCTGAGGCAGGAGACTCGCTTGAACCTGGGAGACGGAGGTTGCAGTGAGCCAAGGTCACGCCATTGCACTCCAACCTGGGCAACAGAGGAAGACTCCGTCTCTAAAAAAAAAAAACAAAAAACTTACTCTTCATTGGATCTCTTTCCTCTTGCCATAAATGGGTGACAATTGGAGAAGCTGGGTGGGCAGTACAGTTGGTACAGGGTGTGAACACACACAGGGAAGCTGAGGAGGTGATTTCAGTTCTGACTCTTCCAGGTCCAGCCGTGTGATCCAGGGCAAGGTCATCCTACCTCCCAGGATGGTTTCCTCATGGGTGAAATCAGAGGACTAGACTAGATCAAAAATAGCCCATGTCTGCAATGGGCCAGAGAGTTAACATGTTTGACTTTGAGAGCTCTGTGGTCTTGTCACAACTTCTCAACTCTACCATCAGAGCAGGACAACAGTCACAGACAATGCAATGAGCGTGTCTGTGTTCTAATAAAACTTTTCTTACAGAAACAGGCACCAAGCCACACTTGGCCTGTACAGACCTTATTACTGTACAAATATACTATATATACATAAAAGATATATATAGTATACTATAAATATACAAATATACTATATATAATGTAGTATATTTATAATTAATCTGGAGAACTAATTTAATTCATAGTTAATGAAGTAGGTATGAAGTGTGATAGATAAAATAAATAATATATTTATAATTCTATAATTACATAGGATTATATATTTCTATAAATTATGTTCTATAATTTATATGTCCACCACCTAAACCCACAACCATGGTACTGTAACCAATCTCCCTGGGCAGTGACCCATGGCTGACTTTTAGTCTGTCCTGGGGGCACTTCAATCTCTTTCAGGGAGTGCAGCCATAGGTTGACACAGTCATTCAGCTGCCTCCATGCAGAACTGTACCTGCACTAGCCCAGCCAGACAAGGAAGAGCTACTTATAACATGCTCTAGGTCACTTCTAGAGGAGGCTCCCTTTGGCAATAATAAAAAATTGGTGGTTTTCATCTCTGTAGTAGAGCACTTCAGAACTAATATCATTTCCTTAGTGATCTATATTAGAAAACAACCCAGAAACCAAGAAACCATACAGTGGCATGGCTTGTAAATGTTCTGCCCACTCATCCCAGAGTGAAGAAATCTCTCTTGCATCTCCCCAATCAATTTAATTCATTTGACAGAAATCATTTTCTCCATCATTGACATGACCATTTATTTAAAAATCTTTTATATCGATTTCTCTCTAGAGGAACAGAAACTTGTTAATTCTTAAAGGTACCATTTCGTATAATGTGCCCCCATTCTGCAGCCAATTATATCCAGTGCCATGGCTTCCTCTGGATATCAATAACTATCAGCCACCCAGTGGACCGCTGCTTGCAACTTCCTTTCTGAGCTGTCATTAGAAGATCCCTGACTTGGGGCTGACTCACAGCAGTTGCTGTTAACTGCTGCGGCCACCTTTGTGCATCTTTTGAGTGCAATGTCTACCTCCTGGCGTCACTCTGATGCCTTTCCTGAGGCTCCAGCTTTCTCTCCCCCTGGGTTCCATCCATAACATCAACACTATGATTTTTTAATTAGCTCTATGAGACATACATTTGAAATCAAATCCCAAAAGGAACTGGGTCTTGTAGAATAAAGTAACTTGGATGCCTATCTGGAGGAATCATTGGAATCCTAATTTCTAGCATGACCATAGTCAGGCAGCCAAGTGAACCTTCTGCCACTGGCATCTTCCTACACTTCCACAGGGCCTGCTAAGCTGCTGTGTGGAAAGGGGCTTTTCCAGTCCCAGTTTTCTCCTTTCCTCTTGAGTTAAGGAGAACAGAAAGGGGACCACCTGACCAAACCCTGACTAAGGGTAAATGATCAGACCTTTAGGGATAAGTTTGCCAGTGATCGTGGTTCCAGCTGTCTCATTAGGGATTTCCAAGGCACTCTCAAGATTCAAAACCAACAACTCTTGAAGGTTCTGAGTGTCCACGCAAGGGCTAAATATATCCATACAACTCAATATCAGCCCAAGGCCACAGATAGCCCAAATAGCCTCTGCAGGCGCCTACTCTTTAAGGAGGAATCACATTAAGCTCTGGTTCTTCCCTCTACTCTTAACAGAGTCCCCCAACTTAGGAAAACTCCACAGAGGTCTTCATTAGCAATGATTCAGGAAATACTTCCTGCTCTATATCCCCGAAGCTGAAAAATGATGCAAAAATCTCAGAAAGACACCAATGGACAATTTCAAAGGAGCAATCTTTATCCCATGGATACTACCCAGTTCCTGAAGAGCAAGCAGTCTATTGCAGGAAAGACAGCTGTATTCTTGAGATAGATAGATAGATAGATAGATAGATAGATAGATAGATAGATAGATGATAGATACATACATACATACATACATACATACATACATACATACGCAGGCAGACAGATGATAGATGGGCATGCAGACATAGACACAGATATGTTACCAGAAAGAAGTCCCAATCCAAACCCCAAGAGAAGGTTCTTGGACTTCACACAAGAAAGAATTTGGGGTGAGTCCATAGAGTGAAGGCAAGTTTATTAAGAAAGTAAAGGAATAAAAGAATGGCTACTCCATAGGCAGAAGTGACAGGGCCACTCAACTGAGTATACTTACAGTTATTTCTTGATTATATGCTAAACAAGGGGTGGAGCAGGGATTTCCCAAAAGCGATTTCCCAGAACTGAGGGTTCTTCCCCATGTCAGACTATATAGGGTACTTCTGGACATTGCCATGACATTTGTAGACTGTCTTTGGGACATTAGGAGCGTCTTTTAGCATATTAATGTATTATAATTAGTGCATAATGAGCAGTGAGGATGACCAGAAGTCACTTTCATCGCCATCTTAGTTTTGGCCGGCTTCTGTACTGCATCCTTGTTTATCAGCAAGGCCTTTGTGACCGGTATCTTGTCCCAGCCTCCTATCTCCTCCTGTGGCCAGGAATGCCTAACCTCCTGGGAGTGCAGCCCAGTAGGTCTCAGCCTCATTTTATCCAGCCCCTATTCAAGATGGAGTCACTTTGGTTCAAATGCCTCTGACAGATATAGACGTTGATATAGATAAATACAATCCTTATGAAATACCTGAAGACAATGTATAAATGATTGCAGATCAAACAGAAATACAGAAAATGTGGCATTGACATCTAGTTCCCAAGGGGACTGAGAAAAAGAAAAACAGCCTCTTCTCTATGTCTTAATGTACAATTACAAAAAATTCCATACAGCTTGCATCAATTAAGCTCCTTCTATGTACCTGGCACCATGCTAAGAGATTAATGAACATAGTTCCTGCCTTAAAGGCTTCCCAATCTAGCTGAGAAGAAAGCCACACCAACAAATAACCATAATATAAAGCAGACTATAATAAGTGATACAATAAAGATACAAAAGTGCAGAAAAATAATAGGGCTGTTTGCTTTGTTTTTTCAAGGACCACAAATTTTAAAAATTTACCAAGGCATCCAGCAAGGGCAAGGGCTAATTGGCAATCTTCAGAGCTTAGCAACAACAAATGAAATGAAAACATGACTTCTCATTTCCCAAAATAAAACACACTGAATTATGGCCACAGATACATTCTCAGTTCTCCCAAAAATGATCTCAATGTGTCTTCTGTGTTTATGACCTGAAAAACTCCGTAACAATAAATCAAAGTCTGGAGAAGAAACCAAAATAAAGAATAGAATTACCATCTTTTTCCTCATTATGCCCTTATCTCTACCTCAGCCTCCCAGTTCATTAAAGGTACCATTCCTTGCTTTGCACAACACAAGTACTTGCCTATGGGCCAATTTGAAATGACTCAGGATACAGCCTTCTGAAAACACTTAAAAGGATTTACTTGCCATATCTATGTATCCCACAAACACGTCTTAAACACTTGTTGAGAACCTTACTCAGTGCCAGACTCTGGGATCGAGAGAACAAGACATGGTCTCATCCTCGATGAACAAGACAGTCCAGAGATGAGGGGAAGGAAGGAAAGAACGAATCTATGCACAAATAAGGACATTTGAAAGTGGCAAATGTGCCAGGTGGTGCTGTGGCTCACACCTGTAATCCCAGTACTTTGGGAAACTGAGGCAGGAGGATCCCTTAAGCTCAGGAGTTCGAAACCAGCCTGGGGAACAGAGTGAGACTCCATCTCTACAAAAAAAAATGTTAAAAAATTAGTGCACGCCCGTAGTCTCAGCAACTCAGGAGGCTGAGGCAGGAGGATTGCTTGAACCCAGAAGTTTGAGGCTGCAGTGAGCCGAGATCACGCCACTACACTCCAGCCTGGGCAAAAGAGAGGGACTCCATCTCAAAAAAAAAAAAAAAAAAAAAGGAATAATGCTCTACTGATTTTATGTCCAGGGTTATTACAGCAGCATCCACACACTGTTTCTTATGCACGACGGCAAAGAAGCCAGAAAATCATCAAATATTTTGGAAAGAGTCAAGTCATCTAGTGTATGAAGTTTGGCTTCTAAGAGATCTCTTATTCCTACTCTCTTCCCTCTCCAATTCATCTTGCATCCCACTTCTGGGTCAGTACTCGTAAAGCTTAATTCTAATTGCATTAATCCTCTGCTCAAAGAGTTCTAATGCCCCTCCTCTTAACTATCGAGTGAAGTCCAGGCTCCTTAGCAATGCACCCAAGCATTCCAAAACTTAGCCTCAGCCTCCCGCTCCAGCTTTGCCTTTTTATTCAGTAAATATCAATTAAATGCCAAGCATGGGAGATACTGGGAAAATCAAGAAACCAGAAATTAGTCAAGATTCCTAATTTCTTAGTAGAATATTAAGCAGACAAATTAAGCAAGCAAACAAAAAATTTCAAATGGTGACAAGTGCTATGAAGAAAATAAAGCAGCGCTAGAGAATGGCAGGGGCGGGGGACCACTCTACAATGGGTGATTAGGAGCATCTGAGTAAGAGACATTTAAACGGAGACCTGAATAACTAGGAGCAAGCCACATGACCCTCTAGGGGATGACTACGTCAAGCAAAGGAACCAGCCAAGGCAAAGGCCCGATGGAACTATGAAGACCAGGGTGGGTAGAGCGTCAGGAACAATGGAGAGAATGGTGTGAGACAAGGTTGGAGAGCCTGGACCACGTAGGGCTTACAGGCCCATGGATTTTTAACCCCATGTCTGATGAGAAACCATTAGCAGGTTTTAAGAAGGAAGCAGGTGGTGGATCCTGCGCCTGGCCAGCCCTGCCCGGCCTTCCCTCTGGCCCACCTGACCGCCATGCGTCCGTCCTCCTCCCCACCTCGTGGCCGGCAGCAGCCCTCCAGCTTTGGCTCCGTGGACTGGCTCTCCCAGAACAGCTGCTCAGGGCCGACCCACACCCCCAGGCCTGCCGACGTCTCCCCGGGGAGCCACCCTGGCCCGGGCCAGACATCCGGCACCCGGGAGCCCCCTCAGGCCGTCAGCATCAAGAAGGCTCGGTCCTCAAATCTGCCTGCGCCGGAGAGGGCCGTGGCTGGGTTGGGTAAGAAGCCAAACCCCTGGCAGGCCCCCTGTGTAGGCACAGCCTTCACCACCGAGCAGGTCCGCGCCTTGGAGGGCGTCTTCCAGCACCACCAGGACCTGGGCCCTCTGGAACGGAAAAGGCTGGCAGGGAGATGCAGCTCTCGGACGTCTAGACAAAAACCTGGTTTCAAAAACGCCAGATGAAACAGAAACGACAAACGCAGGACTCCCAGCTGAACAGCCCCTTCTCTGTGTCTCTCCACGCGCCCCCTGCTTTCCACTCACCGTCTTCTGGCCTTGTCAATACCTGCAGCTGCCGTGCCCTTGGGCACCCCTGCCAGGGCCCCAGGCTCTGATGCTGCCCCCTGGCTCTCTCTGGGGTCTCTGCCAAGTGGAACAAGAGGCCCTGGCCTCTGCGGGGGTTTCCTGCTATGGGCAGCCTCTGGCGTACCACCGGCCAAGCCCAGGAAGTGGCGTGCGTACGCTGGGACCAGCTCTGTCCACGGGGCCCTGGGGCCTGAGCGCCCTGCAGGAGACGGGGGGATGCATTTTGAGGATGCACCTCTGACTCCATGCCTCCCACACGCGCGGTCTGTGCAGATCGCACCTGGAGCCCACCTGGAGGGCTCAGCTGCTCTGTTCTGTTTACATCGTGGCGGCACCTCTCACCCTGACCCATGCAAAGGTTCTGGAGCTTTCTGGAGAATATATTTATTAAAGCCATCTCTTCACTGAAAGTTACCAAAAGGGTCTGTTTAGGAAGTAAATGGTCAGTGAACCGAGTCAAACGCAGAAATGGGCTTGTTATGGGTAGGGCTTTCAGCATATGATAAAAGGATAATTTGTTTTTTAAAAAATGTTGGAAAAACTGGTTTTCCAGTTGGAAAAAGTAAAGGTTGTAAATTTTGTGTGTAAAAAAGAAAACCAGGAAGGATTGGAAGGGAATGCAAGTGTCGTGTTTATAACCTTGGGGTTCGAGTCCCTCTTAACAAGGACTCCAAAGCTGGAAAGAAGGAGGGAACAAAGGTGAAAATTAAGGCGGGATGCTGGGGCCCTGCAATGCTCTCTAGGCCGTGAGTGAGCCGGGACTGTGCCGGCAGCCTGCTGGGGCCCTGCAATGCTCTCTAGGCCGTGAGTGAGCCGGGACTGTGCCGGCAGCCTGCTGGGGGCTGCTCTTCTCGGGCCAGGGAAAGTGGGGCAGCCAGGACCTGCGGCTGTGCCTGGACTGAAACCGTCGCACATGTCCCCACTCTTCAGCATGTGCTCACCTGTCCACCTCCTCGCAGCAGCCTCGGGACAAAACAGAATGACTCAAGGACAGCACTTCCTGCTGAAAATCTCGAAGTGCCCAGAATGGGAGGCACGGAAGCCCCTCCCGGGGAGGACTCTCCCTCATTGATGGAGCATTTTTGGTGCAGACCCCTCACCGCACACACCGAAGCTTAGACAAGGGCGCATCCGTCCACGTCGCCCCAGAGTGCCCAGGAGGCAGGCAGCGCGGGGCACCCAGACAGACGGGTTCAGCCTGCAGGACTGAGA
This sequence comes from Homo sapiens, assembly GCF_000001405.40. Taxonomy (NCBI): domain Eukaryota; kingdom Metazoa; phylum Chordata; class Mammalia; order Primates; family Hominidae; genus Homo; species Homo sapiens. The sequence continues at coordinate 33,721,314 of NC_000008.11, read as the reverse complement.
GGCGACCTGTGAAACCGACCCAGGCATCCCAACAGGAACAAAAGCGTGGTCCTGTGGCCGTGTCCACAGCAAGTTCCACTTTCCCCTTACTCATTTCTGCCTTGTTGGAAGTGTTTACAACCAGAAAAAAGAAAAGTAAGGAAGCAAACTAATGTGATATTCAGCCTAGATGGGTCAGTTTGGCTACCCTAAGAAGAAGAGATTGAGCTGGGGGCAAGGGACGAGGCAAGGAACTCAGTTGGAAGCCCCTGCAGATTTCAAGTGAGATGTGGAGGTGGCCTGGACCAGAGTGACAGCAAGAGAGATGGAAAGAGTTGAACCGAGGTATGATATGCAAGAGGGGTAGGATTTTACAGAATCTACTCTAGGATCACTTGTGGGAGGAAAAGGAAAAAGAAGAATGAAAGACTTCAGAGATTACTTCAAGGTGCGTGGCTTGAGCAAGCAGGCAGACAGTGATGTCAGTTACCTAGTTCCCATCATAGCTTTTTCTCTGCCCCAAAACACTCCAACCCCTTCAAACACTCCTAGCCCCCAAATGCTCTAGAGTCAAAGTAGATAATTTGTCACCTCTCGAGCACAACCTACTCTTTTCAAATGTGCTTCATTGTTCATTTCCCTTATTCCTGCGTTTTTTGGAACTCTAGACATAATTCAAGACTCAAAACCAGTGTTATATTTCCTGAACCTGTCTGCTGAAATTACCTCTTCTATTCACAAGCAATGCCTTTTTACACCTCAATTATTACATGTATCCTACTCCACCTTACATTAATTTACTGTGCCATATGCAATGGTCTGAATGTTTCCCCCAAAAATCATATGTCGAAACCTAATTACCAATTTGATAGAGAGGTATGGCCTTTAGGAGGTGATTAAGTCATGAAGGTGGGGACTCTTACAAAAGAACTTTATGCTGGGTGCAGTGGCTCAAACCTATAATCTCAGCTACTCGAGAGGCTGAGGTGAGAGTATCACTTAAGCCTAGGAGTTCCAGACCAGCCTAGGCTACATAGTGAGAGCCTCTGTCTCTACAAAATAAAATAAATTAGCCAGGCATGGCGACACATACCTGTGGTCTCAGCTACCTGGAAGGCCGAGGCAGAAGGATGGCTCAAACCAGGAGTTCAAGGCTGGAGTGAGTTATTATTGCACCACTACACTCCAGCCTGGACAGCACAGCAAGACCCTGTCTCTTAAAAATAAAATAAAAGGGGCCAGGCGTGGTGGTGGCTAACGCCTGTAATCCCAGCACTTTGGGATGCCGAGGCAGGCTGATCACTTGAGGTCAGGAGTTTGAGACCAGCCTGGCCAACATGGTGAAACCCTGTCTCGACTAAAAATACAAAAATTAGCCGGGCGTGGTGGCGCACACCTGTTATCCCAGCTACTTGGGAGGCTGAGACAGGAGATCACTTGAACCCGGGAGGTGGAGGTTGCAGTGAGCTGAGATCACACCACTGCACTCCAGCCTGAACAACAGAGTGAGACTCCATCTCAAAAAATAAAATAAAATAAAATAAAATAAAAGGTCTTGAGGAAGTGGACTCACCCTTTTCTGTCCCTTCCACCACATGAGGTAACAGTGAAAAGACACCATCTTGGAAGCAGAGCAACCCAGCCCTCACCAGACATAGAATCTGCCAGTACCTTCATCTTGGACTTCCCAGCCTCCAAAACTATGAGAGATGAATTTCTCTGGCTTATAAATTACCCAGCCTGTAGCATTTTGTTATAGCAACACACATAAACTAAACATGTATGCCGCTCACACCCATAAACCCTAAACCTCACCTGTGACCAGGCTTTGTAACTCCCAGGAATAGTTGTAACTTTTCTAACTTTGACCTTTGTAACTCCTGGGAATCTTTGCATCCACAAATATGTGTAGACGAGGATAGAGATGGTGCGGATACTATTGACCCCTAAGCTTTGTTTAGTTCCTTGGCCCTAGACTGCTTTAGGCTAATTCTTATGGAGAGTTTGGAGGTTGTTTCATTTTCTAGGTGAGGGGATCAATTTTGAATAACTTGTCTAGGTGACACAAGGGAGCCTGGATTAGAATTCATATCCTAGGGGGTCTGACAATAGCATAGAGAGTCACATAGATAACATATATTTCTTCTTTAAATCTCTACAACCAGCCTGCACAGGACCTTATTTCATCAAGTCTAAAATGCCAATTCAGAGACCCAATATTATTTAATGGAACACTGTTTAAAAAAGTGAAGTCAATTAAACTTTTGACACATGCTAAAATGCAACCATCATCAGGGTAGCCTGATTTCAGAGATGTTAAATGTGAGAGAGGAGAAAGGGTGCTTTAAAATCCCTAATTTATAAGTGAGAAAACTGAAGCTTAGATAGAATAAGCAATGGCCCCGCCTCAGACACCAGGTAAGTGGCAGATTATCTTGACTCCAAGAACTCAGGTGTCTTGGCTCCAAGAACTGTACTCGCTCCGTGTTAGCAGTACCTCCCCTTTCTGTATCTTGGATTTTTCAGAAGAGGCACAACTATAGCAGGGCATCATAAAGAAATAAAGATTAAATATGGAGCCCAAGCTGAAACCTTGTTCTACACTAATGCACTTAGCAGAAGCCCACAACTTACTGGTCTTTCCTGAAATCAGGGGGAAATGTCTGGCTGAGCTGCTGCTCCGTGGGTGGCACTGTCCAGAATTGTCAGGGATAATGGTAATTTATGTTTCCTTCCACACCTGCTCTCTTCCCAGCTTTAGTCATCTGCTAACACAGCTTCTCTCCAGGGGAGGACGAGGGAGGGGCTGAAACGAGGGGAAGGAAGCAGCTCTTGTTCACCGCAGCTCAGCTAAATTGCATTTGCCCTCTTTTGCATAGAGCAAAAGTGTTATAGAAAATGCAGCATGGATTTTTAATTTTCTCCTTGTCACTGGCTGCTGTAATCACATAATTAACCAAGTGGTAGAGATAGTCATTTATAGCAAATGAGCAAAACAATCACAGAGGTTAGTCACCCAGAGACCAAAAAGGTTACGTTTGCCTCTCAAAAAGGCATGCGTGGACAGAGTCCCCAAGCCTTGGCTGTGTGGGACCCGACACCTAAAGAATGCAGCATTGAAGTAAAGAAAGGGCAATGTGTTTGTCCTTCAAGACAATGAATTGCTAACTGCGCACTGGTTTGGAAGGCCATGAAATGGACAGGGTGGGGATGGGAACCCCCCCAGGGCCAGAGGCCAGCAGCTTTACAGACACTCCAGCCCTCCCCTCCATCCCAAGGGATGCTTTCTTAGTAAATGCCTTTGTTCATGCTCCTCCTTCTGCCCGAAATGTCCTTCCAGCCTGCTGGACTCCAGTTCTTCATTCAAGGACAGCCCAAATGTTTCCTTTCTGGCTCCTTCCCTGCCCGACCACTTCACCATGGCCCATAGCCCCCATTTCTACCACTAGAGTAATAAACAACTATAAATCCACACGCATACACATACTACCTCCAGCAGCACCATCACCACCACCAAATGACTGGACAGAAACTAATAAAACCTGTTAAGGCCCAGGAAGTGTTTTGCCTGCCTGACTCCCCAGATAAAAAGGCCTCCCTCGACCCTATGAGCATGGCAATTAAAGACAATGCAAATACCCACCTCCTAGGATCCAGGAATGAGAACGAAATTGGTGATCTTGAGAGGTGTTTTGACCAATACTAGTAGAGCTCCTCTGCCCACCATCACTTCAAATTAGTTTTGCTGTAGAACCCTGAAATTCCAGCTTGCGTGTTAAACATTGCCTTCTCCATGGGATACTCTCTTTTAAAATGCAACATTCATGGGAAAGGTACCATGTGACTTATTGTGCCCCAAACCTTAATGCAAATTAGCATAATATCTTATATCTTTCTTCCCTAAAAGGTGAAGCCCAGACAGCAGAGAAATTTCTCACCTGAGCAGAGAGGAATCAACAGAGAGGAAAGTGGTAAGAAAAAGGCACTAAACGACATGCCAAATAATAAGTATTTATTGAGTAGATACTTCAGACCAGAACTTGTTCATTCTTCTACTATAGCTTTGTAAAATAGGTTTTTGGGCTTTTTGTTTTTTGGGGTGTATTTTGGAGAAAAGGGTCTCACTCTGTCACCCAGATTGTGCAATGGCATGATCTCAGCTCACTGCAACCTCCACCTGTCAAATTCAAGTGAGTCTCTTACCTCAGCCTCCTGAGTAGCTGGGATTACAGGCACCTGCCACCACGCCCAGCTAATTTTTGTATTTTTTGTAGACACAGGGTTTTGTAGACACAGTTGGCCAGGCTGGTCTTCAACTCCTGATCTCAAGTGATCCTCCCGCCTCAACCTCTCAAAGTGCTGGGATTGCGGACATGAACCACCATTCCTAGCCTACAAAATAGGTATTAGTAGTAGTGGTATTTTCATTTCATGGATGACAAAGACAGCTTAAACAATTTGCACAAAGTTTAAGTGGAGTTACTAGAATTCAATCTTGAGCCTGTCTGCAGCAAAATCCATGCCCTTTCCCTACGAGGGTGCAAAGTATGGAATTGTTTTCTTCTTCCACCTTCCCCTCAACTGGCCCTTATGCTTTTACCTTGTTCTCTCCATCAAATCTGGTCAAAGGAAAGAGTCAAATGATGTGTCATTTATACCTTAGAGATGATACCATGAACAGCTCAGGGAGAAAAGACAAACCATTCACTTAAAATCTCATAAATTATGGTAAGACATTCTTTTTTTTTAGGTACTTTTAGTTTTTTTGTTTTTGTTTGTTTGTTTTTTGTAGATTTAGGGGATACAAATGCAGGGAGGATTTGTTTGTTTATTTCTTTGTTTTTGAGACAAGGTCTCACGCTGTCACCCAGGCTGGAGTGCAACGGTACAATCGTGGCTCACTGCAGCCTCAAACTCCTGGGCTCAAGCAATCCTCTTGCCTAAGCCTACCAAGAAGCTGGGACCACAGTATAAGTTCCATGAGGCAGAGACTGTGTCCACTGTATCCCCAGAAGCTGGAAAGACAGCATGTGCTTAATAAATGTTTGTGGAATAAATAAAATTTACAGATAGGAAATGGAAGCACAAATGAGTTAAATAACACATTCAAAGCTAATCCACCATAAGAGGCAGAGCTAGGAATTGAATGGAACATGCCTGACTAACTCTCAAACCACATATGCTCTTTCTGCTATCCCATAGTGGAAATAGGTTCAACCCCAACCTCCTCATTGCCCAATCCAACATTTTGTGTTTTTTTGTTTTTTTGTGGCTTGTCCAGGCTGGGGTGCAGTGGCTATTTACAGATGTGATCCCACTACTGATCAGCGTGGGAGTTTTCACCTGCTCCGTTTTCAGCTTGAGCCAGTTCACCCTTCCTTAGGCAACCTGGTGGCCCACCACTCCTGGGAGGTCACCATATTGATGTCAAACTTAGTATGGGCACCCAACTGGCATAGTGCACTACAGCCCAAAACTCCTGGGCTCAAGCCATTCTCCTGCCTCAGCCTCCTGAGTAGCTGGAACTATAGGCATGGGCCACCATGCCTGGCCCAGTCCAACATGATTTAAAAGGAGCTTAACTCCTTCACCCAGGCCTTTGTGGATAGAAGTATCACTGCCTGCTGACAGAGGGATCATGTTAGCTCAGAATGCCCTGCACTGAAAACCTTCTCTCTCTTGCAAGTACATGTCAGCTCCATGTTTGTGAGCTAATGCCAATCGAGAAAATCAAATAATGGATGATTCTGAAGGCCCATACATGTGAAAGTTTGGGAACAGCTGGTTTAGAGCACTGGTTCTCAAAGTGTGGTCCCAGACCACCAGCATCAGCATCGCCCAGGAACTTGTTAGAAATGCACATTCTTGAAACCCACCCTGATTCTACTGAATCAGAAACCCTGGGGTGAAGCCAGGTGTGGTGGCTCATGCCTGTAATCCCAGCACTTTGGGAAGCCACGGCGAGTGGATCACCTGAGGTCAGGAGATCTTGACCTCAGACCTCAGACCTGATCAAGACCAGCCTGGCCAACACGGTGAAGCCCCGTCTCTACAAAAATACAAAACTTAGCCGGGCATGATGGCAGGTGCCTGTAATCCCGGCTATTCGGGAGGCTGAGGCAGGAGAATCGCTTGAACACAGGAGGCGGAGGTTGCAGTGAGCTGAGATCGTGTCATTGCACTCCAGCCTGGGTGACTAAGTAAGACTCCATCTCAAAAAAAAAAAAAAAAAAAAAAAAAAAAAAAAAAAAAAAGAACTCTGGGGTGGATCCTGATTATTTGTGTTTTAATCAGTCTTCCAGGTTGATATGGTTTGGGTCTGTGTCCCTACCCAAATCTCATGTTGAATTATAATCCCCAGTGTTGTGAGAGGGACCTGGTGGGAGGTGATTGACTCATAGGGGCAGATATCCCCCTTGCTGTTCTTATAATAGTGAGTGAGTTGTCACAAGATCTGGTTGTTTAAAAGTGTCTAGCACTTACCCCTTCATTCTCTCTCCTGCCACCACATGAAGATGTGCTTGCGTCCCCTTCACCTTTGCGCCATAATTGTAAGTTTCCTGAGGCCTCCTCAGCCAGGCCTCCTGTACAGCCTGCAGAACTGTGAGTCAATTACACCTCTTCTCTTTATAAATTACCCAGTTTCAGGTAGTTCTTTATAGCAATGAGAGAATGTACTAATACACAGGTGATTCGATGTCCACCAAAATTTGAGACCACCTAGTAGTCTAGTAGACAAAAAAAAAGGAGAGTAATGGCAAATGTAGTCATTTCTGAATACCTATTTCCTCCCATTGAGACTCCATGAATAGTTAGGGCCAGGAGAGAGTCATGCGGACTCTCATGTCTCATGTCAGCCTGACAACGTCTAAGTTTCCCTCATCTGTCATTCCCTTTCTTCCAGCATGCTGAGCCACAGTCCAGAGGCCTCAGCAAAATGGAATGCAGTAAATTCAAATGATACCTTTGACAACCCTGGGTTTTAATTTCCTGGGTATGTCCTTTGGGGCAGCTTCACCTAGCCTAGAACAAGCTCAGAATCTCCCCCCAAAAAAGAAAAGAAGCTATTGCTTTCTCCCTACCCCACCCTCTTGGCTTGAGATTATTTTTTTCCATCCTAGCCTGCTGGCTTTAATTAGGAGGAGTGAAGGCAGCGTGCAGATTGTAGACAGCAGGCGGTCATAGCACAAAAATGTGTTAGAGAAACAGCTTTGGATAATCGGAGGTCACCATGTCCCTGTGTCTGCACTCCCCTCCCTCTCTCTGGCTTCTTTTCCCCATCTTGTTTATCTTACATTTACCCCTCATTACTTATAAGGGAGTCACCAGCTCAGAGTTCTTTTGCTATGGGCTTAGGAGGGGGTCCATCTTTACAAAAGGTTGAGGGCTGGGGGAAGGAAATCAGAATGAATGGAATCATATTATATGTGCACAATCAGCTATAATTAGGCATCTTATAAATGTCCACTAGACAAATACATTACAATAACAAAATTAGGAATGGTTAATTGCATTCTGACTCTGGGTCATAGAGGGTAATTTCTTTGAACCCAAGAGGAATCTGATGTATTAAAATGTGCACTAAATGCATATGACTAAGTGAAGAAAGTGAATCTGAAAAGCCCATGTACTGTAGGATTCCAACTATATCACTTTCTGAAAAAGGAAAAGCTATGGAGACAGCAAAAAGCTCAGTGGTTTCCCAGGGTTAGGGCAGCGGGAGGATGAATAGGCAGAGCACAGAGGATTTTTAGGACAGTGAGACTACCCCGTATGATACTACAGTGATTAATAGATATCATTGTACATTTGTCAAAAACCATAGAATGAACGACACCAAGAGCAAGCCCTTAGGTAAACTATGGACTCTGGGCAATAATGATAGTTAGGTTCATCCATTGTAACAGGCACCATTCTGGTGAAGGATGGTGATAATAGGGGAGGTTGTGGGTGGGCAATGACTATGGGAACTCTCACTACTTTCCACTCAATTTTGCTATGAACCTACAACTGGCCTAAAAAATGAAGTCTTGGCCAGGCACATTGGCTCACACCTGTAATCCAAGTACTTTGGGAGGCTGAGGTGGGAGGATCACTTGAGGCCAGGAGTTGGAGACCAGCCTGGGCAATGTGGCAAGACCCTATCCCCACAAAAAAAATTTAAAAATCATCAGGCATAGTAGTGCACACCTGTAGTCCTAGCTTCCCAAGAGAACAAAGCAGGAGGATTCCCAAGAGACCAAAGCAGGAGTTTGAAGTTATAGTGACCTATGATCACACCACTGCATTCTAGCCTGAGCGACAGAGCAAGACCCTGTCTCTTAAAGAAAAGAAAAGGGGGGCTTTTTTTTTTAAGAGCATTAAACTTGGACTGAAAAGATATGAACTGTAATCCCTATCACAGTCTTGGTCACCTGCTAGCAGTCACACTTGGGCAAGTTACTTGGTTTCTCTGGCCCTTGGGGATCCTATCTATAAAATGAGGATGATAATATCTTCCAGACAGAAATGTGGCATTGGTTAAAATGAAGTAATACATAGAGACATACAGCCCATGTTTGTTTAATTAGTAATAGAAAAATAGCATATAGAATTTGGGGCACAGACTGGGGATGAGGATTCTTGGCTGCTGTTCTGAAGCAGACAGGGCTAGCCCAGACCACACCACTCATGCTACCTATTTGAGATATAAGCTCTTTCTTTCACCATTGAAAACTCTCTGCCCCATGGCCTGCTAGAAACCTGAGAGTCAAATGGTAATTTTTTTTTTTTTTCTGAGACAGGGTCTCACTCTATTGCCCAGGCTTGAATGCAGTGGCACAATTGTGGCTCAACACAGCCTCAAACTCCTGGGTTCAAGTAATCCTTCCACCTCAGCCTGATGAGTAGCTGGGACTAGAGGTGTGTGTCACCATGCCCAGCTAATTTTTTTTTTAATATTTTATAGAGACTAGGTATCACTATGTCGCTTAGGCTGGTCTTGAACCCCCAGGCTCAAGAGATCTGCCTGCCTCAGCCTCCCAAGGTGCCAGGGTTACAGGTGTGAGCCATTGCGCCCGGCCACATGAAAATTTTTTAAGACAGAGGCAGCTAACTAAGAGAGAGAATCATCAAAAAGCAAGTAACAAATACACACTGAGCACCTATGGTATGCCAACTGCTCTTCGAGGTATTCAGAATACATTACTAACCAAAGGAGGAGTTCATAGAACTTCCATTCTGGTGGAAGGAGACGGATAATGAAATATTAACATACTAATTAGGTAAGTTATGCATTAAAAAGTAACACATTCCATAGCATGGTGGCTCATGCCTGTAATTCCAACACTTTGGGAGGCCGAGGCAGGCAAATCACTTGAGGCCAGGAGTTCGAGACCAGCCTGGCCAACATGGTGAAACCCTGTTTCTACTAAAAATACAAAAAAAAAAAATACCCAGGCGTGGTGATGGGCACCTGTAATCCCAGCTACTCGGGAGGCTGAGGCAGGAGAATTGCTTGAACCCAGGAAGTGGAAGTTGCAGTGAGCCCAGATCGCAGCACTGCACTCCAGCCTGGGCAACAGAGAGAGAGAGACGCTGGAAAAAAAAAAAAGAAGAAGAAGAAGGAAAGAAGGAAGGAAGGAAAAGAAAGAGAGAGAAAGAAAGAAAGACAGAAAGAAAGAAAGAGAAAAGAAGAGAAGAGAAGAGAAAAGAAAAAAGAAAAAGAAAAGAAAGAGAAAGAAATGGTGAGGCATGGTAGGGGTGGGGATAGGAGGGGAGATTCCGTCTTAAATAGGATGGTCAGGGAAATGCTAACCAAGAAGATGGCATGTGAGTGGAGTGGAAGGAGTGAGGGAGGGAGCCAAGCAGATGTCGATGGAGAAATTTCTAGGCGAAGGGTACAGCTAGAGCAAAGGATCCACGGTAGGAGCATACAAACACATCCTGAGCTGCTCCAGGAAGAACAGGGAGCTGAATGTGCAAGGAGAATCGAATGGAAGGAAGGAGAAGCAAGGGTTTAAGGGTTCAATCGTGTAGGGCCTCGTGGGCCACTCTAAGTCTGGTTTCACCCTTGAAATAGGGAGCTGTTGCTAGGTTGGGAGCCAGAGAAGTGGCACAACCTGGATTATGATTTACACGGATCACTTTGTCTGTGGTGCTAAGAACAGATGCTAGTCTATGGAGACAAGGGTGGAAGAAGCAGGAGAGCTTCTCAGAAGACTTTGTAGTGATCCAGGCAAGAGCTGACAGTAGATGAATCATGGTGACCATGTTGGAGGTGTGATTTTCAGACACCGTGTGTCTGGAGGCTGAGGGTAGAACCCCAAGGTCCTCTGGAGGTATATATCCCAGGACCTTCTGAAGCAGTGAGTGTCCAGGTATTGGTCCTGAGCGACTTAAAGGATGAAATTGCTATCACATTAGCTAGGGAAGTAGGGAAGGCTGCCACTGGAGGAGGTTTAGAGAAGATCAGGGGTTTGCAGGAAAGTGGCAAAGCAGGAGGAGTGGGAGTAGATGACGTGCTGAAAGCACAGACCACGCATCTCACACACGGCCCGGGACCCTGCCCTGAGGATGAGCCTGCCCTGAGGAATGTGTCATTTATCAGTGTCATTGGCCTGAAATTGTTCAGGCCATGTTTAGCAAGAATCATTCTGAAGCATTTCCTAGGCCCTCAGTTTCCCCATGCAATGCAACAAATCCAAAAGAAATTGAGATTAAAGGAAGCATACATGTATTTTGTTACTTTTTTTTTTTGAAACAGGGTCTCATTCTGTCACCCAGGTTGGAGTGAAGAGGTGCGATCACAGCGCACTGCAGCCTCAAAAACTCCTGGGATCACAGCTCAAGGGATCTTCCCACCTCAGCCTCCCAAGTAGCTGGGACTACAGGCCCGAACCACTGTGCCCAGCTAATTTGTAAATTTTTCGTAGAGATGGGGTCTTGCTTTGTTGCTCAAGCTGATCTTGAACTCCTGGACTCCAGCAATCCTCCTGCCTAAGCCTTCCAAAGTGTTGGGATTATGGACATGAGCCACCATGTCTGGCTGGTTACTCTTTATGAGTGGTCATCCATCCCATGTCCACCCAACCACATTTGCTACCACTCTAGAGAACAGCCATAGTTACCAGAAGATATAGTCAGTTAGATGATGAATTACCTCATCAATCCCCTTAGAGAACAAGCTAATTCACTCCTGCAGATTCCTCCTTACATCCACCACCCACTTGCCCTCACCCACTCAAAACATGTTCTAGGGAGAAGATCTAATAAGCCAACTTCCAGAAAGGTGTAAATGAGTGGGGAAAAAAATGAAAATACTTCCTCCCCCAGGGATATTTGAATTTTAAAGTATCCAAAACCCTAAACCAAGAGGCAAAATAATGGAATATCATTCATCAGCTTAGGGAGTTTAAGGGCCAGTGGTCTTGGATTCACATTACTCAGCAGCTACTTCCTGAGAAAACAGTGGGGCTCCAGGAACAATTCAAAGTGGCTTCCTTGACTGCCCCACCTTTACCTGTCCTGTAAGGTCCTCTGCAGGTGCACACACTTCCTGATTGTCTGCACCTCATTCCTTTGTGTGGAACACCCTTTGCTCCCTCCCTTCTAGTCCCTGTGTCAGGGACTCTTTCTATGACTCTGCTCAAATAAATAAATAGATAGCTAAACAAATGGTGTCCTTATCCTTGCTCCTACACTGTGAGTCAACTCCAAATATGCCAAACTATACAGATGGCCAAGATCTAGTCAGGGCCAGTGGTTCACGCCTATAATCCCAGCATTTTGGAAGGCAGGAGAGTTACTTGAGCCCAGGAGTTTGAGATCAGCCTGGGCAACATGTCGAGACCCCATCTCTGCAAAAAAGTTAAAAATTTGCCAAGCACGGAGGTATGCATCTGTGGTTCCAGCTACTCGGGAGGCTGAGATGGGAGGATCACCTGAGCCTGGGGAGGTCGAGGATACAGTGAGCTGTGATCATGCCACTGCACTCCAGCCTGGACAACAGAGTGAGACTTTGTCTCAAAAACAAACAAACAAAACAACAACAACAACAAAAAGTCATCATCTTGCTGTGCTCAAGTCTGGGGCTTGACCTAACTTCCCTGTGACCCTATGACCCAATTGCCCTATGGCCAGGGAAATAAAGGTAAGAGGCAGTAAAGGTAAATGTCTAATGAGACCATTTTCCAGGTCATTTTAACAGAAACCCAAACAGATGTGATGTGCCTGTGCCTGTGTGTGACTGTGTGCACCCACGTGTGTTTGTGTGTGTGTTGCCTGCACATTAGCCTCCAAAGCCCTTAAACCAAGTGGTCGCCGAGGGGTCCGCCAAGCAACAGCAGTGCCAGCGAAGCATGGAGGGAGCCCCTCACACAGGGCCAGCGAGAGGGCCCCAGGGATCTCTCAAACACCAGTCACTCACTCAGCGTGAAGCTGACAGCCACCTCCAGCAACAATTACAGCTCCTCCACAATTTTTGGAGGCTGTAATGTTAAATCAATCAATCAGGTGCACCACTCACTGAAGCTCGGGCTGCCAACTCACTTAAGTGGTGCGCAGGAAGCAATCAATGCATAAGCTGCTTCTCCTGGCTGTCTTATTTGACTTCCATCCACTTTGTGAAGCCATTACAAATCTGTCCTTAGGAAAGTTTTTTCTCCCTCTGTGGCTTTGCACCACACTTGGCAAATCAGCAACTCCCAGACAAGCTGCAAACATTCTGAAATGCACCTACACAGAAATACACATGCACACACAGACAAGCAAGCATCCTCCAGCAGACACACAGAAAGACATGCACATCCCAGGGCAGGACCACCAGCTTCCACACAGCAGTCACGGTCAGCAGTCATGGGGCTCAGGACCCCAGCGGGAGACCTGAGGAGTCACAGTGTCAGAAGAGAAGATCCACCAACAATGTCCCATCTTACAAGCATGCTGGCCAGGGTGGATGGAAAGAACAGTGGTTTTTTTGTTTTGTTTTGTTTTTAATAAAAAAGAAACAACAGGCAAACCACATTAGTCCAATGTCCCACCAGTTCCTGCTGCAATGCTATCCACGAGGTGACTTGCTTCATGTTAATCCCATCTCCTTTTGGAGGTAACTGATCTTTTTTTTTGTAAGAGACAGGGTCTCATGCTGTCACCCAGGCTGGAGTGCACTGTTGCAATCATAGCTCACTGCAACCTCAAACTCCTGGGCTCAAGCAATCCTCCCACCCCAGCTTCCCTAGTAGCTAGGACTATAGGCATGTGCCACCAAGCTCGGGTAATTTTTATATTTTTAGTACAGACAGGGTCTTGCTATGTTGCCCAGACTGGCCTTGAACTCCTAGCCTCAAGCAATTCTACCTCCTCAGCTTCCCAAAGTGCTGAGATTACAGGCATGAGCCACTTTGCCCAGTCAGAGGTAATTAATCTTGAATCTTATGTTTTCTTCTCCCATGTCCATGTTAATTTCCTGTTCTCACTCACCTGCCTGACAGTCCTACCCACCCAGTGCATACACTTAAAACAGTGCAGCATTCTTCTGGAAGAGTCCAGAAATCACCAGAAATCATAAGGTCCTCTGATTAACTCCACTGAAACACTGGGGATATATTTTAAAGTTAGTGATAAAGAGAGAAATTCAGACTTTAGTAACTGACAAGGGGGAAAAAAATGCATACCCAGGCAGAAGTCAGACACATAGACACTTATCTGTGAAACTCCACACAAACAGACTATATGCACACATCTATGCCTCAAAATAAAAAACCCCAGCACCTCACTCTTTGCAGTAAGCTCCACCCTGTGCCTGAAAATAGGTAAATGGCATGTTCAGGATTTCAGCTCCCATATTTAATTTGTTACCACGCAAAACATCAGAGGCATCACTTTGAATGGTAGGCATCAATATGATTGAAACGGCTGCCACTTAATGTGGTGAGGAGGAATCAGCTGTGCCCCCAAAACAGAAGACAAGGAGGAGCATCATCCTATTGGTTTCCTGGGAAATGATGAGCCCTATTAATAGTTGTTAACATGAATCAACAAATCACTCCTCTGTCAGCAGCTGGCGGGCTGGGCCCCAAATCAGTCAGTTAAGGGGAAGAAAGCTGATCATTCCAGGAAAAGTCTGAGCAAGGGAAGGGGGCAGGCCATTGACCCCTCTGAGGAAGGAGAGGGAGCCAGATGGTAGCAAAGAGAAATAAATGTTAACCAGAACTCCGCGCCTCTCTGTATGGCTGAGGGAGGGGCCGTCAAAGGCAGGGCTCCTCCCTACTAAAAACCTAGAATTTAGTGCTGCGATATCAATGCTCATGAAAGTGTCTCATGAGGCCAGGGAAGAGCAAGAGTAAGGGATGATTTTTAAGTAGCGCTTAAGTGACGTCAGTGGCCGGGTGCAGTGGCTCAAGCCTATAATGCCAGCATTTTGGAAAGCCAAATTGGGAGGATAGCTTGAGCCCAGGAGTTCAAGACAAGCCTGGGCAACATGGCAAGACCCTGTCTCTACAAAAAAATTTAAAATTAGCCAGGTGTGGCGGCATGCTCCTGTAGTCCCAGCTACTTAAGAGGCTGAGGCAGGAAAACCACTTGAGCCCAGGAGGTTGAAGCCACAGTGAACTATGATCACGCCACTGCACTCCAGCTTGGACAACAAAGCAGACCCTGTCTCAAAAAACAAACAAACAAAATTAAGTGATGACAGTGTGCAGCCCCCAACACCAGGTATGGAAAAGTTGGTTAGGGCCTTGCCAGCAAAGGAAGCACTGGCCAAATGGAGGCTGAAATTAACCGTGAGTTCCCCACTCCTGTCTTTGTTATAAGCTAAAAACCCTACAGCTATAGCCAGTCCCTGAGATTCAACAACCTCAGCCATTGGCAAATGACAACATAGAAATCAGAACAGCCAAGTACAGCTGAACCTTTTGGAGATTCTCTACAGTTTTTTTTAGATGAAATGCCTTCTGTAGGACTAGATTGGTGCCGTAATACACTGATTTTTTTTTTTTTTGAGACAGAGTCTCACTCTGTCACCCAGGCTGGAGTACAATGGCACAATCTCGGCTCAGTGCAACCTCCGCCTCCCAGGTTCATGTGATTCTCCCGCCTCAGCCTCTCAAGTAGCTGGGACTACAGGCACACACCACCGCACCCGGCTAATTTTTGTATTTTTAGTAGAGACGGGGTTTCACCATATTGGCCAGGCTGGTCTTGAACTCCTGACCTCAGGTGATCCACCTCAGCCTCCCAAAGTGCTGGGATTATAGGTGTGAGCCACCATGGCTGGCCACTGATTCATTTTTTTGAAAGAATTTGTTTAAGTACCTGTATTTCTATGACTATACAAGTTTTTTCTTCTCTATTTCTAGTGGTTTAAAATATACTCACACAAAACATTTTGCAACATTAATGTCAAAGGATAAATAGCCTTAAGAATTAAAGAGCTCTTAAATTTTTGCAAATTAAAATGTATAAGACAAAAGATCTCATTAACAATAACAAATATTTATGAAACACCTCATTACATCCCAGGCTAAGAGTTTTACCTAAATTATCTATTTTCATTTTTTCAGTAACTTTAGGAAGTAAATAATATTATGCCGATATCATAGGTCAAAAAACTAAGGCTCAGATCGTTTAAATAACTTTAGTGTGTCAAATTGCACAACTAGCAAATGATGAAACAGTCATTCAAAAAAGTCTACACTTTTACACTATGTTATATCAATTTCTCATAAGAAGCCCACAAAGGAAGACACACAAATAACCAATAAACATTTTTAAAGTCAATTGCTAAATAACAAAGAAGTCAAAAAATAATAATAATTTATCATTTATTTGCTTATCAGGTAGACAAACATCGCAAAGATTAACAGAACCTAACATTGATGAGTTTGTGAAAACACTGACTCACTTACACAGTATTGCTGAGAATGTAAATTATAAAACCTGCCTGGAAGTCAGTTTTCTCAAAATATATAAAAGTGTAATTTATGCATACTGTGAATATCCCCATTTTGGAATTATCTTAATGTGATGTTCAAACAAGAAAGGTAAGACAAAAAGACATTAATCACAGTTTTGTTTATAAGAGCTAAATATTGGAAACAACATTAGTGTCCATTTATAAGAATTGCTTAAATCAATTATGAAACATCTGTACAATAGAATATTACTCAGTCAACTAAAATAATGGTGTTGATCTATATTTACTGGCACAATGATATCTATGAAAAATTGTCTCATCAAAAAAGCAATTACAGAAACATATAAAAATATAAATATTTATCGTACATACACGTGAAGCAAATTTTCTGGAAGGATGTTTATGAAAATAATGTTAGCACTGATTTTTAGATTCTGGATTTCTTGGGGCTTTTACTTTACTTTCTTTTTGTATTTGTATGTATTATCTGACTCTTTGAATAAGATCTATTGCTTTTACAACAATAGGTCATTTTCAGAAGAAAAAAATCCACATCTTCCATTTTCTAATTTAACTTTGTGTAGGATAGCACTGGCCCTGGGAATACTTTAAATAGATGAAATATAATGTCATACAGAGAGCATGGACTTTAGACTATGACCGATCTGGAGTGCGAGCTTGGCTTTTACTAACTTTGTGACTGTATTAGCTATGGCTGCCATAACAAATTATCACAAACTCCATGGTTTAAACAACACAAATGTATAATCTTACAGTTCTTTGGGCCATACCTACAGACTCACTGAGCTAAAATTAAGGTATTGGCAAAGCTATTTTATTTTCTGGAACTTCAAGGGGAGGATCCATTTTCTTCCTCATTCAGATCATTGGCAGAGCTCAGTTCTTTGTGGTTGTAGGTCCCAGTTTTCTTGTTGACTGTAGCTAAGGGCTGTTCACAGCTTCTGGAGGCTGCCACATTCTTTGACTCATAGCTCCCTCCCTCCATCTTCAAAGCCAGCCACATGGATGGTCTAGTCCTCACTTATATCTGACCCATCTTCTACTTTTAAGAACTCATGAGATGAAATTGAATCCACTCAAATGATCCAGGATATTCTTCCATTAAGCACATCCACAAGTTCCTTCATGTCACGTAAAGTAACAATCACAGCTTCTGGGTATTAGGATGTGGACATCTTTGGGAAATCATTGTCCTGCCCACCACAATGACTTTGGCAAATTGTCTGATGACTCTAAAAGGGTAGAGTAACTACTCTAAATGGGATGTGGCAAGATGCTTTCACTTTTTTGTTTTATCATTGCATTTTATTCTTCCCATTCAAAGAAGGTTTCAAGGCCTCCCTCACCTTATTTATGATACCTGAAGACAGCTTTTCTTCTTGGCTTTGTTTTCATAAAAAAAACTAACCTGGCAGGATCCCTAGGAGACTGCAGTGTAAAAAAAGGTGATGGCTGGATGATATCACAGAGAGAAGTGACCCTAAGTACTTTTGTTCTCAGTCTTGACAAGGATGCCTTAAAAAAAAAAAAGAAAAAAAAAAAAACATACAGGGCCAGGGGCAGTGGCTCAGGCCTGTAATCCCAGCCTTTTGGGAGGCCAAGGCAGGGGGATTACTTGAGGCCAGGAGTTCAAGATCAGCCTGGCCAACATGTCGAAACCCCACCTCTACTAAAAATACAAAAATTAGCTAGGCATGGTGGTGTGTGCCTGTAATCCCAGCTACTCAGGAGGCTGAGGCAGGAGAATCACTTGAACTCGAAAGGCAGAGGTTGCAGTACGCCCAGATGGTGCCACTGCACTGCAGCCTAGACAACAGAGCAAGACACTGTCTCGAAAAGAAAAAAAAATGTGGACTTATACAATGAGCAAATGAGCTGTGACCAGGATGGGCAGAAAACCAAATGGCTTTCTCCAAAGCCTCTGTTTGAGTAAGACCCTTCCGACATTTGTACTATCATAGGGAAGGGGTTGGAAAGAGAATCCTAATGATGACAGATTGACTTAGTGGGACAGGGGTACACGGAGTCAGATTGATTTGATTAAAAAAATATATATATGACATCTTTAGCACCCCTGTCTGTGACATATCCACTACATAGGAATAATAATAACTATGATGTGTGGATTTAGGAAGGATGGATATATGCAAAGTACCCAACACATAATAGGCTCATAATATTTGATATTAATACATAAAGACATAACCAATGGGTCAAAAACTTGCAAACAGTAACCTCTAAAGAGCTAAAAACAAATGAATAAATGCTATGTGTACTTATGGTATTTTTTGAGCCACACCCAAAGGTCTGGTTAAAGACTTATCATACAATGTTCAGTTTTAAATACTCGTCCTTAAAGGAGCTGATGGAGCTGAAAGCCAAGGCTCAAGAACTACGTGAAGAATGCAGAAGCCTCAGGAGCTGATGCGATCAACTGGAAGAAAGGGTATCAGTGATGGAAGATGAAATGAATGAAATGAAGCGAGAAGGGAAGTTTAGAGAAAAAAGAATAAAAAGAAACGAACAAAGCCTCCAAGAAATATGGGACTATGTGAAAAGACCAAATCTACTTCTGATTGGTGTATGTGAAAGTGACGGGGAGAATGGAACCAAGTTGGAAAACACTCTGCAGGATATTATCCAGGAGAACTTCCCCAATCTAGCAAGGCAGGCCAACATTCAGATTCAGTAAATACAGAGAACGCCACAAAGATACTCCTCAAGAAGAGCAACACCAAGACACTTAATTGTCAGATTCACCAAAGTTGAAATGAAGGAAAAAATGTTAAGGGCAGCCAGAGAGAAAGGTCGGGTTACCCACAAAGGGAAGCCCATCAGACTAACAGCAGATCTCTCCACAGAAACTCTACAAGCCAGAAGAGAGTGGGGGCCAATATTCAACATTCTTAAAGAAAAGAATTTTCAACCCAGAATTTCATATCCAGCCAAACTAAGCTTCATAAGTGAAGGAGAAATAAAATACTTTACAGACAAGCAAATGCTGAGAGATTTTGTCACCACCAGGCCTGCCCTAAAAGAGCTCCTGAAGGAAGCACTAAACATGGAAAGGAACAACCGCTACCAGCCACTGCAAAAACATGCCAAATTGTAAAGACCATCAAGGCTAGGAAGAAACTGCATCAACTAACGAGCAAAATAACCAGCTAACATCATAATGACAGGATCAAATTCACACATAACAATATTAACTTTAAATGTAAATGGACTAAATGCTCCAATTAAAAGACACAGACTGGCAAATTGGATAAAGAGTCAAGACCCATCACTGTGCTGTATTCAGGAAATCCATCTCACTTGCAGAGACACACATAGGCTCAAAATAAAAGGATGGAGGAAGATCTACCAAGCAAATGGAAAACAAAAAAACGCAGGGGTTGCAATCCTAGTCTCGGATAAAACAGACTTTAAACCAACAAAGATCAAAAGAGACAAAGAAGGCCATTACATAATCGTAAAGGGATCAATTCAAAAAGAAGAGCTAACTATCCTAAATATATATGCACCCAATACAGGAGCATCCAGATTCATAAAGCAAGTCCTGAGTGACCTACAAAGAGACTTAGACTCCCACACAATAATAATGGGAGACTTTAACACCCCACTGTCAACATTAGGCAGATCCACGAGACAGAAAGTCAACAAGGATACCCAGGAACTGAACTCAGCTCTGCACCAAGTGGACCTAATCGACATCTACAGAACTCTCCACCCCAAATCAACAGAATATACATTTTTTTCAGCACCACACCTCACCTATTCCAAAATTGACCACGTAGTTGGAAGTAAAGCTCTCCTCAGCAAATGTAAAAGATCAGACATTATAACAAACTGTCTCTCAGACCACAGTGCAATCAAACTAGAACTCAAGATTAAGAAACTCACTCAAAACCGCTCAACTACATGGAAACTGAACAACCTGCTCCTGAATGACTACTGGGTACATAACAAAATGAAGGCAGAATAAAGATGTTCTTTGAAACCAATGAGAACAAAGACACAACATACCAGAATCTCTGGGACACATTCAAAGCATTGTGTAGAGGGAAATTTATAGCACTAAATGCCCACAAGAGAAAGCAGGAAAGATCCAAAATTGACACCCTAACATCACAATTAAAAGAACTAGAAAAGCAAGAGCAAACACATTCAAAAGCTAGCAGAAGGCCAGAAATAACTAAAATCAGAGCAGAACTGAATGAAATAGAGAGACAAAAAACCCTTCAAAACATTAATGAATCCAGGAGCTGGTTTTTTGAAAAGATCAACAAAATCAATAGACCACTAGCAAGACTAATAAAGAAGGAAAGAGAGAAGAATCAAATAGACGCAATAAAAAAGATAAAGGGGATATCACCACTGATCCCACAGAAATACAAACTACCATCAGAGAATACTACAAACACCTCTACGTAAATAAACTAGAAAATCTAGAAGAAATGGATAAATTCCTCAACACATACACCCTCCCAAGACTAAACCAGGAAGAAGTTGAATCTCTGAATAGACCAATAACAGGCTCTGAAATTATGGCAATGATCAATAGCTTACCAACCAAAAAAAGTCCAGGACCAGATGGATTCACAGCTGAATTCTACCAGAGGTACAAGGAGGAACTGCTACCGTTCCTTCTGAAACTATTCCAATCAATAGAAAAAGAGGGAATCCTCCCTAACTCATTTTATGAGGCCAGCATCATCCTGATACCAAAGCCGGGCAGAGACACAACCAAAAAAGAGAATTTTAGACCAATATCCTTGATGAACATTGATGCAAAAATCCTCAATAAAATACTGGCAAACCAAATCCAGCAGCACATCAAAAGCTTATCCACCATGATCAAGTGGGCTTCATCCCTGGGATGCAAGGCTGGTTCAACATACGCAAATCAATAAATGTAATCCAGCATATAAAGAGAACCAAAGACAAAAACCACATGATTATCTCAATAGATGCAGTAAAGGCCTTTGACAAAATTCAACAACCTTCATGCTAAAAACTCTCAATAAATTAGGTATTGATGGGACGTATCTCAAAATAATAAAAGCTATCTATGACAAACCCACAGCCAATATCATACTGAATGGGCAAAAACTGGAAGCATTCCCTTTGAAAACTGGCACAAGACAGGGATGCCCTCTCTCACCACTCCTATTCAACATAGTGTTGGAAGTTCTGGCCAGGGCAATTAGGCAGGAGAAGGAAATAAAGGGTATTCAATTAGGAAATGAGAAAGTCAAATTGTCCCTGTTTGCAGATGACATGATTGTATATCTAGAAAACCCCATCATCTCAGCCCAAAATCTCCTTAAGCTGATAAGCAACTTCAGCAAAGTCTCAGGATACAAAATCAATGTACAAAAATCACAAGCATTCTTATACACCAATAACAGACATACAGAGAGCCAAATCATCAATGAACTCCGATTCACAATTGCTTCAAAGAGAATAAAATACCTTTACAAGGGATGTGAAGGACCTCTTCAAGGAGAACTACAAACCACTGCTCAATGAAATAAAGAGGATACAAACAAATGGAAGAACATTCCATGCTCATGGGTAGGAAGAATCAATATCGTGAAAATGGCCATACTGCCCAAGGTAATTTATAGATTCAATGCCATCCCAATCAAGCTACCAATGACTTTCTTCACAGAATTGGAAAAAACTTTCAAGTTCATATGGAACCAAAAAAGAGATTGCATCACCAAGTCAATCCTAAGCCAAAAGAACAAAGCTGGAGGCATCATGCTACCTGATTTTAAACTATACTACAAGGCTACAGTAACCAAAACAGCATGGTACTGGTACCAAAACAGAGATATAGACCAATGGAACAGAACAGAGCCGTCAGAAATAATGCCACATATCTACAACCATCTGATCTTTGACAAACCTGACAAAAACAAGCAACGGGGAAAGGATTCCCTATTTAATAAATGGTGCTGGGAAAACTGGCTAGCCATATGTAGAAAGCTGAAACTGGATCCCTTCCTTACACCTTATACAAAAATTAGTTCAAGATGGATTAAAGACTTACATGTTAGACCTAAAACCATAAAAACCCTAGAAGAAAACCTAGGCAATACCATTCAGGACATAGGCATGGGCAAGGACTTCATGTCTAAAACACCAAAAGCAATGGCAATAAAAGCCAAAATTGACAAATGGGATCTAATTAAACTAAAGAGCTTCTGCACAGCAAAAGAAACTACCATCAGAGTGAACAGGCAACCTATAAAATGGGAGAAAATTTTCACAACCTACTCATCTGACAAAGGGCTAATATCCTGAATCTACAATGAACTCAAACAAATTTACGAGAAAAAAACAAACAACCCCATCAAAAAGTGGGCAAAGGATATGAACAGACACTTCTCAAAAGAAGACATTTATGCAGCCAAAAAACACATGAAATATGCTCATCATCACTGGCCATCAGAGAAATGCAAATCAAAACCACAATGAGATACCATCTCATGCCAGTTACAATGGCGATCATTAAAAAGTCAGGAAACAACAGGTGCTGGAGAGTATGTGGAGAAATAGGAACACTTTTACACTGTTGGTGGGACTGTAAACTAGTTCAACCATTGTGGAAGTCAGTGTGGTGTTTCCTCAGGGATCTAGAACTAGAAATACCATTTGACCCAGCCATCCCATTACTGGGTATATACCCAAAGGATTATCAATCATGCTGCTATAAAGACACATGCATACGTATGTTTATTGCAGCACTATTCACAATAGCAAAGACTTGGAACCAACCCAAATGTCCAACAACAACAGACTGGATTAAGAAAATGTGGCACATATACACCATGGAATACTATGCAGCCATAAAAAATGAAGAGTTCATGTCCTTTGTAGGGACATGGATGAAACTGGAAACCATCATTCTCAGCAAACTATCGCAAGGACAAAAAACCAAACACCGCATGTTCTCACTCATAGGTGGGAATTGAACAATGAGAACACATGGACACAGGAAGGGGAACATCACACTTCGGGGACTGTTGTGGGGTGGGGGGAGGGGGGAGGGATAGCATTGGGAGATATACCTAATGCTAGACGGCAAGTTGGTGGGTGCAGCACACCAACATGGCACATGTATACATATGTAACAAGCCTGCACGTTGTGCACATGTACCCTAAATGTGCACATGTACCCTAAAACTTAAAGTATAATAATAATTAAAAAAAAAAAGAAAAAAAAACACTAAAGAATAGAAAGGAGTCATTCCATGTAGAAATCTGGAGTCCTCTACAGGCACATCTCATTTTATTGTGCTTCACTTTATTACACTTCACAGATAATAAGATTTTTTAAATATTGAAGGTTTGTGGCCATCCTGTATTGAGCAAGTTAATGAGTGCCATTTTTCTAACAGCATGTGTCCATTTCATGTTTCTGTGTCATGTTGTGATAATTCTCACAATATTTCATACTTTTTCATTATTATATCTATTAGGGTGATCTGTGATCATTGATCTTTGATGTTACTATTGTAGTTGTTTTGGGGTACCACAAACCATGTCCGCTGAAGACATCTAACTTAGTCCATAAATACTTGGCATGCTTTGACAGCTCCACTGACCAGTCATTCTCTCATCCTCACCATCTCTTCAGGCCTCCTTATTCCCTGAGACATAACAATATTAAAATTAGGTTAATTGATAACCCTACAATGGCCTCAAAGTGTTAAAATGAAAGGAAGATTTTCACATCTCTCACTTTAAATCAGAAACTAGAAATAAATGATTAGGCTTAGTAAGGAAGGCATGTCAACAGCTAGCCAAGTTGGGAATGCAAATGAAAGTTCTGAAAGGAAATAAGAAGTGCTAATCCAGCGAACCTACAAATGATAAGAAAGACAAACAGTCTTATTGCTGATATGGAAGAAAGTTGGAGTGGTCTGGATAGAAGATCAAACCAGATACAACATTATCTCAAGCCAAAGCCAAGTCCAGAGCAAGGCCCTAATTCCTTTCAATTATATGAAGTCTGAGAGAGGTGAGGAAGCTGCAGAAGAAAAGTTGGAAGCTAGCAGACATTGGCTCATGAGATTTAAAGAAATAAGTCATCTCGATGACATAAAAGTGCAAGACGAAGCAGCAAGTGCTGATGTAGAGACTGTAGCAAGTTATCCTGAAAATCTAGCTAAGATCATTGATGAAGGTGGCTACACTAAGACTGTCAGTGTAGACAAAACAGCCTTCTATTGGAAGAAGATGTCATCCATGACTTTCATAGTTAGAGAGAATTCGATGCCTGCCTTCAAAGCTTTAGTGGACAGGACAGGCTAACTCTCTTGTTAGGGGCTCAGGAAGCTGGTGACTTTAAGCTAAAGCCAATGCTCATTTACCATTCCAAAAGTCCTAGTGCCCTTAAGAATTATGCTAAGTCAGCAGAGTGTGGTGGCTCATGCTTGTAATCACAGCACTTTGGGAAGCCAAGGTAGGAGGATTGCTTGAGCCCAGGAGTTCAAGACCAGCCTGTGCAACATGGTGAAACCCCATCTCTACAAAAAATACAACAACAAAAAATTTTCAGGCATGGTGGTATGTGTCTGTCATCCCAGCTAGTTAGGAAGCTGAAGTGGCAGGATCACTTAAACCTGGGAGGTCAAGGCTGCAGTGAGCCATGATTGAGCCAGTGCACTCCAGCCTGTGCAACAGAGCAAGATCCTGTCTCAAAAAAGAGAAAGATTTATGCTAAATCTACTCCATCTGTGCTCGACAAATCAAAAAACAAATCCTGGATGACAGCACATCTGTTTACAGCATGGTTTACTGAATATTTTAAGCCCACTGTTCAGATCTACTGTTTAGAAAAAAGATTCCTTTCGAAATATTACTGCACACTGACAATGCACCTGGTCACCCAACAGCTCTGATGGAGATGTACAAGGAGATTGATGTTGTTTTCATGCCTGCTAAAACAACATATATTCTGCAGCCTATGGATCAAGGAGTAATTTTGACTCTCAAGTCTTCTTATTTAAGAAATACATTTTTTAGGGCTACAGCTGCCATAGAGAGTGATTCCCCTGAGGGAACTGAGAAAAGTATATTGAAAACCTTCTGGAAAGGATTGACAATTCTAGATGCTATAAAGAACATTTGCATTCATGAGAAAAGGTAAAAATATCAACACTAATGATAGTTTGAGAGAAGTTGATTCCACCTCTTATGAATGACTTTGAGGGGTTTAAGAGTTCAGTGAAGGAGGTCACCGCAGATGTAGTGGAAATAATGAGAGAACTAGAATTAAATGTGGAGCTGAATATGTGACTGAATTGTTGCAATCTCATAATAAAACTTTAACAGATGAGGAGCTTCTTCCATGGATGAGCGAAAAATAAAATGGTTTCTTGAGATGGACTCTACTGCTGGTGGTGCCATGAACATGGCATGAACATTGCTGAAATGGCAACAAAGGAAGAATGTTACATAAACTTAGTTGATAGAGCTGTAGCAGGGTTTGAGAGGATGGACTATAATTTTGAAATAAATTGTACTATGGGTAAAATGCTATCAAAGAGCATCACATGCTAAGATAAATTGTTATAACCCAATGGGTTCTTCTTGCCCACTGCACAGAGCCAAACCTGCAATATCTCCAAGGTATGCCTATACTTGGTTCTTTCCTCTCTCTCACTTCCTATATTCAATTGGTCACCACTTATGTCTTGCCATTCCAACCCTATATATATCTGCAGGACCCTTCTCTGCCTCTCTATCCCTACTGCCAATGACATGGCTCAGGTCTTCATCTTCCCTCTCCAAGTCTGTGTATGACAAGACCTTCCTGATGGGTCTCCTTGCCTTCTACCTCAGCCCCCTCCAACCCACCCTTCATTTCCTCATTTAAAATTCTTTAATGGTCCTCTTTGACCTACAGTCTTGCCCAATGTCTCATTACTCCAAAATGTTTCTTTTCATCTCCCTCCCTGACTTTATACAGACCAGTCCTCCTTTCTGGGATTACCTCTCTCCCCTTGTGTATTAGCCCACTTTCACACTGCTGATAAAGACCTACCCAAGACTGGGCAGTTTACAAAAGAAAGAGGTTTATTGGACTTAACAGTTCCATGTGGCTGGGAAGGCCTCACAATCATGGCAGAAGGTGAAAGGCACATCTCACATGGTGGCAGACAAGGGAAGAGAGCTTGTGCAGGGAAACCCCCATTTTGAAGCCATCAGATCTCATGAGACCCATTCACTATCACAAGAAGAGCATGAGAAAGACCCATCCCCATGATTCGGTCATCTCCCACCAGATCCCTCCCACAACAGTACAATGTCCTTTCCACATTGTTTTGTTGCTGTTTGTAGATATTTCCCCAATAAGCCAGGAACTTCTCAAGTGCGGGCACTGTCTTGTTCAATTTTAGATACTTAGCACCAATCCATTGTCTGCTTAAAAGGTGCTCTTAAGCATTTTATTAAAGAAAAACCAGGAAAAATGCTGTTAAGCTGTGAAGCATTTTGATATCTGTGATGAAATGGAAAGGCCAAATTGTGCCCAGCACAGTTAATTTTTCCATACAGACTTCTCAGGGGACAAAGACCTTTTTTTAGCCTCTTCTCTCCAAAATGTGCCAAAACAATGAAACGGCACTTTGAAAAAGAATGTCAGCAAGTCACAATGAGGAGATAGTGAATAGTCAGGATTCAACAAGCATTTCCTGAGCATCTATACTCTGCAAAGCACTGTACCAGGGACTGAGGATACACAGTCCCTGTCTTCAAACACCTCACAGTCTGTAGCAGGATTCAGAAACAACACATCATGATGCTGGGGCTGATCTGGGCAATAGAATTGTGTTTAATACTTGCTTAAAAGCCAATGAAAGTACCACTTCACACCCATTAGGATGGCTATTATCAAAAACAAATATTGGTGAGGATGTAGAGAAATTGGAACCCTTATACATTGCTGCTGGGAATGTAAAATGATGCCCCTACTGTGAAAAACCATTTAGTGGCTCCTCAAAAAGTTAAACATAGATTGACCATATGATCCATCAATTCCATGGCTATGTGAAAACCCAAAAGAATTGAAAGCAGAGATTTAAACAAATACTTGTGATACAGAATATTTTCTTGACCTCTTTGTGGGACTCGCTACAGGAGTGCCTTGTTTACTTAGCCCACCCCGTTCAACCCCTCGCAGGAGGGAGCATGCGAGTGAACATTTGCAGGAACTGGCCGCTTTGGCACCAGCAGGAGCGAACTCTGTGTGGGCCCTGCGGCAGCATCCATATAGGGTGTCTGTGACCCCAAGGCCCCAGAGGGCGTATTATAATGCTGTCTTAGCTCTGCCATCTGCAGACAGCAGTGTGTTATCAGCTCAGTGGGCTGTTTGCCTCATCACATGGGGCAGCTGCCCTCCACTAGTGAGGGCAAGGGGCCAGTGTGACAGCCTTTTTGGGTACCTGCATGTGGTACATCCCAAATTCTTGTCCAGTGCCCAAGAGGAATGAGATCACATGGATGAACTGAAGGATGGTGAAAGTGGAGAATTTTATTGAGTGATGGAAGTGGCTCTTAATGGAGAGGGGAGCTGGAGAGGGGACAAGAAGGGAAGTCAAGCCACCTCTCTGCCTCTCTCTCCCAAAGTCAAGTTGCCTTATCCAGCCACTGTCTTGAAGTCACCTCTTCCCAACCTCCAACCACTTCTTTCTGACATCCAGCTGCTTCTTCTCTCTGCCAGTTGAGTCTGGGTTCTTCATAGGCACATGATGGGGGTAGGGCG
Organism: Homo sapiens; assembly: GCF_000001405.40. NCBI lineage: Eukaryota > Metazoa > Chordata > Mammalia > Primates > Hominidae > Homo > Homo sapiens. The sequence goes on along the minus strand of NC_000008.11, from coordinate 33,693,640 downwards.
GGCCATAGGTAGTTTTGGAAAAGGCAATATTCGATTGGTAAAAAGACATTATTCAGAAAGAACCAACTGGGAGAGAGCAGGCACACAGGAATGGAAGTTCTCACCTTGGGCCACGGGTTTCAGGATTTTTGATTTGAAGGTGGGGTTTTGCCAGGGACCTGCCCCTGCCTGCCTAGAATTTCTTTGACTCCTGTCACTATCGCTTGTATACCAATGATACAGGAGGTGGGCAGGGAAGTCCTGGGAAGGGAAGAGTGTGGTCCCTGGCTAGGGCTCCAACCCTGGGCCTGTGCCTATGGACCTAGGTGAGGACAGGTTCTCCTGCTTTTGTGCCCAAATGTTGCATTTCCCAAGACCACCCTGGCCTGCCACACCCCCATCCTGTGCCTATAAAAACCCCCAAGACTCTAGCAGGCCAGACACACAAGCAGCTCGACATCAAGAGGAACACATCGGCAGAAGAAGACACAAGTGGCTGGACGTTGAAAGGACGTCAAGGGGAGCATGCCGGCAGGCCATTGACCAGCAGAATGAGGCAGAGTTTGACTGGGGCAGTCAGAGGAGAGCCCGGGACACCAAGTGGCCCAGCTCCAAGGAAAAATCATCTCCATTCTGGCTCCCCCATCTGCTGAGAGCTACTTCTACTCAATAAAACCTTGCACTCATTCTCCAAGCCCACATGTGATCTGATTCTTCCGGTACACCAAGGCAAGAACCCCAGGATTCAGAAAGCCCTCTGTCCTTGTGATAAGGCAGGAGTCTAACTGAGCTAACACAAGCTGCCTACGGATAGCTAAACTAAAAGAGCACCTTGTAGCACACGCCCACTGGGGCTGCAGCTGTGAACATTCACCCCAGACACTGCCGTGAGGTCGGAGCCCCACAGCCTGCCTGTCTATATGCTGCCCTAGAGGTCTGAGCAGTGGAGCACTGAAGAAGCAAGCCACACCCCTGTGGCTCACCCTGTGAGGGGGACAAGGGAACTTTTCCCATGTCACCAATACTCATAGCAGCATTATCCACAGTTGTCAAAAGATGGAAACAACCCAAGTCTCCATCAACAGATGAATGGATAAACAAAATATACATATACACACACTAGAAAATTATTCAGCCTTAAAAAGGAAAGACATTCTGATACATGCTACAAAATGAATAAAACTTGAAATAAGCCAGATACAAAAGGACAAATCTTGTGTGATTCCACTTATATGAGGTACCTAGATTAAGCAAATTTGTAGAGACAGAAAGTAGAATGGAGTTATCCAGGGACTGTCGGGAGAGAGGAATGGGAAGTTATTGTTTGTGGGTACAGAGTTTCTTTTTGGGATGATGAAGAAGCTCCAGAAATGAATGGTGGTTATGGCTGCACAGCAATATGAATATACCTAATGTCACTGAACTGTACATTTAAAAATGGTTAAGATAGTAAACTTTGTTATGTGTGTACCACATATTTTAAAACCACAACTTTAAAACAACAACCAAGAACAATTTATATTCAATGAGGATGGGATTCTCACGCTGACAGAAATACCTCACTCTAGGAAAGGAGGTTTAATTGACTAACGGTTCTGCAGCCTGTACAGGAAGCATGGTACTGGCATCTGCTTGGCTTCTGAGAAGGCCTCAGGAAACCTATAATCATGGCAGAAGGCAAAGGGGAGCCCCCACACAGACAGAACCACGAGGAAGAGAGAGAGCGGGGAAGTGCCAGACACTTTTAAACAACCAGATTTCAAGAACACTCACTCATTATCACGAGGACAGTAGCAAGAGGGATGGTGCTAAGCCATTCAGGACAAATCCACCCCCATAATCCAATCACTTCCCACCAGGCCTCATCTCCAACATTGGGGATTACAATTCCACAGGAGATTTGGTGGGGACACAGATCCAAACCATATCAGGAGGGAACCGATAGTAAAAGTTACTTAGAAGTCATGACTTTCGAACTGGGCTCTGAAGGGTGAATAGAAGTTCGCTAGATGATGAGTCAGAAGTCTGACTTTAAGTTCTGGAGCTGCCACTTACTGATACGTGGCTCTTTTTTCCTCATCTATAAAGGTGGGAAAAGATATACCATACAGTTGTGGTGATGAGATAACATGTCTGAAAATGATTTATAAACTATAGCAGGATTCACTGACAAGTGATATAAAGTAAAATGATGGCAGGAAAGACCTTTAGACATTGTATCCATATTGTTCAGCCCAGGATATTCTCTAAACTCTAAACAGGATAGGCTTCACTCCCTCCTGTCCCAGCCTGAATGAAGTTAAGAAAGAGCAGATAAGGAACAGGAGTTAAACAGCGAGATTTTGAAACTATATTCTTATTCTAGTATAGGAGTGTCATGTAGCCACTAAAATTCAGAAACAGGAAGATGTGGAGAAGAAATATGGGAAGGCATTGAGCATTCTGCTTCCTTCCCCTAATATATTATAAATCACAACTCTGATTTATAACTGTGTAAATATACAGATACAAAAACAAGAACTGAAAGTCAATATGCAAAAGTGAAACAAAGGGGTCACATTTTTCTTTTAATTTCATTTGATTTTTTTTATTATTTTTGCGATAACAAATGAGGACAAGAAAATAAGCATTCTATTCCCTTTTTAAATGTTTATCAGCTAATTTCTCGCTGAATACTTGCCCACAATCTCTGTCATTACTGACTTCCAAGGTGATCAAAGGCCCAGTACCTTTAAACCCTGGGGGCCTAGAGGGTAGCATTTGCTTCTAGCAATGACAGAAGTTTGCACAGAACAACTGGAGGATGCTCCAAGACCCCTTCACGGTAAAGAGCTGCTGCCTTCTATAGATTTATGACTCTGGGCTCCTGGGGACACTGAGGGCACAGGAAAAGCCATCACATCATGTTTGGCCTTGGGCTCTGATTCAAAGGCTGCAGCTTCCAAGGCCCTTGCCCTTCCCATTCTGAAAGACAAGGTGCTGACTCCGAAAGCTTGCAATGTTCATTTTGATTTCCTCAGATGCTGGCATTATTTCTCAGAGCAGGTCTTCCCCCAACTGCTTCTCTAGATGGGAGTGAGCCATAAACTATTTCGGCTGCTAAACTCATAACTAGATCAAGGAGAGAAACTAGGAATGGCAGGTTGGTTTTATACCCTCATGCTGTCTCTCCAGTCTATCAACATGTGGACCCATATGTATTAGCACCCCTCTCATACATCAGAAGCTGTAGCCTATAAACAGGGGAAACAGAATCAGAGGGACATCTCAATTTCACTCTGCAGATGGAAGGCCACTCTCACAGAGAGAGAAAACTTAACCCTGTAACTACATAGCTGCTCTCTTCAGCCAAAGCTTTGATTCTGCCAGCATGAGGGCCCCCATTCCCAAAGTGGAGGTGAAACGGGAGAGTTCCCTTATCCCCCTTGCAGGATGTGCAACAGGGATGTGGCTTGCCCCTTCAGTTGCCCCACTGCTCAAGCCTCTAGTGGGAGCATGCAGACGGGCAGGTGCAGGGGCCCTGGGGTTGCTCTGGGGCTCCAGCCCCACGGCAGCATCTAGGGGTGGGTGTCTGCAACTCCCCAAGCCCAAGTGGGCATATGTTACAGAGTGCTCTTTCAGCTTTGCCAGCTGCAGAAGGCTTGTGTTAATCAGCTCAATAGACCCTCTGCCTTATCGCAAGGGAAGAGGGCCAATGTGACAGCTTTCTGTATCCCGAGCTCTTTCCCAGTGTACCAGAAGAATTGGCTCACAGGATGAATGCAAGGTTTTGTTGAGTGGTAGAGGTGGCTCTCAGCAAGATGGATGGGGAGCTGGAAGCGGGGATGGAGTGGGAAGGTGATCTTCCCCTGGAGTGGGGCTGCCCAGCGGCCGGACTCTTCCCCGACTGCCCCCCGGCTGAACCCTCCTCGATGTCCAGACTTCCTTTTTCTTCTCTCTTTCTCTGTCACGTTGTTCTGTCATCACCGGTCTGCTGGTTCCAATATTCACCTGCTTGTGTCTGTGCCCACTAAGGGCTCATGTTTATATGGGCACAAGATGGGGGCTTCAGTGGGCGGGGGAGGGGGCACAGTGGTCTTAGAAAATGCAACATTTGGGTTTGAAAACAGGAGTTCCTGTTCTCATGTAGGTCCACAGGCACAGGCTTGAGGGTGGACCCCCCACCAAAGACCCAGACCTTCTGTACCCAACACTTCCCTGCCCCACTCCCGTGTCAGAAGGACTGTGTATGGTTGTGCTGCCTGTCTGTGCACAAGGGTTCCTGGCTAGGAGCAGTGGGGGCTGACCTCCAGCACAAGGCACATGCAACCTGTCATGTTCCTGGCCCAGGGACAGCTGCCTGGAGGAAGGAGTGCCTTTTTCACAATGGTATGATCTGCTCCCCAAGCTGCACTGCTAAGGGGTATACTGCCTGCCCTGTGGGGGTACCCTTTTCTAATTCACACAAAACACAGTATCCACTAGCAGTGGCCCAACCTGAGCAAACTGAGAAAGCCATCCTGGAGGTGCCTGTGTATCTTGCATCTGAATAGCACAGAAACCTGCCTGTAAACTGTACATCCAAGACCCAAGTAGGGAAGCTGAGTATTTTATGTTATTTTCTTATAAAAGGTTCTTTATGGCAGGGCGAGGTGTCTCACACCTGTAATCCCAGCACTTTAGGAGGATGAAGTGGGAGGACGGCTTGAGGTCAGGAGTTCAAGACCAACCTGGGCAACACAACAAGACCATGTCTCAAAAAAAAATAATTTAAAAATTAGCCAAGCATGGTGATGCATGCCTATAGTCCCAACTACTCAGGAGGATGAGACAAGAGGATCACTTGAGCTCAGGAGTTGAGGCTGCAGTGAGCTATGAGCCCACCATTGCACTCCAACCTGGGTGACAGAGTAAGACCCTGTCTCTAAGAAAATATGTTTTTTAGGTGCTGAAAGACTACCTAGGCCCCATCTAACTTTCAGACCAAGTTTTCCTTTTAGTTCCCATAATAAATGGTTCTTTCCTTTTGCAAAGTATTTAATAGCTTTCCTTTACAATTTCCACTGTGTTTGATCCTTGACAAATGCTCGCCCCTGCCCCCCGCCCACTTCCCTTTCCCTGGCCATCCCATTCAGATGCTACTTCATTGGCCATTCTTTCTCAGTGCTCCTTGCCTAGCACCTTCCTGTAGCTTTAGTGACCCTTTGATAACAATGTCATCATGGGCCCTCCCCAGGCTGTCTGTCTGAATTCAGAATTTTGGAACTATGCTTGACTCCTGAAACCATATAATAGAGAATTCCAGGATATGCCTAAAATAATTAACTCCACAGAATTATAAGTCTGGTTTCTAGAAAGGATCATAGCCTTCATCTTATGCAATTTTACCTCTCAAAAGGAATATCAAGCAACTGAGGCTAGAAATGGTAAGTGATTGCTGCCATGGTTTGGAAAGTCCATGCCCCCCACCAAAATTCATATGTTGAAACCTATTCCTCAAATACATGGTATTAGGAAGTGGAGCCTTTGGGAAGTAATCAGGTCATGAGGATGGAGACCTCATGAATAGAATTATTGCTTTCATAAGGGGCTGAAGAGACTAGGGTTCTCCCCTTGCACCATATGAGGGCACAATTAGAAGTCAGCAGGCAGTGTTCAGCCTGGCAGAGGCCCTCACCAGAACTTGACTATGTTGAGGCCAGGCATGGTGGCTCACGTCTATAATCCCAGCACTTTGGGAGGCCAAGGCCAGTGGATCACCTGAGGTCAGAAGTTCAAGACCAGCCTGGCCAACATGGTGAAACCTGGTCTTTACTAAAAAGACAAAAATTAGCCGGGCATGGTGGTGGGCGCCTGTAGTCCCAGCTACTTGGGTGGCTGAGGCAAGAGAATTGCTTGACCCTGGGAGGCAGAGGATGGCGCCACTGCACTCCAGCCTGGTAGAGCAAGACTCTGTCTCAAAAGGAAAAAAAAAAAAAAAAAGAAAGAAAAAATCTGACCATGTTATCACCCTGATTTCCAGCTTCCCAGCCTCAAGAACTATGAGAAATAAGTTTCTATCATTTATAAGCCACCTAGTCTATGTTATTTATTTCATTATAGCATCCCAAACAGACTAAGACAGTGACTTAACCCAAAGCCACACAAAGTATTTGTTGCAAAAATAGGAATACAGTGCAATGTTTGCAATCTTCCCCTCCGTGGATTCCGCATTTATCCACCTACCAAATGTAGACCAAGCTTCTGTACAGAGAAGTTGTCCTTGATGTTCTCAAGAGAGGCAATACCTAAGAGACTGTAATAAGGAAATTTCACAGTGCTTTCATGCACTACTGTTAGTACTTAGCCCTCAGGGGCCATTGCTAGAGAATATAAGGGAGAAAGAGGCATTGAATTTGGACTCAAGAGTCCACCACCTGGGGTGAAATTCCTCTCTGACATTGCCCAGATTCATCACCTTGGGCAAGTGCTTCAATCTCATCATCTGAAAACGGGAACAATAGTAGCTCAACCCTGTAAGACTGAGATGAGGATCAAATGAGGTAACTTACAGAAGAGGTGTTTAACACAGTACTTGACACTTAAAAGTGATATGTCTGCCAATTCCACTAATGACCTCCTGAAACATATCAACTTTACACACATGCCATGCTCAGGTGAGTCATGCTAAAGTGAGAGTCAGGATTCTGTCTGGTTTTCACAATAGCTGGCATCATCTAGTGTATTCATAAATGCTTCAGGAGGAAAACATGCACTGGGCATGGCCAATAAACATAAAAATTCCTAAATCAAGTTCGTTTAAAAACCACATGGTAATTCCCTAGTAATTCTGGGTTAATAGCATATTAATTACCATCTTGTTATAGCATCAATGAGCCATACATTTGATGTGGGAACCTACAGCAGAGACTAAATGCTAAAAGAGACTTTCCCCAACTGCTGCAGAAAATGATCCCTGCTCACACGATATCAACAAGTCTTCTCAGAAAAACTCCTATGTTACTGATTCTTTAAAGAGCTCAATAATTACCCAAAGTATCCTCCAACCAAAGTTTCTTCTAGTGTGGGTATGTAAAGACTAGCAGTGACATCTACCACCAGTGACATCTATCTCCAAATACCTTGGATCAAAATCTTTTGAAATGACAAACCTCAGCCTGCTGACCTCTTCTGAGGTGATGGTTTAATTGGCTGCAAGTGTCTTGAGACATTTCCAAGGTCCTTGCCTCTGTCTCCTTCCTGCCCCTTTGGAAGTTGACTTTTCCACATCTACTGCATTGAAATACAATCCCAAAAAATAAGTCATGTGAGCCCAGCTGAATTTCTTGGTAGAGGAATTATGTATAACAAGACGGTTGGCAAGGTTATATCACTCCATGAAAGCTGTAATTTCCCTGCAATTGATTTCCTAAAGATAACTCACTGTTTGCGTGCAGTGAAAGCTAATTTAACAAGAAAGATGAGTCTCTTCAGAACACCTTGATTGGCAATTGTGATAAATTCCTATAATTACTATTGACTCAGAGGAGGATTTTCATTTGTTAAGATGTTGCTGAAATGACAGCCCAGTGATGGTTTTAAACAGAGGAAATGGTAACACCACATGCTGCTCCCATCTTCACAAAAGAAACTTGGGGGACTGACATGGTTACAGATATTTCAGAGAGCCCATGAAGACCCTGTTGAGTGTCAGAGAGACCTCTACATCTTCCTTGGCATTTTTGTGTTGACTAAAAATTCTCATAAGAACCACAGTTCTTAAACCCAGAAAGTCTGGCTCTTTCTCCTAACAAAGAAATAAAATTGGGTCTAGATTAGTAGTTCCACAGTGGAGGCAATAAAATCTTATTACTAACATCAAAAATTGAATAAAATTAAGTCAGCTGGGCATGGTGGCTCATGCCTATAATCCCGGCACTTTGGGAGGCCGAGGTGGCGAATTACTTGAGGTCAGGAGTTCGAGACTAGCCTGGCCAACATCGTGAAACCCTGACTCTACTAAAAAATACAAAAATTAGCCCAGCGTGGTGGTGCGCGCCTATAGTCCCAGCTACTCAGGAGCCTGAGGCAGGAGAATTGCTTGAACCTGGGAGGCAGAGGTTGCAGTGAGCCAAGATCACACCACTGCATTCAGCTCAGGTAAAAGAGCAAGACTCAGCCTCAAAAAATATGTATATGAATAAAATGAATCATATTAAAAGTCCAACAATAGGCCATCAGTTAAATCAATTAGTATAAATCCAAATAATACAACATTCTATAGTCATTAATATCATTTTATAGACAGTTAAAGACATAAGCAATGGCTATGATACGTTTTTGGTGTAAGAAGTAGGATGGTGCCTGGACACGGTGGCTCACGCCTATAATCCCAGCACTTTGAGAGGCCAAGGCAGGTGGATCACCTGAGGTCAGGAGTTCGAGACCAACCTGGCCAACATGACAAAACCCTGTCTCTACCAAAAATACAAAAAGTTACCTGGGCATGGTGGCGTGTGCCTGTAATCCCAGCTACTTGGGAGGCTGAGGTGAGAGGACCGCTTGAGCCTGGGAGACGGAGGTTGCAGTGAGCTGAAATCACACCACTGCACTCCAGCCTGGGCATCAGAGTGAGACTCCATCTCACAAAAAAAAAAAAAAAAGTAGAATGCTAAATTACATGTACAAGTCAGGAAAGATGATGCGCACAAGTAGTCCCAGATACTTGGGAGACTGAAGCAGGAGGATCGCGTGAGGCCAGGAACTCAAGGTTGCAGTGCACCATGATCACACCTGTGAATAGACACTGCACTCCAGCCTGGGTGACATAGCAAGATTCCATCTCTAAATATATGTATATATAAGTATGTATATAAATATTAATAACATGTACAATATGAGCTTAGCTATGAAAAACTGTATAAAAAGAACAGGAAGAGTGTCCCATATTGTTAACAGCAGTAACTCTAGATCTTAGATCTTTGAATGGTGAGATAAGCAAAACAGTAAGAAAAGAAGAAAGAAAGAAACTCTACTTTTCTAAAAGTTCAGGCCTATAATAAGAGGTTACCCCTGAAATTAATTTGGGTCAACTTATTTGAGAGAATCAAACTATAAAATATCCCTATTTCCTAAGTAAAAACTGCCCTTTGCTGTTCAGGAATGATAGCTCAGCTATCACTGTCAGCACCACCAAAAAGTTTGCCCATTAATTTCTTGTTTATGATTCTACATGACACATACAAAAGCTAACCAAGAACTGCTACTTGCCTTCTAGGATTTCTCAAGCTTGAATAGTCTACTCTGACATAAAGCATAGACTTTCTATATAATTTGCCATACAAATATAAAGCATTAATATTGATCATAATTTATAATTATAGTCATTAACATTACTAAATGCTCTCTTGCCATTAACTCATTCAATCCCTTTAAGAATTCTAAGAGACACACAGAAATTATCTTCATTTAAAATGAGGAAACTATGGCTCAGACATATGGAGTGACTTGCATGAGGTCACACAGCAAGGTAATTCTTTAAACCTAAGTCTTGTATTTCAAAGTCTAGGACTCTTCCTACTTTACCATGTTTATGACAAAATCTTACAAATTTTTAACAAATTAGCATATTTTGCCTGTATCGATACTTTTCTCCTCCCTTTAAAAACTGTTTGCTTATCAGTAGCTCTCCTTATCAGTAGGTTTTGGAATTTCAAATGGATGTCTATTTTTTTCAGAGTTCACTGTTAGGAACAATAAAAAAGCAAGCAAACATACTACTGGGCTTCTTGTTTCAACAAATATTATTGTAATATGCTAAGAGGCTCAAATACAATTTTAATTAACTGCAAACTGAATTCATTCCTTAATGACAGAATAGGATTTGTTGGTTTGTTTCTCTTTGACAGATTTCTTTTTTCAATTTTTAATAGTGGTTAAAAATTCCATAACATAAAATTTACCACTGTAACTGCTTTTTTTTTTTTTTTTTTTTTGAGATGGTGCCTCGCTCTTGTTGCCCAAGCTGGAGTGCAATGGTGCAATCTCAGTTCACTGCAACCTCCGCCTCCCAGGTTCAAGCAATTCTCCTGCCTCAACCTCCCGAGTAGCTGGGATTTACAGGCACCTGCCTCCATGCCTGGCTAATTTTTGTAGTTTTAGTAGAGATGGGGTTTTACCATGTTGGTCAGGCTGGTCTCGAACTCCTGACCTCAGGTAATCCACCCGCCTTGGCCTCCCAAAGTGCTGGGATTACAAGCATGAGCCACCTCGCCCAACCAACCATTTTTAATGTGTACTGTTCAGTAGTGTTAAGTATTGCATTGATATGCAACAGATCTCCAGAAGCTTTTCATCCAGCAGAACTGAAACCCTATACCCATTAAACCACTATCCATTTCCTCCTGCCTGTATCCCCTAGCAACCACCATTCCCCTAGCAACCACCATTCTACTTTCTGTTTCTATGAATTTGATGATTCTAGATACCTCATATGAATGGGACCATGTACTATTTGCATAATGACAAAATATGAGTTTTTAAAATATGTGAAATGTTGTTTTGCATCAACTTTTCAGAAACTCACACATTTGTCATTTTGAGGGCTGCAACCCCTCCCCCCCCAAAAAAATCAGGAACCAAAAAGTAAATTATATAAAAACAAGGATTATCATATCCTGAAATTTTACTAGAGGTTGCTTAATCTCTCTATGCCTCAAATTCTTCATCTATAAAATGGGGATAGCAATAATACATTCCTCAGAGCACTGTGATGAGAATTTTTTTTTTTTTTTTTTTGAAGCGGAGTTTCGCTCTTGTCCCCCAGGCTGGAGTGCAATGGCGCGTTCTCAGCTCACTGCAGCCTCCCCCCTCCTGGGTTCAAGCGATTCTCCTGCCTCAGCCTCCCGAGTAGCTGGGACTACAGGTGCCCGCCACTACGCCAGGCTAATTTTTTTGTATTTTTAGTAGAGACAGGGTTTCACCATGTCGGCCAGGCTGGTCTCGAACTCTCAACCTCAAGTGATCCTCCAAAGTGCTAAGATTACAGGTGTGAGCCACAGCGGCCGGCCTGTGATGAAAATTAAATACATTAGTTCACGTAAAGAATTTGGAACAGTGGCAGGCATAAAGTAAGCACTGAATAAATATTAAATATTATTATTTTTACATGTATTCTATCAGTAAAGGGACCACACTATAATTAAAATACAATGGCTACTATCAAGGAGCCCATATCTAAAAATGTATATGTTCTGCACAAAACCCATGGTAGAACCTTGCCAATTATTATTGTTTAATAAGGTATTATTCAACAGATAGAATCAAGAAAATAAAATATATAAAATAATATCCAGGATGGGTGCGGCGGCTCATGGCTGTAATTCCAGCACTTTGGGAGGCCAAGGCGGGCAGATCACCCGAGGTCAAGAGTTCGAGACCAGCCTGGCCAACATGGCAAAACCCCGTCTCCACTAAAAATACAAAAATTGGCTGGGCATGGTGGCACATGCCTGTAATACCAGCTACTCCGGAGGCTGAGGCAGGAGAATCGCTTGAACCTGGGAGGTGGAGGTTGCAGTGAGCCAAGATCACGCCACTGCACAGCCTCGGTGACAGAGCGAGACTCTATCTCAAAAATAAATGAATAAATAAAATCCAGCTGAAAACTGAGAGTGTGGTTATAGTCAACACAATGCACATTCCCAGACTGTAATCTCGGCAAGATTTGCCCCAATCTCCTTTTGCAAATATAATTAAAAGCCGTAAATTTATTTTCACTGTGGGCAAGAATTGAACAAATTCTTACATCTGTTTTTTAAATAGCCACCCAGGCACTTCAACACTGCTACTGTATTTGCCTGCTCCAGAGACATATCAGAAGTGTAAAATGATTCTAATAGTAATAAGAGCGGCCTTTCTCTTCTTAATGAAATTCTAAAAGGCTACAGTCTCCTGTAATGCAAACAAGCATTTCTGCCCTGGCAGATTCATCACAAAACGCAGCCGGCCATGGCTGAGCAGGGATTGCGGCCGGCAATGATGCCACCTGCCGTATGGAAGTGGAGTTGCTGTCTTTACAGGGAGGAAATTAAACAAACAAAAAATCAATGCCTTGACAAATCGGTGCTGCTCTGTTTAGGTAAATTACTCTATTATCCTAGTAGCTCAGTACATTATGGAAGTAGTTACCCCTCTACTTAGCTAACTCACCTGGTTTTCTGGCTAACTTAATCCTTTATTTACAGTTTCACTGTCTTGCCCTATCATAGAGCAACTTGGCTTTCTCTTTTCTTTCATTTACTCAAGGTGAATTACTTAATGTTGAAACATCGTTTTCAGCATCACATTTTTTAATGGTGAACCCAAGGTCTCGTTTCTCAGGACAGCCTGTACACAAGGACACGATAATAATAAATGCTTAGGGAATTTCCTTTTTTTCTGGGAACATAAATGTGCACACTGACTAGGAGACTGTTTCGATATATATAAATGAGGCCAGCGTGGTGGCTCACACCTGTAATTCCAACACTTTGGGAGACCGAGGCAGGAGGATTGCTTGAGGCCAGGAGCTTGAGGCCGCCAGCCTGGTCAACAAGCAAGACCCGGTCTCTACAAAAAGAAAACATAAAATTAGCTGGGAGTGGTCTGTAGTCTCAGCTACTCAGGGACTGAGGCAAGAGGATCCATCACTTGAGCCCAGGAATTTGAGGCTGCAGTGAGCTATGATCGCTCCACTGCACTCTAGCCTGGAGACCCTGTCTTTCAAAAAAATATAGACACAAAAAAAATTCAGTTAAATACAGACATGTCCAGACTCTTTTGCACCCAAAATGTACACACACACCCCTAAGTGTGCAGTTAAGCAAAGAGAGATGGAGCCCGATTTTGGAAAATTCATGACGTAAACAAAGTTGATCTTTAGCCTTCTGTGCACCTGTTGGAGACGCAGCTTTCTTTTTCTCTTACTTTCCATCACCAAAACCTTTATTTTTTCTTTCTTTCTTTTTTTTTTTTTTTTTTTCTGAGACAGAGTTTTGTTCTGTCACCCAGGCTGGAGTGCAGTGGTGTGATCTCGACTCACTGCAACCTCTGCCTCCAGGGTTCAAGCGATTCTCCTGCCTCAGCCTCGTGAGTAACTGGGATTACAGGCACTGGCCACCATGCCCAGCTAATTTTGCATTTTTAGTAGAGACAGGGTTTTGCCATGTTGGCCAGGCTGGTCTCAAACTCCTGACTTCAAGTGATCCACCTGTCTCAGCCTCCCAAAGTGCTGGGATTATAGGCCTGAGCCACCTCGCCCCAGCGGGAAAAAAAAGAATGTAGACACAAAAAATATTCCTTTAAATACAGACATGCCCAGACTCTTTTACACCCAAAATAATACACCCACACCCTAAGTGCAATTAAGCAAAAGAGAGATGGAGCCCGATTTCGGAAAATGCATGACATAAACAAAGTTGATCTTTAGCCTTCTGTTAACCTTTTGGAGATGCACTTTCCTTTTTCTCCTACTTTCCATGGCCAAAACCCTTATTATTTATTATTTTATTTTTCCATAAGTTATTGGGTTACAGGTGGTATTTGGTTACATAAGTAAGTTCTTTAGCAGTGATTTCTGAGATCCTGTTGCACCCATCACCTGAGCAGTATACATTGCACCATATATGTTGTCTTTTATCCCTCACCCCCTCTCACTCTTACCCCCGAGTCCCCTAAGCCCATTATATCATTCTTATGCCATTGTGTTCTCACAGCTTAGCTCCCACATATCAGTGAGAACATAGGATGTTTGGTTTTCCATTCCTGACTTACTGCACTTAGAATAATAGTCTCCAATCTCATCCAGGTCATTACAAATGCTGTTAATTCATTCCTTTTTATGACTGAGTGGTATTCCATAATATGTTTATACCACAGTTTCTTTATCCACTTGTTGATTGATGGGCATTTGGGTTGGTTCCACGATTTTGCAATCATGAATTGTGCTGCTATAAACGTGTGTGCAAGTATGCTTTCCTTTTTTTTTCTTTTTCTTTTTTTTTTTTTTTGTTTTTTTTTTGTTTTTTTTTAGATGGAGTCTCTCTCTGTAGCCCAGGCTGGAGTGCAGTGGCACAATCTTGGCTCACTGCAACCTCTGCCTCCCAGGTTCAAGTGATTCTCCTGCCTCAGACTCCCAAGTAGCTGGAAATTCAGGCGTCCGCCACCACACCAGGCTAATTTTTCATTTTTAGTAGAGATGGGGTTTCACCATGTTGGCCAGGCTGGTCTCAAACTCCTGACCTCAGGTGATCCACCTGCCTCAGCTTCCCAAAGTGCAGGGATTACAGGCATGAGCCACTGTGCCCAGCCACCAGTATCTTTTTCAAATAATGACTTCTTTTCCCCTGGGTAGACACTCAGTAATGGGATTGCTAGATCAAATGGTAGTTCTACTTTTAGTTCGTCAAGGAATCTCCACACTGTTTTCCATAGCGGCTGCACTAGTTTACATTCCCATCAGCAGTGTAGAAGTGTTCCCTGATCACCACATACATGCCAACATCTACTGTTTTTTCTTTGATTATGGCCATTCTTGCAGGGGTAAGGTGGTATCGCTCTGTGGTTTTAATTTGCATTTCCCTGATCATTAGTGATGTTGACCATTTTTTCATATGTTCATTGGCCATTTGTATATCTTCTCTTGAGAATTGTCTATTCATGTCCTTAGCCCACTTTTTGATGGGATTGTTTGTTTTTTTCTTATTGATTTGTTCGAGTTCATTGTAGACTCTGGATATTAGTTCTTTGTCAAATGTATAGATTGTGAAGATTTTTCTCCCACTCTGTGGGTTGTCTGTTTACTCTGCTGACTGTTCCTTTTGCTGTGCAAAAGCTCTTTAGTTTAATTAGGTCCCAGCTATTTATCTTTGTTTTTATTACAATTGCTTTTGGGTTTTTGGTCATGAAATTCTTGCCTAAGCCAATTTCTAGAAGGGTTTTTCCAATGTTATCTTCTAGAAATTTTATAGTTTCAGGTCTTAGGTTTAAGCCCTTAATCCATCTTGAGTTGATTTTTGTATAAGGTGAGAGATGTTCCATTTTTATGGAACAGAATATGCCTATTTTTATGCCAGTACCACACTGTTTTGGTGACTATGGCATGGCCAAAACCTTTTGAGGAGGCTTAGTTGTCCCGGTTACCCTTTGAGATACCCAGTGAAGCACACTGTGACCCCTGGGTCCTCCCAGACTTGACAACTTTCCTGACTCCTCCTCAACCACCACCCACTACCACCTCAACAAAACTTATTATTCCAGTTTTCCACTCTTGGATGATGTGGTTAATTGTTTGTGGCAAGTCACATAAGCTGAGAAAGTCAAGTTGCTGCAGCTAATTATTTAATATATTAACTACCTTCAAATGTTTGCATGTTGACCAAGGCCTCTGTCAGCCCATAACATAATTAAAAACATGAATAACTGGCAGAACTGTAGGCACCGTGAATACTGATGGTGGAATATTTAGATGGTTCAGATGAGGGAAAACTCTTAGTGACAATCTTTAAATAATATTATATAATTAGCAGCCAGCTGTTTTATCCAGGTCTAGGGCTTCCTAGACACACACATACACACACACACCCACACACACACACACACATTTGCACATAGAAAGTCTCCCCCAAGGAGAGAAAATGTCACCCTCCTGTAAACACAACACACATCCTAAGTGTCTTTAGACACCAATCACATACCTGAAGATGGCAAGCGGGGTCAGATCTAGAGTTCACATGTTTTTTCCACAACTTCATCACCACCCCACACCCACAAGAGGCTCAGGTAGCAAAGTGGGCAGAGTTCAAGGGAAACATAAATCATTCTTGGCATGAAATATCAGGTGAGTGCTTTCATCACTGTGGTTTCATGTTCCGTAACCTTTTCCCTGAGGTTCCATGCTGAAAGCAGGAGGTTGTTCCTAGATATCAACATGGCTCCATTTGAAAGACTTATCCCACCCCATTGTAGCAACCTCCACCAAAAAATAAATCCAAACTTAAGTAGGATAACTATGTAGAAGGACCCTTTGCCAGAGGATTTTTCCTTGCAGCTCTGGTAAAATTTCATAAAATGGTATCTTTTATTAAAATCATACTGTGGTGGGTATTTTAGAACTTGAGCAGGGTGTGGTGGCTCACGCCTGTAATCCCAGCACTTTGGGAGGCCAAGATAGGAGGATCGCTTAAGTGCAGGAGTTGGAGACCAGCCTGGGCAACATAGGAAGACCATGTCTCTATAAAAAATAATAATAATAAAATGTTGCCAGCACAGTGGTTTACGCCTGCAGTCCCAACGCTTCAGTGTTGAGGAGTAAAGAGAATGTGATCCACCTCAGGAGGCCAAGGTGGGTGGATCACATAAGGCCAGGAGTTCAAACCAGCCTGGCCAACATGATGAAAATCCATATCTACTAAAAATACAAAAATTAGCCGGGCATGGTGGTACACACTTCTAGTCCCAGCTCTCTGGGAGGTGAGGCACGAGAATCGCTTGAACCCAGGAAGCAGAGGTTGCAGTGAGCCGAGAGAGAGATTCTATCTCAAAAAATAATAATAATAAATTTTAAAAACAGAATTTGCTCTCCTAAACTGAGGTTGATGTTACTGGCATATTAGCACTTAATATTTTCTTCTGGTGAGTAACCTTTTGCTCACCAACTTGGAATAGATAAGGATAGGATTCATGTAAGGTTGGTTATGGGGTTAAAATAAAATCATGGGCTCTGAGCTTTGACCATGAAGCCCAGAAGAAAGCATCACTCTGGGCAGAAACACTTCAGACAACAACAGTATTAACAAGAAAAATGTAAAGCCCAAGGTATAGACCTGGGTCGTAACCTGTAACATTATTTACTTGCTATTACATTCTCTTTGGTTTTGCTCCTGGATTTGATGAGAGCAGCAGAATCAATTTCAATGCACATGCATTTATTATACAACTGCATTTCATGCGGGGAGCCCCCCAAAAAAGGATGGGAATCCTTGATCTTAAAGCATTTAAACTGAGTGTGGTAAGCTATTTCCCCAGTCCCCATCAGGCTGAGATGTAAAATTCCAGAATCACAGGTCACAGTGGTGGTGAGAGCCTGAATCATGGGCCCACCAGAGGAATCACAGCCCACTGATAACATTTCTCCTTCAGGAGTGCCTCATCTTTTAAAATTCAGCCTTGACTAGAAAATATAACTTGGCTGGGTGCAGTGGCACACTCCTGTAATCCCAGCACTTTGAGAGGCCAAAGCGTGTGGATCACTTGAGGTCAGGAAGTTCGAGACCAGCCTGACCAACATGGCGAAACCCTGTCTCTACTAATAATACAAAAAAAAAAAAAAAAAACAATTAGCCTGGCATAGTGGCACACACCTGTAATCCCAGCTACTCAGGAAGCTGAGGCACGAGAATCACTTGAACCCAAGAGGTGGAGGTTGCAGGGAGCCAAGACCATGGCACTGCACTCCAGCCTGGATGACAGAGTAAAACTGTGTTAAAAAAAAAAAAAAAAAAAAAAAAAAACAGAAAGAAAATGTAACTGAAGCCAAAAGCTATAAAACCTAATTAGCAGCTGAGTGAGGAACCCTTGAGAAGAATTGGAAGACTCAAAGACTGTTGAACAGGAGCTCTGAGAAGACAAAGTATTCAACTAGATGATCATCTTGTTAGAGTTGAGAAAAAGCTTAGTGAATATTTACGTACAACTTACCTACCATAAAATTTACATTAAACGAGACTTATCTGTATCTTGTCAGCATAAAGTTGTTTCTAAGAATGTTTACCAAGAATGGCAAAGAGCTTTCCTGTAATATTGATTTGCTTTAATAGTGCCAATGATTGCTGATTTATAATTCTGATACTATGAATGTTTGTTATAGGAAATTACATTTGTTAAAATGTGTGCTATAGCAAATTGTTAGTTCACTAAGAGTGTAAACTATTTTTGTCATGGAAGTCTTATTTTAACCACCCACCTTGTGACAATTAACTCAATTTCTATAATCTTATCAAATTTGTTACTTCATTTGTACATAAGTGAATCAGCATTCCTTGTTACTCAAAAATCATCAAGCCTTTTTTTAGGCTTTTTTAAACAAATATTTTGTATTCTAAAAGTTGTATCTCTAAAGTAAAATTTAAATTATTTTCTTTTTTTAATTTTTGTTTTTATTATATTTTGTTTTTATCATGGCCTATATTATTACTTTGGTAACATTCTCTTTAACCCTCAAACTAATAAAAAACTGTCACTCATCACAAAAGACTGGGTAAATTAAGAAGTACAGTTGATCCTTGAATAATATGGGTTTGAATTTCAGGTGAGTTTTCCTTTGCCTCTGCCACACCTGAGACAGCAAAACCAATCAAATCTTTCTCTTCCTCCTCTTCCTCTGCCTCCTCAATGTGAAGACAATGAAGATGAAGACCTTTATGATGATCCACTTCCACTTAATGAATAGTAAACGTATTTTCTCTTCTGTGTGATTTTCTTAATAACATTTTCTTTTCACTAGTTTACCTTATTGTAAGAACACAGTACATACTGCATATAACACAAAATACGTATAATCGACTATTTATGTCATTGGTAAGGTTTCCAGTCAACAGTAGGCTATTAGTAAAGTTTTGGGGGAGACAAAAGTTATACACAAATTTTCAACTGCATGGGGTGCCCATAATCACCACATTGTTCAAGGGCCAATTGTATTCATTGAGCATTGAGAATATACTTTATCTGAACATTAGTAATAATAAAAATAAACTTTTTTGGAATTTTAGACTCTACTTGCCAACGTAACCAAACTCAGGTCCAGCTGCTTGCCACTGGAAAACCAAAATTAAAGAAGCAAGATGCTTTGAAAAGAAAGCAACTGTATTCAAAGGCTAGCAGCTAGGAGATGGTTGGGCTCAAGTCCCAAAGGAACCATCTCAAAACTTTAGGCAAGTGAGTGTGTTCAAAAAGTGAAGTTGGCATGGGAAGCATGCGGGAGTGGTGCAGGGTCTGTATGTCTTGTTCTGACTGCCATCTTCAGTTATTGTCCACCTGGAGCGTGGGCTGGTGCCATCTCAAGGTGACAATGGCTGTGTTGCAGACTAACTGCCTTGAGGTAATCTCTACATGGGGAGGATTCTGCAGCTGGGTCTCTATGCCTGATTTATTTCAAGATTAGCCCCTGTAATTTATAAGCAAGCACATAGTTAGATAAGCAAGTGCAGTGCAAGGGACCTTGCCAACTTTGTTACTTCATTTGTACATAAGTGCATTGGCATTACTTGTTACCCAAAAATCAACACACCTTTTCTTAGGCTTTATTTTAAATAAATCCTTTTTGTTTAAAAAAAGTAGCAGGTGGCCAGGTGTGGTCTCTCACACCTGTAATCCCAGCACTTTGGGAGGCCGAGGCAGGTGGATCACTTAAGATGAGGAGTTTGAGACCAGCCTGGCCAACATGGTGAAACCCTGTCTCTACTAAAAATACAAAAATATTAACCGGGCATGGTGGCAGATGCCTGTAATTCCAGCTACTTGGGAGGCTGAGGCGGGAGAATGACTTGAACCTGGGAGACGGAGGTTGCAATGAGCCCAGATCGCGCCACTGCACTCCAGCCAGGGTGACAGAGTGAGACTACATCTCAAAAAAAAAAAAAAAAAATTAGTCAGGCCTGATGGCATGCACCTGTCATCCTAGCTACTCAGGATGCTGAGAGAGGAGAATTGCTTGACCCTGGGAGGCAGAGGTTTCAGGTTGCTGAGATAGTGCCACTGCACTCCAGCCTGGGTGACAGAGACCCTGTCTCAAAAAAAAAAAAAAAAAAAAAAAAAGTAGAACTACTATATAATCCAGCAATCCCGCCTCTGGCATAAATCCAAAAGCATTGAAATCAAGACCTCAAAGAGGTATTAGCACTCTCATATTCATTACAGCGCTGTTCACAATAGCCAAGATGTGAAAACAATCTAAACATCTATCGGTAGATGAATGGATAAAGAAAATGTGGTATATGCATACAATGGAATATTATTCTACCTTAAAAAAACAAAGTTCTGCAATATGCAACAACATTAACCTAAGATAAACCTTGAAGATATTATGCTAAGTGAAACAGGTCTCATCACAGAAGAACAAATACTGCATGATGCCACCAATAGGGAGTATCTCAAATAATCGAACACATAGAATCAAAGAGTGGAATGGTGGTTGCCAGGTCTGGGGAGAGGGAAATGGGGTACTGCTAATCAACAGCATACAGTTTCAGTTAAGCAAGATGAAGTTCTGGAGATCTGCTGTGCAACATTATAGCCTGTAACGTGTAGGTTATAACCTATAATAGTATTGTAACCTACAGTTAACGATACTGCATTGTACACTTAAAAAGTTGCAAAGAGATCGGATCTCATGTTGAGCGCTCTTACCACAATAAAATACAATTTTTAAAAAGCACTAATATATATAAAATGAGACAATACGTCACAAAATAGTCTATTCTACATCATTGCACCTATTATTAAAATGCTGCAGCCTGAACACTGTGGCTCGCACCTGTAATCCCAGCACTTTGGGAGGCCGAGGCGGGCAAATAACTTGAGGTCAGGAGTTCAAGACCAGCCTGGCCAACATGATGAAACCCTGTCTCCACAAAAAATATAAAAATTAGCCAGGCATGGTGGTGCGCACCTGTAATCCCAGGTACACAGGAGGCTGAGGCAGGAGAATTGGTTGAACCTGGCGGGCAGAGGTTGCAATGAGCAGAGATTGCATCACTGCACTCCAGCCTGGGCAGCAGAGTAAGTAAAACTCCATCTCAAAATAAAGTGAAATAAAATAAAATGCTTCATATGATTATGGTAATTATTAGAATAAAGCATTCAGTCCAGAAACCTCAGGGGTGGTTGTCTAACTATGGCTTTGAATAGCATTATTTTACTTAGGAGAAATTCTGTTTCCACCCACTACCCAGTTTTTGTGGATATTAATAATTATCTGGTTTGGTTGCCTTGCATCCATTCCTTTATTGATTTATTTTAATGGCAATAGTATCCCAATTTCCTTTACTCTCCTCAGGAATACAAGCTTTTTTTTATTCTCAAGCTACATGATTTGGAGGGTATCCACCCCAGATTAGGAGTGGAATATGTAACCTCGGGTTGACAGTCGTGGCCTCAACATTCTCTAGTCCAGTGATTGATCAATGTGAACATGTGACCTAGATCTGGTCAAACGGCAAACTTCATTTCCTGGATACAGTGATTGGTTCAGTAATATCAAATTGGTCCAATCATAGTTAATCCCAGGATTTATGGAGGAGCTATAGGAAAGAGACTTAATTTTTTCTTTTCTGTTGAACTTAGATTTAGGAAGATATTATCTTACAATTGCCAGAGGTCTCACATGAAGCCTGTGGATGAAGCTGACTATAAAACCAAGAGATAGGGCCAGGTGCAGTGGCTCACACCTGCAATTTCAGCACTTTGGGAGGCCAAGGTGGGTAGATTCCTTGAGGCCAGGAGTTCAAGACCAGCCTGGACAACTTAGCAAGACTTCGTCTCTACAAAAAAAAAAAAAAAAGAAGAAGAAGAAGAAGAAGAAAATTAAAAAAATAAAAATAAGAGATGGAGAGAAACTAATTTCAGATGACAGTACCTGAAGCCAGCTTTCCCCTGGGATTTTTCTGCTATACCATATGTGCTAATAAACTCCCCCTTTTGCTTAACTCAGTTTGAAATGAGTTTTGTGTTATCTACAACCTAATTTACTACTTAGAAGTAAGTTAGAAGCGTAAGTTACCAATCTTTCCAAATGAGATATTTCATATTGAGTAGTGGTTCAGCAGGGATGGAGGCAATCAGCTCTCCTTGGGTAGGAATTCCAACCTATTCCATAACTGTACCCCAGCATCACCAAAGCACCCATCAATCTGTAGTAGAATTTCCCCGGAGTTGAACTGGGAGGATCTAAGCATATCACCTTGGAGAAAGGCTAACCACTCACTCTAAAGTTTCTTCCTGGTTTTGAAACTTCTCTTTTTCTCTCTCTCCCTTCCTTTGTTTGAAAATAAAGGCTAACGGACCCACTACCAAGAGGGACACTAAATAAATGGAACAGAAAAAGGCAAAGAGAAGGAAATCAAAGAGAGAAATTTAGTGCAACCAGCAAATGCCCACATTAGGCTCACAACAAAGACAAGCTCAATTTCTCTCTTATTGACATTAACAAGTTTGATGGGAGTCCAACATAAAAGACAGGCAAATCTGCTTGCTCTTATAGGGGTCCTAGGATCTCTGCAGCTGCTTTCAAATTGCTTAATTCCACTAAAGTTCATCTTTCTTGATTGGTTTTTATTCCTTTCTATGTCCAACCAATCACGTGCTGGCCAAGCAGATGGCTTGGAGCCAGTCCTGGCTGTCCAGGTCAGCAGCTGCAGCCTCACCCCGGAATTCAGAACTTGTCATCCCTCCCTAACTACAGAAATCCTTCTTCCTGCACAGGCTCTTTAACTAGGAATCATAGAGACCCGATAGATATTTCCTGAAGGAATAAATGTTACTGCATAAACTCAGTGCCTAGCACTATATTAGGGGCTGGAGGTGAAACAAAAAAATGTAACTCAAGGAATAAAATGAAAATTACTAATTTTTTTAATTTATAAAGAAAAGGAATTTATTTCTTATGGAGGCTGTGGGGCCTCATCTAGTGAGGGCCTTCCTGCTGATGGGGACTCTCCGAAGAGTCCCAAGAGCCTATGCAATTTAAGAATAACAGGCCAGGCACGGTGGCTCACACCTGTAATCCCAGCACTTTGGGAGGCCAAGGTGGGTGGATCACCTGAGGTCAGGAGTTCAAGGTCAGCCTGGCCAACATGGCAAAACCCCATCTCTACTAAAAATACAAAAATTAGCCAGGCGTGGTGTCGCACGCCTGTAATCCCAGCTGCTCAGGGGGCTGAGGCAGGAGAATTGCTTGAACCCAGGAGGCAGAGGTTGCAGTGAGCCAAGATTCTATCATTGCACTCCAGCCTGGGCAACAAGAGGGAAACTCTGCCTCAAAAAAAAAAAAAAAAAAACAGTCAGCAGCAGGGCTGAGATTCAAACTCCCATATTTGCATCCAGAGCTCTTTATTCCAGTAACATGGCATCCGTCTGAGATGGAAAGGGGGAAAGAAAAGAAGAATCAAGCAGAGAAAGAGAACGTGGGAAGGAGAAATTAGCATGGAATTATTTGTTAGTTTTCTTGTATGAGGCAAGTATTTTTTTTTTCAACCTTTATTTTAGATTCAGGGGGTACATGTACAGCTTTGTTACCTGGGTATATTGTGTGACGTTGAGGTTTGCAATAAGAATGAGCCCATCACCCAGGTACTGAGCATAGTACCCAACAGTTAATTTTTCTACCCATGACGCCCTCACTCCCTTCCTCCTCTAACAGTCTCCAGTGTCTATCGTTCCCATCTTTATGTTCATGAGTATCCAGTGTTTAGCTCCCACTTTTAAATGAGAACATGCAGTATTTGGTTTTCTGTTTCTATGCTAATTAACTTAGGATAAAGACCTCCAGCTGCATCCATGTTGCTGCAAAGGACATAAATTCATTCCTTCTTATAGCTATGTAGTATTCCACATTTTCTTTTTTAATATTTTTAACTAATTCACATGCCACCTTTGGGAAGTATTCCACATTTTCTTTATCCAGTCTACCATTGATGGGCACCTAGGTTGATGCCACATCTTTGCGATTGTGAATAGCATGGTGATAAACATACAAGTGAATGTGTCTTTTTGGTATAACTATCTATTTTCCTTTGGGTATATACCCAGTAATAGGATTGCTGGGTCAAATGGTAGCTCTGTTTTAAATTATTTGAGAAATCTCCAAAGTGCTTTCCACAGTGGCTGAACTAATTTACATTCCCACCAACTAGAGTTTATAAATGTTCTCTTTTCTCTGCGGCCTCACCAGCATCTGTTGTGTTTTGACTTTTTAATAATAGCCATTCTGACTGGTGGGAGATGGTATCTTAGTGTGGGTTTGATTTGCATTTCTCTGATGATTAGTGATATGGGGCATTTTTTCATATTTTTGTTGGCCGCTTGTGTATCTTCTTTTGAGAAGTATCTGTTCATGTCTTTTGCCTATTTTTAATGGGGTTATTTGGTTTTTGCTTGTTGAACTTGTTTGTTTTATGAGACAGAGTATCACTCTGTCACCCAGGCTGGAGGGCGGGGGTGTGATATCGGCTCACTGCAACCTCTGCCTCCCAGGTTCAAGTGATTCTTACACTTCATCTTCTCAAGTAGCTGAGATTTGAGGTGTGCACCACCGTACCCAGCTAATTTTTGTATTTTTAGTAGAGACAGGGTTTTGCCATGTTGGCCAGGCTGGTCTTGAACTCCTGGCTTCTAGCAATCGTCCCACCTCAGCCTCCCAAAGTGCTGGGATTACAGGCATGAGCCACCATGCCAGCCTTATTGTTTCAATTCCTTATAGATTCTAGATAATAGACCTTTGTCAGATGCATAGTTTGTGAATATTTTCTCCCATTCTGTAGGTTGTCTGTTTTCTCTGTCTGTTGTTTATTTTGCTGTGCAGACGGTCTTTAGCTTAATTAGGTCCCACTTGTCAATTTTTGTTTCTGTTACAGATCTTTTGAGGACTTAGTCATAAATTCTTTCACAATGCCAGTATCCAAAATGGTGTTTCCCAGGTTTTCTTTGAAGATTCTTATAGTTTGAGGTCTTACATTTAAATTTTTAATCCATCTTGAATTAAGTTTTGCATATGGTGAAATGAGGGTTCTAGTTTCATTCTTCTGCATGTGGCTAGGCAGCTATCCCAGCACCATTTATTGAATAGGGAGTCCTTTCCCATTGCTTGTCATTGTCGACTTTGTCAAAGATCAGATGGCTGTACGTGTGTGGCTTTATTTCTGGTTCTCTCTATTCTGATCCACTGCTCTATGTGTCTGTTTTTGTACTAGTATTATACTGTTTTGGTTACTGTAGCCTTCTAGCATAGTTTGAAGTCCAGTAATGTGATACCTTCAGCTTTTTCTTTTTGCTTTGCTTTGGCTATTCGAGTTCTTTTTGGTTCCATATGAGCTTTATAATAGATTTTTCAAGGTCTGTGAAAAATGACATTGGTAATTTGATAGGAATAGTATTGAATCTGTAGATTGCTTTGGACAGTATGGCTATTTTATCAATATTGATTCTTCTAATCCATGAGCATGGAATTTTTTTCATTTGTTTGTGTCATCTCTGACTTCTTTTAGGTGTGTTTTGTAGTTCTCTTTGTAGAGATCTTTTACCTCATTGGTTATATGTACTCCTAGGTATGGTGGGGTTTTTCTTGTGCATGAGGCAAGTATTAAATTAGACCTCTCATGTTATACTTTATCTTATTCCTTACAATAGTTCAGACAGTAGATCATCTCTGTTTCCACTCAAATGCACCAGAAGCCTGAGTGTGTATTTTATTTATTTATTTAAAAACTGAATATCACTCTGTTACCCAGGCTGGAGTGTGGTGGTGTGATCATAGCTCACTGCAGCCTCAAACACTTGGCCTCAAAGGATCCTCCCACCTCAGCGTCCTGAGTGGCTGGGATTACAGGAGAGAACCACTGCACCTAGCCCTGAGTGTGTATTTGTTTTCTGATAAAGAGCTAATAATTACTCTTGTAGATCAGATCTGGTATTTAAAAGAAAACAAGACATTGTGCTCATTTTCTCTTAGTTTTTAAAATTTTTAGAAATATTGATGTGAGGATGATTTAATCATAGAGCAAGAAATGTTTATTTAGAATCTACTTTATTCAGCACATGTATTCATTAACTTAACATTTACTAAGAGCCAAGTACCAGCTGGGTGTAGTGGCTCATGCCTGTAATCCCAGCACTTTGGGAGGCTGAGGTGGGCAGATCACTGGAGATCAGGAGTTCAAGACCAGCCTGGCCAACACGGTGAAACCCTGTCTCCACTAAAAATACAAAAGTTAGCTGGGCATGTTGGTCCATGCCTGTAGTCCCAGCTACTTGGCAGGCTGAAGCAGGAGAATCACTTGAACTCAGGAGGTGGAGGTTGCAGTGAGCCAATATCACGCCACTGTTCTCCAGCCTGGGTGACAGAGCAAGACTCCATGTCAAAAAAAAAAAAAATAGAAAAAAGATCCAAGCACCCTATTAGGTCCTAGAGATGCAAAAAGAGATAATTAAGACAGGGTCCAGTCCCTCAAGAAGCTGGAGACTACTGAGGAAAACAGAGAGAAATAGACAATTACAAATTAGTGTGTGATATGGTTTGGCTGTGACCCCACCCAAATCTCATCTTGAATTGTAGCTCTCATAATTCCCACATGTCATGGGAGGGACCCAGTGGGAGGTAATTGAATCGTGGTGGTGGGTCTTTCCAGTGCTGTTTTCATCATAGTGAATAGGTCTCACGAGATCTGACAGTTTTATAAAGGGGAGTTCCCCTGCACATGCTCTCTTTCCTGCCACCATGTAAGATGTGATTTTGCTCCTCCTTCACCTTCTGCCATAATGGTGAGGCCTCCCCAGCCATGTGGAACTGGGAGTCCATTAAACCTCTTTTTCTTCACAAATTACCCAGTCTTGGGTATGTCTTTATCAGCAGCATGAAGATGGACTAATACAATGTGCTTACTGCCATTTAGTTTAGAAGTCTATGCAGGTTGCCTAGGGAGCTCAGAGGGAGGAAAATTAGCCTAAACTGAGTGAAGGAGAAGGTCAGGAAGCCTTTCTTAGAAGAGGTAATGTATGAATTGAGTCCAGATGAAGTGGGTGGGAGGGGGAACAGTTCCCAGCAGAGGGAATAATGAGTGCTGAAGCCCAAGGAAAGCATATTGCATGCCAGGAAATACAGTACTGCAGTATAGTTTAGGCATAGTCTGTTTATAGGAAACTATTAAGGGCTGAAGGACTGAGAAAGGGCTTCAGAATTTATTTTGAAAAATTTAGAAATTCATGGAAAGCAGTAATCAGGCAAGAAGGAGAATCAATGTGTATTTAAGAGAGATCACTCTGTGACCACTCACTGTGGAGAATGTCCTGGAAGTAGGCATACCTGAAATTGAGCATTGTTTGGGATTGAATTCCAGCGTGCGGGCCCATTCCTGTCAGTGCTACCATAGACTTTCTGTATGAAGTAGTAAATGTGGGGTAGAAAGACCTAGGATTGGTTCAAGTTCTGCCACGTGCTAATCATAGGACTTTGAGCACTTTTCTTAATCTCCTAAGGTTCAGTTTCATAATCTGGCATATGGATTTAATAATAATACTCATCAAGTAGAGTTATAGAGTTATTGTGAGAATAACATAAGAAAATTAGCCAGGCACAGTAGTACGTGCCTGTGTTCCCAGCTATTTGGGAGGCTAAGGCAAGAGGATTGCTTGAGCCTAGGAGGTTGAGGCTGCAGTGAGTTATGATTACACCACTGCACCCCAGCCCAGGTGGCAGAGCAAACCCCTGTTTCAAAACAAAAAAAAAGAAAAAAGAAAAGGAAAGAGAAAGAAAATACATATAAAGCGCTTTTCATAGTCACATGTGGTAACAGTTCAATAAATGTTAGTTATTCATATTATCATTGTCAATATCACCATAGCTTAAAAATAAGGAAACCATAAAGTAAAGGAAGTGAGAATAAAGATGACCAAAGAAGTTGATGACTGATTGTATGCAAATGATGAACAGGAGCTAAAGATGACTGCAGGTTTCTGGCTTTGGCAATGGAATATGCCACTTCAGCACAGAAATTATTTTGAGGTGAAGGTAATTGAGAATCAGCAGATGCTGGAAGAGTTCTCTGCCTGCCCCTTATCTAACTAAAAGTAGGGCATAAATGTGTTTCATGAAGGTGTCTGCCTCTTCTGAACCAGGAGGAGGAGAGTGATTTTTATCCCCAGAGATGGAGAGCCTGCTATCCCAACTCCTGTTTAGTAAGGTAAACAAACCTTGCCACAATGACCCTTACCTTCACTAGTTTCTTCTATATATTTCCTAATTATTTTTCCATGATTTATCATCTGTCAAAGCCCAAACCCACTTTTCCTTTGTTTAAAATGGTATGTAATCCCCCAAGTCTAACTACTTCTTTGAGTTTTATGTCTGTGAACTCCTGTGCACATAACTAGTAATACAAACTATATATCTTTTTCCTGTTAATCTGTCTTATATTAGTTTAATTCACAGGCCCCAGGCATTGAACATACAAGGGTGGAGGAAAAGTTTTTCCTCCCCTCACAACTTATTTTTATTTTTTATAGAGATAGGATCTCCCTATGTTTCCCAGGCTGGTCTCTACCTCTGGGCCTCAAGCAATCCTCCCACCTTGGCCTCTCAAAGTGCTAGGATTATAGGTGTGAGCCACCGCACCTGGCCCCAGAAAGTTCTTTCATCATTATTTAGTAGAAGTCATGAAAAAAAAAGAGCTCACTCAAGGAGAGATCATAAAATGAGAAGAGAAGCTAGAACTCTAGGGAATGCAAATATATCAATCAGCAAAGGAAAAAGTGACAGCAAAGGAAAAAGAAGCCATTGGTGGAAAGTGAGAAGTACCAGAAAGAAAACAGAAAAACCTACAGCATGGCGTCATGAAACTTAAAGGAGGTGAGAGTTGTGACAGGCAGCTTCAAATACTACAAAGGTATCAAATTAGATAGGCCTGAAATGCATCTGTAGGATTACACCACAAAATATCTCTGAAAACTTGATCATAATTGTTTCAGTAGAGTGATGGAGGAGAAAACTGAAATCAATTGCCAAAAGAGTGAATGAAAGATGAGAAAGTGGTGTATTAGCTTCCTAATGGTGCTGTAACAAATAAGCACAAACTCAATGCCTTAAAACTCATACACTTTTTATCCCATGGTTCTGTAGTTCAGAAGCCAAGCAGATTGCAAAACTGCTTTTGCAAAATTTATAACAGTAAGAAAATCATAACAGTGAAGAAGATCTGATCTGGCCAAACCTCCATCGTGCCTTTGGCCCTCAAGCTGCCCTTAGACATCCCTGGGCTTAGGTGAAGCTACCTTTGGGAGACATTTAGTTTATAGTTTAAATGGTAATAGCTCTTCCCCAGAACTCAACCACC
This sequence comes from Homo sapiens, assembly GCF_000001405.40. NCBI lineage: Eukaryota > Metazoa > Chordata > Mammalia > Primates > Hominidae > Homo > Homo sapiens. The sequence continues at coordinate 33,664,568 of NC_000008.11, read as the reverse complement.
TTTGTAAAGCTAATGAGAGACCACCAGCCTAGGAAGATAGAGGAGGCTGAATTCTGCCAAGGTGTAGAAATAAACGACTGCCAGTCATTATTCTGGAGGTCACAAGATCAAGATATGCAACCTCCCCAATTACTCCTACAGATAACATCACTATTGCAGAACCTAAGATTGGCCTTTTGAGATATGCTATCAGGTTTTTTGTACGTCTGACACCTGCCAACCAGCTCCCGTAGCCCCACTCAGAAGCAGCTCAGCCTGCAGGAAGACTATTTCCCAAACCCCTATAATTGCACGCCCAAGCAATCAGCAGCAAGCACCCACTGCCGAGCCACCCCCATCTCTTCCCCCAAACTATCCTTGAAAAAGCCTAGTCCCCAAATGCTCAGGGAGATTTATTTGAGTAATAATTTTGTCTCCCCCATGGCATGGCTGACCTCATGTCAACAAAACTCTCTCTTTACTGCAATGCCATGATCTCCATGAATTAAATTTTGTTTGTGCAGTGGGCAGGAAGAACCCGTTGGAAAGTCACAGTCACTTCGGGTCTCACTGGCCTAAATCAAAGTGTGGATTGGCTGGGCTTTTACCTGGAGGCTCTAGGGAAGAATGTTCTCTTTCCGGCTGTTGGAAGAATTCAATTCCATGTGATTGTTGGACTAAGATCCCCATTTCCTTGCTGGCTGCCAGCTGGAAATTATTCTTACCTTCTAGAGGCTGCCTACAATCCTTGGCTTCGTTATCAAAGCCAGAAATGGCAGGTCAAATATTTTGTTTGTTTGTTTTAGGCAGGATCTTACTCTGTTGCCCAGGCTAGAATCCAGTGGTACAATTATGACTCACTGCAGCCTCAACCTCCCAGGCTCAACCGATTCTCCCACTTCAGCCTCCCAAGTAGCTTGGACTACAAACACATGCTACCATGCTGGGTTAATTTTCTTTTTTTTTTTTTGAGATGGAGTCTCACTCTGTTGCCAGGCTGGAGTGCAGTGGCACGATCTCAGCTCACTGCAACCTCCGCCTCCTGGATTCAAGCGATTCTCCTGCCTCAGCCTCCCGAGTAGCTGGGACTGCTGGCGCACACCACCACGCCAGCTAATTTTTGTATTTTTAGTAGAGATGGGGTCTCACCATGTTGGCCAGGATGGTCTCAATCTCTTGACCTCATGATCTGCCCGCCTAGGCCTCCTGAAGTGCTGAGATTACAGGTGTGAGCCACCGCACCCAGCCAAATTTAAAACTATTTGTACAGATGGTGTTTCACTATGTTGCCCAGGCTGGTCTCAAACTCTAGGACTCAGGCAATCCTCCTGCCTAGGCCTCTCAAAGTGCTGGGATTACAGGCATGAGCCACCTTGTCTGGCAAGGTCAAATCTTGATCACACTTCAAATCTCCCTGACCTCTCCCGGTTGGTTCTCCTGCCTTCCTTTTCTGCTTTTAAGGGCTCATAAAATTACACTGAGTCCACCCAGATAATCCAGAATGCTCTCTCTCTGTTTAAATTCAGCTGACTAGTAAACTCAATTTCATCTGCAAAGTCCCTTCACAACAGTGATTGAGAAACCAGAGGAGGCCAGACACGGTGGCTCATGCCCCCAGCACTTTGGAAGGCCAAGGCAGGCAGATAATCTGAGGTCAGGATTTCGAGACCAGCCTGGCCAACACAGTGAAACCCTGTCTCTACTAAAAATACAAAAATTAGCCAGGTGTGGTGGTGCGTCCCTGTAATCCCAGCTACTCAGGAGGCTGAGGCAGGAGAATCACTTGAACCCATGAAGGGGAGGTTGCAGTGAGCCGAGATGGCACCACTGCACTCCAGTCTGGGCAACAGAGCAAGACTCCATCTCAAAAAAAGAAAAAGTGAAAAATTGATTGAACCACATCTGAGGAAACAGACAGCATTAGGATCCAGATCACAAGTGGAAGCAGCCAGCCTTCACGTTAACGTTGCAGGTAGAAAGGAGGGAAGTGTCAAGAAGTGGCAGTAGTGGCAAGTCACTGAGGAAGTTCTCTTTTAATAACTATTATTTTCTCTAAACCAGTAGTTCTCAGAGTGTCATCCCTGGGCCAGCAACATCAGCATCAGCAGAGAACTTGTGAGAAAAGTTAAGCTAAGGCCCTGCCCCAGACCTACTTAATCAGAAACTCTGGGGGTGAGGCCCAGCACTCTGTGCTTAACAGAGTCATGCAGCAAGGCATGGTGGTGTATGCCTGTGATCCCAAAACTTTGGGAGGCCAAGGCAGGAGGATCACTAGAGGCCAGGAGTTCATGACCAGCCTGGTCAACATAGCAATACCCCATCTCTAAAAAATTGTTTTTAATTAGCCAGGCATGGTGGCATTTGCCTGTAGTCCCAGCTACTCAGGAGGCTGAGGAGGGGGGCTCATCTAAGCCCAGGAGTTGGAGGCTGCAGTGAGCTATGACAGTGCCACTGCACTCTAGCCTGGGCAAGAGAATGAGACCCCATCTCTAAAAAAAGAAGAAAAAGGAAACCAGAATCACCCTCCAGTGATTCTGGTACTTGCTTAAGTTTAAAAATCCCTCCTAAAATGAAAGAAAAAAATCATTGGTAAGAATAAGGAAGGCCGGGCATGGTGGCTCATGCCTGTAATCCCAGCACTTTGGGATGCCAAGGCGGGCAAATCACCTGAGGTCAGGAGTTCAAGACCAGCGTGGCCAGCATGGTGAAACCCTGTCTCTACTAAAAATACAAAAATTAGCTGGGCGTGGTGGCACATGCCTGTAGTCCCAGCTACTCAGGAGGCTGAGGCAGGAGAATGGCTTGAACTCAGGAGGTGAAGGTTGCAGCCAGGCCTGTGCCACTGCACTCCAGCCTGGGCAACAGAGAAAGATTTCGTCTCAAAAAAAAAAAAAAAAAAGAAAAGAAAAGAAAAAAGATAAGGAGGACATGAGGAGTGAAAGACTTAAGGGAATGTAAAAGTTTGAAAGATCTATGGGAAGAAAAAGAGAGATTTGTTGAGAATATATGAAAGGCCACCCAGAGTAAAATCTCACCAAACTCCTACAGGAACCAATGCCAGGTATGGACATAAGGGGTTCTGGGTTCCAACAGACTTTTGACAAAAGATACTGTAATATAATCAATTCCAATGAGACTTTTCTTCCTCTTTTTTGAGATAAGATCTTGCTCTGTCACCCAGGTTGGAATGCAGTGGCACAATCACAGCTCACTGTAGCCTCCACCTCCCAGGCTCAGGAGATCCTCCTGCCTCAGCCTCCCAAATAGCTGGGATTACAGGCATGTGCCACCACACCTGGCTTATTTTTGTATTTTTTTGTAGAGAAAAGGTTTCACCATGTTGCCCAGGCTGGTCTCAAACTCCTGGGCTCAAGCAATCCACTCACCTCACCCTCTCAAAGTGCTAGGATAACAGGCGTGAGCCACCGTGCCTGGCCTCAGTGAGAATTCTTTAGCATCATGAAGAACAACAGGAATGACTGAGACAGGAGGATCCTAGCAGGCAGGAAAGAAAACTGATTTTAGAGTCTACATCATCTGGATTCATTTCCCAACTCTGCCACTGCTTGAGTTAGAAAGTTACTTAACCTCCTTGAGCCCCTTTCCTCAACATGGAATAGAAATACATCAGGGGTGTAGAGGCCTGCATTAGGCCATTTTGTGCGTTACTATAAAGAAATGCCTGAGGCTGGGTAATTTAGAAAGAAAAGAGGTTTGTTTGGCTCACAGTTCTGCAGGCTGTTCAAGAAGCATGGTACCAGCATCTGCTTGGCTTCTGGTGAGGCCCAGGAAGCTTTCAATTATGGCAGAAGGTGAAGGGGGATTTGGGGTGTCACATAGTGAGAGTGGGAGCAAGAAAGGATCGGGGAAGGGCCACATTCTTTTAAACAACCAGACCTCATGTGAACTCAGAACAAGAACTCAATCATTACCAACCACGAGCCATTCATGAGGGATCCACCCCCATGACCCAAACTCCTCCTGCTAGGCCCCACCTCCACACTGGAGGTCACATTTCCTTTTTTTCAGACAGGGTCTCACTCTGTCCCCCAAACTGGAGTCCATCTTGGCTCACTGTAACCTCCACCTTCTGGGTTCAAGCAATCCTCCCACCACAGCCTCTGGAGTAGCTGGGACTACAGGTGCTCACCACCATGCCGGACTAATTTTTGTATTTTTAGTAGAGACGGGGTTTTACCACATAGGCCAGGCTGGTCTCAAACTCCTGGCCTCAAGCAATCCACCTGCCTCTGCCTCTGAAAGTGCTGGGGTTACAGGCATGCACCACCATGCCTGGCCTTGGAGGTCACATTTCAATATGAGATTTGCAGGGGGCAAAACATCCAAACCATATAAAGGCCCTACCCATGATAACATATGGGAATTCCTAGCACAGAATCTGACACACAAATGAAAACTATTGATGCAGGACTTTTTCAGTGCTGTTTCACCAGCTGGAGACCTACCCAGCTGGCAACGCCCCCACTGGGGCTCCACTCAGCTCTGAGCTCACAGCTGGAGGTACCCCGCCTGCTCAGCCATGTGGCTGCACTTGGCTTGCTTCAGCCTGTTTGTGTTACAACTTGTTTGGTCTCGCTACCCCACTCCAGCCCCCAGCTCCAGGGCTGGCCCAGCCCTCCCACTGCTTCCTGTCACATGGAGTGACTACCTGGCACTGGTGGAAAACTGGAGCTACAGTGTTATAGCCTTTTTCGTACCCACATGTATTAGTTCATTTTCACACTGCTGATAAAGATATACCTGAGACTGGGCAATTTACAAAAGAAAGAGGTTTAATGGACTTACAGTTCTATGTGGCTGGGGAGGCCTCAGAATCATGGCAGAAAGCGAAAGGCATGTCTCACATGGAGGCAGACAAGAGAAGAGAGCTTGTACAGGGAAACTCCCCTTTATAAAACTATCAGATCTCGTGAGACATTCACTATCATGAGGACAGCATGGGAAAGACCTGCTCCCATGATTCAATTACCTCCCACTAGGTCCCTCCCACAACATTTGGGAATTGTGGGAGCTATATTTCAAGATGAGATTTGGGTTCACAGGTCCTGAGTTCTTGTCCCATGTCCAAGAAGAATGAGATTACACTGACAACTGAAGGGTGAAGAGCAGAGAAGAGTTTTATTGAGTGACGGAACAGCTCTCAGCAGAGAGGGGACTGGAAGTGGGTGGTCCCCCACCTAAAGCAGGTAGATCCCCTCGAAGGTGGGTAGTCCCCCAGTGTGGCTGAGCAGGGGCTTTTATGGATCAGAATGGGGGAGTGCATGCTCACTGGTTTGTAAGTATGCAAAACTGGCTAAAAAAAAAAAAAAGGCACGTCCCTCTCCCTCTCCCTACGGTCTCCCTCTCCCTCTCTTTCCACGGTCTCCCTCTGATGCCGAGCCGAAGCTGGACTGTACTGCTGCCATCTCGGCTCACTGCAACCTCCCTGCCTGATTCTCCTGCCTCAGCCTGCCGAGTGCCTGCGATTGCTGGCGCGCACCCCCACGCCTGACTGGTTTTCGTATTTTTTTGGTGGAGACGGGGTTTCGCTGTGTTGGCCGGGCTGGTCTCCAGCTCCTAACCGCGAGTGATCTGCCAGCCTCGGCCTCCCGAGGTGCCGGGATTGCAGACGGAGTCTGGTTCACTCAGTGCTCAATGGTGCCCAGGCTGGAGTGCAGTGGCGTGATCTCGGCTCGCTACAACGTCCACCTCCCAGCCGCCTGCCTTGGCCTCCCAAAGTGCCGAGAGTGCAGCCTCTGCCTGGCCGCCACCCCGTCTTGGAAGTGAGGAGCGTCTCTGCCTGGCCGCCCATCGTCTGGGACGTGAGGAGCCCCTCTGCCTGGCTGCCCAGTCTGGAAAGTGAGGAGCGTCTCTGCCCGGCCGCCATCCCATCTAGGAAGTGAGGAGCGCCTCTTCCCGGCTACCATCCCATCAAGGAAGTGAGGAGCGTCTCTGCCCGGCCGCCATCCCATCTAGGAAGTGAGGAGCGTCTATGCCCGGCCACCCATCGTCTGAGATGTGGGGAGCGCCTCTGCCCCGCCGCCCCGTCTGGGATGTGAGGAGCGCCTCTGCCCGGCCGTGACCCCGTCTGGGAGGTGAGGAGCGTCTCTGCCCAGCCGCCCCGTCTGAGAAGTGAGGAGCCCCTCCGCCCGGCAGCCACCCCATCTGGGAAGTGAGGAGCGTCTCCGCCCGGCAGCCACCCCGTCCAGGAGGGAGGTGGGGGAGTCAGCCCCCTGCCCGGCCAGCCGCCCCGTCCGGGAGGGAGGTGGGGGGGTCAGCCCCCCGCCCGGCCAGCCGCCCCGTCCGGGAGGGAGGTGGGGGGGTCAGCCCCCCGCCCGGCCAGCCGCCCCGTCCGGGAGGGAGGTGGGGGGGTCAGCCCCCCGCCCGGCCAGCCGCCCCGTCCGGGAGGGAGGTCGGGGGGTCAGCCCCTCACCCGGCCAGCCGCCCCGTCCGGGAGGTGAGGGGTGCCTCTGCCCGGCCGCCCCTACAGGGAAGTGAGGAGCCCCTCTGCCCGGCCACCACCCCATCTGGGAGGTGTACCCAACAGCTCATTGAGAACGGGCCATGATGACAATGGCGGTTTTGTGGAATAGAAAGGGGGGAAAGGTGGGGAAAAGATTGAGAAATCGGATGGTTGCCGTGTCTGTGTAGAAAGAAGTAGACATGGGAGACTTTTCATTTTGTTCTGTACTAAGAAAAATTCTTCTGCCTTGGGATCCTGTTGATCTGTGACCTTACCCCCAACCCTGTGCTCTCTGAAACATGTGCTGTGTCCACTCAGGGTTAAATGGATTAAGGGCGGTGCAAGATGTGCTTTGTTAAACAGATGCTTGAAGGCAGCATGCTCGTTAAGAGTCATCACCACTCCCTAATCTCAAGTACCCAGGGACACAAACACTGCGGAAGGCCACAGGGTCCTCTGCCTAGGAAAACCAGAGACCTTTGTTCACTTGTTTATCTGCTGACCTTCCCTCCACTATTGTCCCATGACCCTGCCAAATCCCCCTCTGTGAGAAACACCCAAGAATGATCAATAAAAAAAAATAAAAAAATTTTAAAAAAAAGGCACCACTCAAAGATGGGCATAACAGTGTAAAAAACCAATTAGGGAAGGGTAGGTATATGCAAAATAGGGGAAGGGTGGCATCAGTCAGAGGAAAGCACACTAAACAGGAAGAGAGGTTCTCCATCCGGCCCATGGATTTATCTGAGACTCGTACCTTGATTTTCAGGCTTTAAACTGTCTTTGGTTTGAAGGTCCAGTTTCACCAGGGACCCACCCCTGCCTGCCTAGGAGCTTGTCTGCCTCCTGCTGCTATCACTATGGTTGTTCATTTGGATATCTGTCAGATTTTATCATAATAATAAATGAAACCTCTATCATTTGCTTCTCACCCACAGTACTTCACTCGGTTCCACTGGGCTAGGCTGGGCTCTACATGTCTTCTCATTTCAGGACCCAAGTCAATGGAGACGCTCCTATCTGAGACATGCATATGCTCATGGCAGACAGCAGCATGCAAGGAGTGACTGCATTTAAAGCAATGGCATTTGAAGCTTCTGTTGTGTGGCATACATCCCATCCACCCACACACCTCTGGTCAAATCAAGTCACAGGACCAAATTCAAAGCCAGTGAAGTGGGTGTAGTCCTGCTTCAGGGAAGCACAGCAGGGGTGGGAAATGGATATATCATTTGAACAAATAATACATTTTATCATCTATTATAATAACTTGGAGTAATTTCAAATGAGATTTTCTAGGCTATTTGGAATAAAGATCTAATTAAAGGCGAAAGCTGAGGAACACCCAGAAGGCACTCTGGTGAAGACTTTTTCAGATTCTGGAAACATAATTACCTTTGCAATATCCAAACGTTTGTTATCTCTAATTAAATACTCACAGTGATCAGTGTATTCATTTACTAGGGCCACCATAACAAGATTCCACAAACTAGGTGCCTTAAATTACACAAGTGTATCATCAACAAATGCTGGTGAGGATGTGGATAAAAGGGAAACCATGTATGCTGTTGGTGGGAATGTAAATTAGTACAACCACTATGGAGAACAGTTTGGAGGTTCCTCAGAAAACTAAAAATAGAGGCTGGGCATGGTGGCTCATGCCTGTACTCCCAGCACTTTAGGGGGCTGAGGTGGGCAGATCACTTGGGGTCAGGAGTTTGAGACCAGCCTGGCCAATATGGTAAAACCCCATGTATTAGTCCATTTTTATGCTGCTGATAAAGGCATACCTGAGACTGGGAAGAAAAGGAGGTGTAATTTGACTTACAATTCCACATGGCTGGGGAGGTCTCATAATCATGTCAGAGGGCAAAAGGCACTTCTTACATGGTGGCAGCAAGAGACAATGAGGAAGATGCACAAGTGGAAACCCCTTATAAACCCATCAGGTCTTGTGAGACTTATTCACTATCATGAGAATAGCACAGGAAAGACCAGCCCTCATGATTCAGTTACCTCCCCCTGGGTCCCTCCCACAACACATGGGAATTCTGGGAAATACAATTGAAGTTGAGATTTGAATGGGGACAAAGCCAAACCATGTGACCCTGTCTCTACTAAAAATACAAAAATTAGCCAGACATGGTGGTGTGTGCCTGTGGTCCCAGCTATTTGGGAGGCTGAGGCAGGACAATCACTTGAATCCAGGAGACAAAGGTTGCAGTGAGCCAAGATTGCACCACTGCACTCCACCCTGGAAGACAGAGAGACTTTGTATCAAAAAAAAAAAAAAAAAAAAACTAAACTAAAACTAGAGCTACCATATGATCCAGCAATCCCACTGCTGGGCATAAACCCCAAAGAAAGGAAATCAGTATATCAAAGAGATAGCTTCACTCCCATGTTTTGTTGCAGCACCATTCACAAAAACCAAGATTTGGAAGCAACCTGAGTCCATCAACAGATGAATGGATAAGAAAATATGGTACTATTCACAATGGAGTACTATACAGCCATTAAAAAGAATGAGATTCTGTCATTTGCCACAACATGGATGGAACTGGAAGTCATTTTCGTAAGTGAAATAAGCCAGGCACAGAAAGACAAACATTGCATGCTCTCACTTATTTGTAGATCAAAACAATTGAACTCATGGGAATAGAGAATAGAAGGATGGTTACTAGAGGCTGGGAAGGGTGGTGGAGGGAATGGGGGTAGGTGGGGACGATTAACAGGTACAAAAGAAAATCGTTAGAAAGGAGGAAAAGACGTAGTATTTGGTAGCACAACAAGAGGACTACAGTCAGTAATAGTTTAATTGTACATTTTAAAATAACTAAAAGTGTATATTTGTATTGTTTGTAATACAAAGGATAAATGCTTGAGGGGATGGACATCCAATTTTCCATGATGTGATTATTATGCATTGCATGCCTGTACCAAAACATCTCATGTATCCCATAAATATATACATCTACTATGTACCTACAAAAAATTTTTTTAAACAAAGAAAAAAAAGTGTATTCTCTCAGAGCTCTGGAGATTAGAAATCCAAGGTCAAGGTGTTAGCATGATTGGTTCCTTTTGAGGGCTCTGAGGGAGGGATCTGTTCTAAGCCTCATTTCTTTTTTTTTTTTTTTTTTTGAGACGGTGTCTCACTCTGTCACCCAGGCTGGAGTGAAGTGGTCAATCTCAGCTCACTGCAACCTTCGCCTCCTGGGTCCAAGGATTCTCATGCCTCAGTCTCCCAAGTAGCTGGGACTACAGGCATGAGCCACCATGCCTGGCTGATTTTTGTATTTTTTTAGTGGAGATGAGCTAGTCTTGAACTTCTAACCTTAAGTGATCCACCCTCCTAAGCCTCCCAAAGTGCTGGGGTTACAGGCATGAGCCACTGCACCTGGCCAATTTTTGTTATATAAAGATATAATCTTTTTTGAGAGACAGGGTCTCACTTTGTCATCCAGGCTAGAGTGCAGTGGTGCCATCAAAACTCACTAGAGCCTCCAACTCCTGAGCGCATGCAATCCTCCTGCTTCAGGCTCCTTAGTAGCTGGGACTACAAGCAGACACCACCACACCTGGCTAATTCTAAAAAATTTTTTTAGAAATGGAGGTTTCACTATGTTGCCCAGGCTGATCTCCAACTCCTGGACTCAAGCAATCTTCCTACCTTAGGCTCCCAAGTCCCTAGGATTACAGGCATGAGCCACTGTATTCAGCCTTAGACATCACTTGTTGGCTTCTCAATGGCTGTCTACATGTTCACATGGCATTCTCCTTGTGTATGTATCTGTGCCCAAATTTTCCCTTTTCATAAAGACACCAGTCATATTGCATTAGTGGCTCTTTTGCGCCAGTATAACCACATCTCAGCTAGTTACATCTGTACTGACCCTATTTCCTGATAAGATCATATTCTGGGATTCTGGGATGCCAAGTGTTGGGACATCAACATATGAACTGGTGGGGGTGGGGTACCTTATTTAACCCATAAAAGTCAACAATAAAACCCTTAAGAGATCTGGCTCTAGCTAGCTGAGTCCTGATGGAAAAACATATATATACATACATATACATACATACATATGACTTGTTTTCAGAGAAAAAACAAAGAATCGTAAAGCTGGGGACACTGTCTCCCACCCCACAGCCTTTCATGTGTAGAAAGGAGAACCATGAACCAAGTCTTTTTAGTGCACAGATGAAACCAGCACACCGAGCACTGGTGGAATGAACAAATTCTGTAACAACACAAATATCTGTAAGGATTCTTTGTCAAGTTGAACTCATTGTCTAAACTGAGTACTTGTAATTTAACTAATCTTCACACAGAGACCAAAAAGATTTTGTGCTGCATATTTCTGCCAAAGTATGCACGAGACTGGTTATCTACAATGAGGAGGCCAGGGCAGGGAGGAGCAGCTCAGCTATGGAGCTGAACAGCCTATTCCTGCTGGTGGCAAGGCCCCTGCTTCAGGGCACCATGAATGGTTTTGCTAGAACTCTGCCAACTTTCAACACCTGCTTTCTTCGACCTTTCTTATTTTAATGAAAGCCACACTCTATCTCGCACCGCAAAGAACAACTTCATTTCCTCCCTTCCCTGTGTGAATCTCTTGCTCTCTAGAAAGGTTACTCCTTTCATAGGCAGACAATGTTAGCTATCAGCTGATGCCTGCTGCCCTTTCCTAAAGTAAATTACCATTGTTCACTTGGATATTATTTACCTCTACTATAGCTCTTTCTCTCTCTCTCTCCTATCCTTTTGATTCTTTTTATTTGCTTTAATCTCCTGTCCTTCTACTGTCTGCCACCCCCACCACCCAGCCTTCTTCCTGCACACACAGGTGCGCGCACACACACACACACACCCCTCTTACCTATAAAGGCTTAACCTGTCAGCTCAGGAAAAGAGGGTGTATTCTTCCACTCTCATGCTGCTAATAAAGACATACCCAAGACTGGGCAATTTATAAAGGAAAGAGGCTTAATTGACTCACAGTTTTGCATGGTTGAGGAAGCCTCAGGAAACTTACAATTGTGGCAGAAGAGGAAGCAAACACATCCTTCTTCACATGGTGGTAGGAGAGACAATGAGAGACGAGCAAAAGGGGAAGCCCCTTATAAAACCATCAGATCTCATGAGAACTCACTCACTATCATGAGAACAGTATGGGGGAAACCACCCCCATGGTTCAATTATCTCCACCTGATCCTGCCCTTGACACATGGGGATTATTAAAATTCAAGAAGAGATTTTGGGTGGGAACACAGCCAAACCATATCATTCCACCACAACCCCTCCCAAATATCATGTCCTCACATTTCAAAAAACAATCATGTCTTTCCAACAGTCCCCCAAAGTCTTATTTCAGCATTAACTCAGAAGTCCACAGTCCAAAGTCTCATCTGAGACAAGGCAAGTCCCTTCTGCCCATGAGCCTATAAAATCAAAATCAAGTTAGTTACCTCCTAGATATAATGGGGGTAGAGGCATTGGGAAAATACACACATTTCAAATGGGAGAAATTGGCCAAAGCAAAGAGGCTACAGGCAAAATCCAATAGGATAATCATTAAACCTTAAAGTTCCAAAATGGTCTCCTTTGGCTCCATGTCTCACATCCAGGTCACACTGATGCAAGAGGTGGGCTCCCACAGCCTTGGGCAGCTCCACTCCTGTGGCTTTGCAGCATACAGCTCCCTTTCCAGCTGCTTTAATGGGCTAGCATTGAGTGTCTGCAGCTTTTCCATGTGCATGGTACAAGCTGTTGGTGGATCTACCATTCTGGGGTCTGGAGGGTGGTGGCCCTCTTCTCACAGCTCCAATAGGCAGTGACCCAGTGGGGAGTCTGTGTGGGGGCTTCAACCCCACATTTCCCTTCCACACTGTCCCAGCAGAGGTTCTCTATGAGGGCTCTGCCCCTGCAGAAAACTTCTGCCTGACCATCTAGGCATTTCCATACATCTTCTGAAATCTAGATGGATGTTGCCAAACCTCAATTATTGACTTCTGTGCACCCACAGGTCCAATACCACGTGTAAGCCCTCAAGCCTTGGGGCTTGCACCCTCTCAAGCAATGGTCTGAGCTCTACATTGGCCCCTTTTAGCCATGGCTGGGATGCAAGGCACCAAGTCCCAAGACTGCACAAAGCAGCAAGGCTTTGAGCCTGGCCCATGAAACCATTTTTTACTCCTAAGCCTCCAAGCCTGTGGTGGGAGGGGCTGCCATGAAGATCTCTGACATGCCCTGGAGACATTTTCTCATTGTCTTGGAGATTCACATTTAGATCCTTGTTACTTATGCAAATTCCTGCAGCCAGGTTGAATTTCTCCTCAGAAAATGGGTTTTTCTTTTTTATTGCATTGTCAGGCTGCAAATTTTCTAGACTTTCATGCTCTGCTTCCCTTTTTGATATAAGTTCCAATTCCAAACCATATCTTTGTGAATACATAAAACTGAATGCTTTTAACAGCACCTAAGTCATCTCTTGAATGCATTGCTGCTTAGAAATTTCTTCCACCAGATACCCTAAATCATCTCTCTCAAGTTCAAAGTTCCACAGATCTCTAGAGCAGGGGCAAAATACCACCAGTCTCTTTGCTAAAACTTAGCAAGAGTTGCCTTTATTCCAATTCCCAACAAGTTCCTCATCTCCGTCTGAGACCACCTCAGCCTGGACTTCATTGTCCATATCACTATCAACATTTTGATCAAAGCCATTCAGTAAGTCTCTAGGAAGTTCCAAACTTTCCCTCATTTTCCTGTATTCTTCTGAGCCCTCCAAACTGTTCCATCCTCCGCCTGTTACCCAGTTCCAAACTCCCTTCCACATTTTTGGTTGTCTTTACAGCAGCACCCCACTTCTGGTACCAATTTACTGTATCAGTCTGTTCTCACACTGCCACAAAGACATACCCAAGACTGGGTAATTTATAAAGGAAAGAGGTTTAATTGACTCCCAATTCAGCATGGCTCAGAGACCTCAGAAAATTTACAATCATGTTGGAAGGGGAAGCAAACACATCTTTCACATGGTGAAAGCAAGAAGTGCAGAGTGAAGGGGCAGAAAAGCCCCTTATAAAACCATCAGAACTTGTGAGAACTCACTTACTATCATGAGAACAGCATGGAGGTAACTGCCCCCATGATTCAATTACCTCCCACCAGGTTCCTTCCACAACACATGAGGATTATGGGAAATACAATTCAAGATGAGATTTGGGTGGGGACACAGCCAAACCATATCAGAGGGGGATGCTGCATACAGCTTTTGTGTTTCCATAAAAAGTGATAAATGGCACTTTGGAAGGCCAAGGCAGGTGGATCACAAGGTCAGGAGATTGAGACCATCCTGGCTAATACGGTGAAACCCCATCTCTACTAAAAATACAAAATATTAGCTGGGTGTGGTGGCAGGCGCCTGTAGTCCCAGCTACTCATGAGGCTGAGGCAGGAGAATGGCATGAACCCGGGAGGCAGAGCTTGCAGTGAGCCAAGATCATGCCACTGCACTCCAGCCTGGGCAACAGAGCGAGACCCCATCTCAAAAAAAAAAAAAAAAACAGAACAGTGATAAATGGGTCAGGCATGGTGGCTCCCACCTGTAATCCCAGCACTGTGGGAGGCCAAGGTGGGAGGATCACTTGAGGCCAGGAGTTCAAGACTAGCCTGGGCAAGATAGCAAGATCTCATCTCTACAAAAAGTGAAAAAAAGTAGCCAGGCATGGTGGTGCACACCTGTTGCCCCAGCTACTCAGGAGGTTGAGGCAGGAGGATCGCTTAAGCCTAGGAGTTTGGGGATGGGGTGAGCTATGATTACATTATTGCATTCCAGCCTAGGTGACAGAGCAAGATCCCATTGCAAAAAAAAAATAAAAAAAAAAAATTAAGCAATAAACTAATGGTAATAGACACTATTGAACATTTCAAGCCCTACCTCAAAGCAGAGATCAAGTAAAGATACCTTCTCCCATCAAACCTAGCCCCACAATACTGCCATAACCACAGCCACAGGCAGAATCTTAGACTGGGTATGCCTGGAAGGCTTAAACTAGGGAACAACCACAGGTCCTATTCAAGTTCCTTGCAGCAAAGCTAAGCTGCTGGCCCAGTGGTGTTCTCTGGTATTCCCTGGGCTAGTACATTAAGAAAGCACCTTGAACATAAACTTGGACTATGAGGGGTTGTATAGACAGCAAGACCTAGCAGATGCCTCCTGCACCCAGGGGTGACTGGCTGGCTCAAAGCCTGATTAAATATGATACAGGTGGCTCAGGTGGGAGATGAGGCTATGATGGACCCACCTGCACTCCTATAGTGCAGGCCTTCATCTGACTCCACATCCACATAAACCTTGTAAAGCAAAAATAAAGCCCCAGGCCCCCAGGTGAGACAGGACAGACACTGTAATAACGTGATACCAAATTATAAAGATCTAAGGCCATGCCAGAAAAGGATTAAGTCATGCACCCCCTACACTTAAAGAGTAAACTATGTTTTAACTGCCACAAGGTTTTCTTCTTTTTCTCTAGCAGACAAACAAGAATTGGCCTCCAGATACACAGTATTAAAGCAATTGCAGCTCACTGACCAACTTACCCCTGTTCCACCAGCCATAACCAAAGCTTTGATTTGACGAAAGACTGGGTTCATTTTCTCCTGACAAAAGACCACCGACCATGAACTGGTTCTGGCCAGTTTACAGAGGCTGAGCACTGAGTGCTTCGTATCCCTGCTTCACTTTCTACTAATAATATATAGAGCCTAACTTTACTGCATTTAAAAGTTGTCTCTATCTGCCATGCATAGTGGTTCATGCCTGTAATCCCAGCATTTTGGGAGGCCAAGGAGGGAGGGTCACTTGAACCCTGGAGTTTGAGACCAGCGTGGGCAACATAGCAAGACCCCATCTCTATTCGAAAAAAAGAAATAAATGTTGTCACCACCACAAAGTGAACATGGGTGGTATACAATATACATCTTTATTCACTACACATGCATTAGGACCCCCTTCATGAATATTCATAGCTCCTCCTATAATCCGTTGAATATGTATACTTGGCCAACCCCTTCAGCATAATATTCCTGTTTCATCCTTCCTCCCTCAAAGTGCTTGCTTTTGGTCTCTTACAGAGGCTTCACTTCCCAGCCTACAGCATGGCCAACCTTCAAGCTATAACCTTTTATAAGAAATAAAGTCTCTTCTCAAAATGTATGAATTTCCTGCATGATTCTTCAGTTAACAAGCCTGAGTCAAGACATCAAGGGTTCCTTTCCAGGGCTGTCCTCTGACAAATTCTGGAAGGAGGTAAATATTATCTTTGGTATTTCCCCCATAACCATTGCTCAAAATCATCTTAGGGACCCAGAAAATGCTTATTCCAATCAGACAAAACTAACATCCAGCTGGGCCTGTTCATTTCGGTGTCCTACAGAATCACAAGCATAAGCTGTCCCAAACTAAACCGACTCCCATCCTCCCAACATGATCACACCAGCTTCCACCCACCCAGTGTGCAAGCACCAGGCTGTTCCCTCACACCTCATACTCCATGGATCCCTCCCAATTTTTTCTACTGTGTTCCTCCTCCACCTCACTACCTTTCTCAGGCCTTCCTTGTTGCTCATTTAGATAGGATAAGCCCCTAAGATAGGATTAGGGGGTGCCGGGGCAGGTGCTTGACCCAGGAAAACCTGTGCTCAAATCCAAGTCCTTCCACTAACTTACCAAGTAGTTTTGAAAAAGGTAATGAACTTGTTAGTTTCCTCACATTTATAATACCTCTTTTGAAAGATTGTGGTAGGATTTAATGATGCAATCCATGTAGAGATGTTTGTCAATTTGATTTTTTTTTTTTTTTAAGAGAGAGGGTCCCACTGTGTTTCCCAGGCTGGTCTCAAACTACTTGGCTCAAGTGACCCTCTTGCCTCAGCCTCCTGAATAGCTGGGACTATGGGCGTGCATCACTGCACCTGGCAATCCCCTTTTCTTCATTCAGTTCCAGTGCCCTTTACATTGTATTCTGTATGAACAGTGCCCCTCTGGAGTTCAGCAACTCTGTGGCCCTGACCCATAAATGTGCTGTAATCCTACCACATTGGGAAGCTGAGGCCAGTGGATCACTTGAGGTCAGGAGGTTGAGACCAGCCTGGCCAACACGGTGAAACATCGTTATCTACTAAAAACACATAAAATAGCCAGGCATGGTGGCATAAGCCTGTAATCCCAGCTACTCTGGAGGCTGAGGCAGGAGAATTGCTTGAACCCAGGAGGCGGAGGTTACAGTGAGCAGAGATTGTGCCACTGCACTCCTGCCTGGGCAAAAGAATATAGAATCACAGAATCTTTCCAAAGATTTATTAAATTTATTAAAATTATTTTATCATTTTACTTACTCTATGATAGTAAGGTGATTTTATGTATATTCTGGGGTTTTTTTTGAGATGGAGTCTTGCTCTGTCGCCCAGGCCAGAGTGCAATGGTGCAATCTCAGCTCACTACAACCTCTGCCTCCCGGGTTCAAGCGATTCTTCTGCCTCAGCCTCCCGAGTAGCTGCAACTACAGGCGTGCACCACCACAACCAGCTAATTTTTTATATTTTAGTAGAGATGGGGTTTTGCCATGTTGGTCAGGCTGGTCTTAAACTCCTGGCCTCAAGTGATCCACCCACCTCTGCCTCCCAAAGTGCTGGGATTACAGGTGTGAGCCACTGAACCCAGCCAAGAATATTATTTAGGATTATTTATCTTGAAAAATTATATTAACAACTTTACTTTAATATAATCTTAATGACCTATGTTCATTTATTCCAGGGGTCCCCAATCCTCTGGCCACAGACCAGTACCAGTCCATGGCCAGTTAGGAACTGGGCTGCACAGCAGGAGGTGAGTGGAGGGCAAGTGAGCATTACCACCTGAGCCCCGCCTCCTGTCAGACCAGCAGCAGCATTAGGTTCTCATAGGAGCACGAACCCTATTGTGAACTGCACACATGGGATCTAGGTTGTATGCGCCTTATGAGAATCTAATGCCTGATGATCTGAGGTGGAACAGTTTCATCCCTCCCTACCCCACCCTCCCATCCATGGAAAAATTGTCTCCCATGAAACCCATCCCTGGTGCCAAAAAGGTTGGAGGCCACTGTTTATTCAACAAATACGGTTTGAGGCCTTTTATGTAGCAAATACTGCTCCCTTGGCTTGTCCTCATTTAATTCCTGACATGTTGTTTAATTTAAGTCACTTATGTGTAAAAAATATTTTTGTTGACAAACATAAATTCCAAACTGGTATCATATCCCATATGGTTTCAAGACTGAATTCATATCAAATTATCTATTCAAGTTAAACCTATGTTATGCCATCAAATCTAGAAAAAAACCACTTTTACTCCCTAAACTTTGAATTCATGCATTTTACATTAAATTGTAAATGGCTGGGTGCGGCGGCTCACGCCTGTAATTCCAGCACTTTGGAAGGCTGAGGCAAGCGGACCACGAGGTCAGGAGATCAAGACCATCCTGGCTAACACGGTGAAACCCCATCTCTACTAAAAATACAAAAAATTACCCGGGTGTGGTGGTGGGTGCCTATAGTCCCAGCTACTTGGGAGGCTGAGGCAGGAGAATGGTGTGAACCCGGGAGGCAGAGCTTGCAGTGAGCCAAGATCATGCCACTGCACTCCAGCCTGGGCAACAGAGGGAGACTCCATCTCAAAAAAAAAAAAATATTGTAAAATGGTTCTAGTATTCATGTTTTATTCCTTTTTTTTTTTTTTTTTTTTTTTTTTGAGATGGAATCTTGTTCTTTTGCCCAGGCTGGAGTGCAGTGGCACGATCTCAGCTCACTGAAACCTCCACCTCCTGGGTTCAAGCAATTCTCCTGCCTCAGTCTCCAGAGCATCTGGGATTACAGGCTTATGCCACCACGCCCGGCTATTTTATGTGTTTTTAGTAGATACGAGGTTTCACCATGTTGGCCAGGCTGGTCTCAAACTCCTGACCTCAAGTGATCCACCTGCCTCAGCTTTCCAATGTGCTGGGATTACAGGTGTGAGCCACTGCACCTGGCCTCCAATACTGAGTGTGTTTTCAATGAGTGCTTTATGATTCTGCCACTTGGCTGATGAGTTACAATTCAGCTGAACATCATTAGCTATCATGGTGATCTTTATAACCTTTTGATTTTTACTCTCAATTATCATTTAATATATTCCAGTAATGTAACATTGGTTGAAAAAAGGAAATATAAGAAACAGAAATGAAAACAGTAAGTTTGGAGAGTAAGGTGAAAATATTTCTGCAAATTCCTTTCAAATAGATCTTTCTCATAGGTTTGAGTTACCTTCTGCTTATGCAATGCTTTAGGAACTCATTGAATATCTCTGCCTAAAATATAGGTTAAACAAAAATATAGTGGTTGCATCTTCATTAAATCGGAGTGAATGCTATCCATATCAAAAATGTTTTACTTGCAGTAAAGTACTTGCAAATATCAGCTTTAAACTTCTCATCTTGTCAGTTATAAATACAACATACAGGCTGGGTGTGGTGGCTCGTGCCTGCAATCTCGGCACTTTGGGAGGCCGAGGTGTGTGGATCACCTGAGGTCAGGAGTTTGAGACCAGCCTAACATGGTAAAACCCCCATATCTATTAAAAATACAAAAATCAGCCAAGTGCAGTGGCACACACCTTCCCAGCTACTCAGGAAGCTGAGGCAGGAGAATCACTTGAACCCAGGAGGCAGAGGTTGCAATGAGCCAAGATTGTACCACTGCACTCCAGCCTGGGCAACAGAGCAAGACTCCATCTCAAAAAAAAAAAAAAAAAGAAAAGAAATAAAACACACAAATACTAAAACAAACTATTTTATAATTTAATGTATAATGCATGAATTCAAAAGTTTACAGCGTAAAGGCAGTTTTTTTCTAGATTTGATGGCATAACATAGGTTTAACTTGAATATTTTTATATTAATTTAGTCTTCAAACCATATGGGATACAATGCCAGTTTGGAATTTATGTTTGTCAACAAAAATATATTTTACACATAAGTGACTTAAGATAAATTTAAAAACATGTCAAGAATTAAATGAGGATAAGCTAAGGGAGCAGTATTTGCTATATATAAAGGCCTCAAACCACATTTGTTGAATAAACAGTGGCCCCCAACTTTTTCGGCACCAGGGACGGGTTTCATGGGAGACAATTCTTCCATGGATGGGAGGGTAGGGTAGGGAGGGATGAAACTGTTCCACCTCAGATCATCAGGCATTAGATTCTCATAAGGAGCATACAACCTAGATCCCTCACATGTGCAGTTCACAATAGGGTTCGTGATCCTATGAGAATCTAATGCTGCCACTGGTCTGACAGAAGGTGGAGCTCAGGTGGTAATGCTCACTTGCCCTCCGCTCACCTCCTGCTGTGTAGCCCAGTTTCTAACTGGCCATGGACTGGTACTGGTCTGTGGCCAGGTGGTTGGGGACTCCTGGAATAAATGAACATATATTGTTAAGATTATATTAAACTTTATAATACAATTTTTTTTTTTGAGACAGAGTTTTGCTCTTGTTGCCCAGGCTGGGTACAGTGGTGTGATCTTGGCTCACTGCAACTTCCATCTCCCAGATTCAAGCAATTCTCCTGCCTCAGCCTCCAAGCAGCTGGGATTACAGGCGCACACCACCACTCTAGGCTAATTTTTGTATTTAGTAGAGACAGGGTTTCACCATGTTGGCCAGGCTGGTATCAAACTCCTGATCTCACGTGATACACCCGCCTTGGCCTTTCAAAGTGCTGGGATGACAGGTGTGAGCCACCATGCCTGGCTTATAATACAATTTTTCAAGATAAATAAATCTAAAATAATATTGGCTGGGCACAGTGGCTCACACCTGTAATCCCAGCACTTTGGGAGGTGGAGGCAGGTGGATTACTTGAGGCCAGGAGTTCAAGACCAGCCTGGCTAACATGGTGAAACCCCATCTCTACTAAAAACACAAAAAAATTAGCTGGGTGTGGTGGCGCACACCTATAGTCCCAGCTACTCAGGAGGCTGAGGCAAAAGAATCACTTGAACCCAGGAGGCAGAGGTTGCAGTGAGCCAAGATCATGCTACTGCACTCCAGTCTGGGCTACAGAGCAAGACTCCATCTCAAAAAAAAATAAAAAAATCTTTCTACGTAAAATCACCTATTATCATAGAGTAAGTAAAATGATAAAACAATTTTAATAAATCTTCAGAAAGATTCTGTGATTTTTTTTTTTTTTTTTTTTTTGAGACAGGGTCTCATTCTCATTATCCAGGCTGGAGTGCAGTGGCACAATCTCGGCTCACTTCAACCTCCACCTCCTGGACTCAAGCAATTCTCCTGCCTCAGCCTCCCAAGTAGCTGGGACTATAGGCGAGCACCACCACGCCCGGCTAATTTTTGTATTTTTAGTGAAGACAGGGTTTCAGTATGTTGGACAAGGTGGTCTAGAACTCCTAACCTCAGGTGATCTGCCTGCTTTGGCCTCCCAAAGAGCTGGAATTACAGGCATGAGCCACCATGCCCGATCAGATTCTGTGATTCTATATTATTTTTTAAGAGTCAGGACCACAGGGTTGCTGGACTCCAGAGAGGCACTGTTCATACAGAATATAATGTAAAGGGCACTGGAACTGAATGAAGTCAAGGAGATTTCCAGGTGCAGCAGTGCACACCCGTAGTCCCAGCTAGTCAGGAGTCTGAGGCAGGAGGGTCACTCCAGCCAAGTAGTTTGAGACCAACCTGGGAAACACAGTGAGACCCTGTCTCTAATAAAAAAAAATATATAAAAACTAAAAAAATCAAAGGGTCTCGCTCTGTCTGGAGTGCAGTGGTGTAGTCATAGCTCAGTGCATCCTCAAATTCCTGAGATCAAGCAATCCTCCCTCCTCAGCCTCCCAAGTAACTGGGATTATAGGCACACACCACCACTCCTGGCCAGTTTTTGTTTTGTTGTGTTGTGTTTTGTTTTGTTTTTGTGGAGATGGGGCCTTGCTATGCTGCCCAGAGTAATCTCCAACTCCTGGGCTTGAGCAATTCTCCTGCCTCGGCCTCCCAAAGCACAGGGATTACAGTTGTGAGCCACCACACTCCACCATGAATATCTTTAGAAGGACCATTTTGAGCCTACCAAAAGGGCCCTCACATACATAGGCTCCTCTCCATAACTAGGAGAGAAGGTTGCCAGAAGCTTCCACTACAGACAGCACCTGCCAGGTCAAAACTGTGGAGGAATTAGAGAAGGAGCTCTACCAATGAGGGCTCTGAAGCCAAGCAGAGCTTTTTTTTTTTTTTTTTTTTTTTTGTGAGACAGAGTCTCACTCTGTCGCCCAGGCTGGAGTGCAGTGGCACAATGTCTCAGCTCACTGCAACTTTCGCCTCCTAGATTAAAGCAATTCTCCTGCCTCAGCCTTCCAAGTAGCTGGGACTACAGGCACACACCACCACACCCGGCTAATTTTTTTGTATTTCTAGTAGAGAAGGGGTTTAGCCATGTTGGCAAGGCTGATCTCGAACTCCTGACCTCAAGTGATCTACCCACCTTTGGCTCCCAAAATGCTGGGATTACAGGCGTGAGCCACCGCGCCTGGCCCCAAGCAGAACTCTTCTAAACCATCAACCATGGAGAGCTCACTAGGATCACCTGTGCTAGAGGAAACGCTGAATTCATTTTCTATACATTATGCAGAAGATGACATCACTCTTGCCGTATAAAGAAGTGCTTCACCTATCAAGAACCAATCTTGTGAAAACATTTTCGGTCTGTCCTTTAGTTAAATTTATAAACATATTTATAGCCTGGAATTGTGACTGATTCGATTGCAGCTTTGTGATGATTTGGGCACGCTGACTCTTGTTCTCAGGATGGTCTGTAGCACACCTTCTCCCAGTTGTCCAATCAAACCCTAGTTGAGGTGCGGCTTTAAGGGGATTTGGCAGACGTAAACAAAGCCCAAAATCCTTGAGTTAATCATGAGAGATAAGGTGTGGGTTGGGCTGACCCAAGCAAGTGGAAACTGTTTAAATAGCCCATGGGAACTCCCTGAGGTTTAGAGATACAGACAGCAAAGGAGAGAGGATCCTCAAAATGACTTATCCATGTCAAACCCTCCAGACTCAGCTCAATGCAAACATCCTACACATGGCAAATGAAAAAGAAAAAAAAAGTCAGAAAATGCCCTGTGATAATTGGTAGCCAATTGAGGCAACATTGGATGAGTTGGATCAGAAGATGAAGCTGAGAGAGAACTTCAGGAAGAAAAGAGGCCAGGGGAGTGTCTCTGGCCCACCTTCAGGATTCCTCATTGGAAATCCTGCTACATCTTAGAGATGTTTCATTAGCAGAAAGCCATCAGCAGAGAACTGTGTGCGTATTATCTGAAAGAAGATTATGCAGATCCAAACCTGACTGCCAAGTGGAAAAGAGACAGTTACAAGGCTTTGTGCTGCCTGTGGTGTGTTCAGACTCAGGATACCAACTTTGGAACCAACTGCATCTGCCAGGTTGTCTAGGGCACCCTTGACATAAGTGACTTCATCTTAGAAAAATACTTTATTTTACATTTCAAAAGGCATTATGCCAACAGGACCAGATGTTTGCCTAATCAATGGAGACAACACCCAACTAGATAAGGGCATATGACCCTTTATTATCAGCCCTCATCCGAGGACTCAAGGGTGATAAGATGAGCCGGACTTCACCAGCCAGCCCTAGCCATCTTGAGAGACCCCGTCTTGCTGGTGCTTGTGATCGACACCTGGCATCTGCCACCCAAGGCTGTGCTCAAATCAAAAACTCTTCCTGCAAGACATTGACAACTGTCTGGATCAGCCCAGGACATCTTCCTTGTCCACATAGCTCTCCCTGGACTGGTTCATTAACCCTTATTCCTATCCCCTTTTCTCTTGATGTTAAATCTTGTTTGATGTGTAATGTTTAATCTATAACGTTTACATATCGATTAAGTATACTGTTAAGAATGGTCTGCAATATTGACTGACTTGTGGAGTGGCTTGAACCTGTGTGCCCATGGCTCTGACTGAGTGAGCAGGTGGTATTTAGGAGAATTGCCTGTGTAGCTTGTGGCTTTTATGATTAAAACAGCATCAGTAAAAGTCTAACCTTGTGGAAAGACTCAAACATACATGGACTTGGTTCTGCCTGTCCTTGCACTGCTCATGATCCGGGTCCCCCAAAGCCAGTGGGAAGCCGGAAGCATGGTGGAGAGGGTGCCCTGTGGCCACAAAAGCTGTTCCTCCAGTGGCCACTCTGGCCCCACTCCCACTTCACCCTGGACTTTGAACTTCCATGATGTCTGGGTCTCCCCAAGCCTCTGGGTCCCTAAAAGTGATCTATGTTGAAGACATCCAGAACTGAGTATGTCATGGTCACCTCCCAAAACACCCCCAGCCCTTCCCAGTAGCAAGGCTGGAACTCTGCTGCCTCTGAACCAGATCTGGAACTTTGATCCCAATTACATTTGAGAGACAAGGGAATATCAGTTCTGTATCCTCAGAAAACCTTTGCCTCCCCAAACCCAAGGTCATGAAAGTAAAATTTGAAAGTAAACAAGAATTTAAAAAAAAAAAAAAAAAAAAAAAACAGATAAATAGTCTCCAGAGAGAAGATATTGACTCCTGCTCCGTTAGGGTCCTTCAAGACCCAGTAAATGCCCAGTTAAAGGGTGGAGAAATGGAACCTTGTGCTTTAACGTTCTTTCCACCAGGTGGCGTGTGCTGAGCCTTTGGGAAAAAAAAAATCTTTGAAAAAAAGATATTGCTTGAGTGGCTTGTATTTCCTTCCCAGCACAAATAGAAACTTTGCTTTCTAGGAATGTGAGGCTTATCCCAGGAGAAAGAAAATCAAATTCAGGTCCAAAAATATGGAAAATTTTCTTTTTTTCTGTTTTTTCCCCAGGCTTCTGCCTTTTTGCTCTCAGGAATTACCGCTGCTGAACTGGAAGTAGAGATTGTCCCTGGCCCTTCCTCATCAGTAAGTGGTTGTTAAGCATTTCAGTGATGTCACCTGTTTTCTTTATGTACTAAGTGTGGAAGTATTTGTGGTATGGGGGGAATAGTGTTTGTTTTTAACAGGTGAAAGGTTACTGTTGTTTTATGGTTTTTTGTCTTTAAGGTAAGGTCTCTGTCCCCCAGGCAGGAGTCCAGTGGGGCAACCATAGCTCACTGTAACCTCGAGCTCCTGGGCTCAAGCAATCCTCCCTCCTCAGCCTCCCAAGTAGCTGAGACTACAGGCACACACCACAACACCAGGCTAATTTTTTAATTTTTTGTAGAAACAGGAGTCTTGCTATGTTTCCCAGGCTGGTCTTAAACTCCTGGGCTCAAGCAATCCTCACATCTTGGCCTCCCAAAGCACTGAGATTACAGGTATGAGGCACCATGCCCACCCCAAAAGGTTACTCTTTTTCATGAGCCGGAAATATCATTCAGGCTTGAAACAGAAGGGCTTCCCCAGAATGTTATTTTTACCTTGCCATGTAAAAATAACATTAAAACTGCCTTACGTTATAAGATGTGTAACAATTTACAAAACAAGGTGTAGTAGAAAGGATATTGGAGTCACAAGTCCTGGATTTTCACCTTGGCTCCAACTCTTAGATTTGTAAGATTTTGGTCAAGTTACAATCCGTTTCAATATCCCTAAAGTGGTGATGCTAATAGTTATTTGGAAAACCAAGTGAGAAAATGTACGTGAGATCCCAAGCCCTAAGATGCTCAGCATTACTAGTCATTAGGAAAATGCAAATCAAAACCACAATGAGATACCACTAAACACCCATTAGGAGGGTTACTAACAGAAAACAAATAAAAAAGGAAAAAAAATGTTGGAAAATAAATGTTTGCAAAGAAGTAGGAAAAAATGAAACCCTTGTGCATTGCCGGTGAGAGTGTAAAATCATGCAGCTGCTATGAGAAAGTTTGGTGGTTCCTCAAAAAGCTAAACATAGACTATGTTCTAGCACTTCTGCTCCTAAGTATATACCTAAAGGACTTGAAAGAAGAGGTCCAAGCAGATAATTTGTACAACCAAGTCCATAGCAGCATTATTCACAATAGCCAAGATAGAAACAACCCAAGTATTCATCAACAGATGAATGGATAAAATGTGACATATCCATACAATGGAATACTATTCATCTATGAAAAGGAGTAAAGTTCTGATACATGATCAACACGGAAACCTTGAGAACACTATGCTAAGTAAAATAAGCCAGACGCAAAAGGACAAATATAGTATGATTCCACTTCTGTGAGCTACTTAGAATAGGCAAATTCACAGAGACAGTAAGCAGATTAGAGGTTACCAGAGGCTGGGGGGATGGGGTGAGAATAGGAAGTTATTATTTAATGCTTACAAAGTTTCTGTTCAGTATAATAAATTTTTGCAAATAGATGATGGTGGTTGCATAGCATAATGAATGTAATTAATTTCACTGAATTGTATACTTTAAAATGGTAAAAATAGGCCAGGCATGATGGTGCATGCCTGTAATCTCAGCACTTTGGCAGACCGAGGCAGGCAGATCACTTGAGGTCAGGAGTTCGAGACCAGCCTGGCCAACATGGCAAAACCTTGTCGCCACTAAAATACAAAAATTACTGAGTGTGGTGGTGCACACCTGTAATCTCAGCTACTCCAGAAGCTGAGGCATGAGAATCGTTTGAACCCAGGAGGTAGAGGTTACTGCACTCCAGCCTGGGTGACACAGCAAGACCCTGTCTCAAAAAATAAATAAATAAAATGGTAAAAACGGTAAATACTGTGTATATTTTATCGCAATAAAAAATACAAAAAAAGTGATTGAGTGGATTTAGACCAATATTGCATTCAAGATCAACTACAGATTTGGGAATGATATTTTTCTAACTGACTATATTTGGTGATTAAACTTCATTTTCTAAGAAATTAAGGTTTCAAGGCCTGGCACATTTGCATTCAACTCATGTGCTGAGGCTTCTTCTGGCCCATGTTATCCTTCGAGGCACAGAAGCATCATCAACAAAATCCTGCTGTCCCTGCACGACATTCTCTTGGAGCCACTTCTCGGTGCAGATTACTGCTTAGTCTTAGAAAGGATAGGCACAGAAAGAATGTAGTGAGGGAATGAATCGGAGGAGAACACTCAGTGAGCACCCTCAATGCCAAGTCATTTGTGTGTGTTCTTGGTCCCTCCTTTAAGCCCAGATTCTACTCTCTGCATTCTTCTTGATGCCTTGATCAGAATTAATTTCTTTACATCTGATATTTCAAGGCTTTTTATGGCATTTCTGCAATCTACCCCATGTAGGCTTACATATGCATGCAGCTCATTTAGCATGAGGACCTAAAGGCAAGAACCTTTCTCTTTCCCTTTCCCTTCCTCCTTTCATCACCCAACTCTTACTCCCACCCATCTGCCACACCCTTAGAAAATGTTTGCCATGACTACTGCATGTCCAAGCTCTATCAAATCTGACAGCAGAATGGTTTTGCCAATTATTTTTTCTCACAAATAATTGCCTTTTATCTATTTTATTTACTGCAAACTCAGTTGTTATCAACTCCTACCTACCCCCAAGACATCCACTCGTCACCACTACAAAACCTCAAGTATAAGCACACGCTGACAAATCCTGAAAAGGGTAAGATGTAAATGGCACCAAAGACTGAAAATAGCCTGGAACCAGGCTTTAATGCAACACAGCAACTGGCTTTGTTCACCATATTAAAAAGGGTTAACAGGCCGGGTGCGGTGACTCATGCCTGTAATCCCAACAGTTTGGGAGGCCAAGGCGGGTGGATCACTTGAGGCCAGGAGTTCGAGACCAGCCTGGCCAACATGGTGAAGCCCCATCTCTACTAAAAATACAAAAATTAGCCAGGCATGGTGGCGGGAGCCTGTAGTCTCAGCTACTTGGGAGGCTGAGGCAGGAGAATCACTCAAACCCAGGAGACAGAGGTTGCAGTGAGCTGAGGTCGGGCCACTGCACTCCAGCCTGGGCAATAGACTCTGCCTCAAAAAAAAGAAAAAAGAAAAAAAAAAGGATTAATAACATGTAATCCTTGTCCCTCAAGGAGCTAAACATCTCTGTACAAGAATTCTTCACTAAAAACTGCTCCCTATTGCAGAATACTTTCTTCATAGCACAAGATTAAGTCAAGAAGGAACCATTATTTATACACATTCCACATATCTCATTTAATTTTTACACCAACCCAGTGAAGTCCTTCTCAGTCTGGCTTCTGTTGACCTCTTAGCCTCTCTCATCCATCTAACCCAGCACTCCATTTTCCAACCATACAAAGCTACCTCCAGTCCCTGAACGTACCAGCTAACTCTCCTCTCCAATCTTCTTTTTTTTTTTTTTTTTTTTTTTTTTGAGACGGAGTCTCACCATGTTGCCCAGGCTGGAGTACAGTGGCATGATCTCAGCTCACTGCAACCTCTGCCTCCCCGGTTCAAGCCATTCTCCTGCCTCAGCCTCCCAAGTGGCTGGGACTACAGGTGCGCGCCACCACCTCCAGCTAATTTTTTGTATTTTTAGTAGAGACGGGGTTTCACCATGTTGGCCAGCCTGGTCTCCAACTCCTGACCTCAGGTGATCTGCTCACCTTGGCCTCCCAAAGTGCGGGGATTACAGGCGTGAGCCACTGCGCCCAGCCCTCCAATCTTCTATAAATGGTGTTTTTTTCTGCAAGGACCCCTGCCTACTCCCAACATTCTTCTAGCTACCATCTACTTATCTTTCAGACATTATCTCAGAAGTCCTTCCCTCTTGAAAACTTTCCATGCCAGCTTCATGCTGCCAAGACTGAATTAACTACCGGACCTTCAGGATACCCTGGGACCAACTATCCCTCTGGGGGCATTACCCAGGCTCTTAAAATGTAAGGGTGTGTTAACTTGTCTGTTTTCTCTACTGGACTGAGCAGTCCATAAGGGAAGGGGCCATTTGTGTACCCAGAACTTCATTAATTATCTGACGCATGATCAACATTCGACAAATATCTGTTCAACGGCCATGATCAGTATTATTTTCCTGTATTTTAGACATGAGGAAG
This sequence comes from Homo sapiens, assembly GCF_000001405.40. Taxonomy (NCBI): domain Eukaryota; kingdom Metazoa; phylum Chordata; class Mammalia; order Primates; family Hominidae; genus Homo; species Homo sapiens. The sequence goes on along the minus strand of NC_000008.11, from coordinate 33,636,023 downwards.
CTGGAACTAAGGAAGTCTAAGAATGTGACCACAGCTGGCATGGTGGCTCACGACTATAATCCCAGCACTTTGGGAGGCCAAGGCGGGCACACTGCCTTAGCTCAGGAGTTCAAGACCAGCCTGGGCAACATGATGAAACCCTGTCTCTACTAAAAATACAAAAAAATAGCCGAGTGTGGTGGGGCACACCTGTACTCCCAGCTACTTGGGAGGCTGAGGCACGAGAATCTCTTGAACCCAGGAAGCAGAGGTTACAGTGAGCCAACATTACACCACTGCACTCCAGCCTGGGTAACCAAGCAAGAGTTTGTCTCCAAAACAAAACAAAACAAAGTGTCCAGAGACACAGAGCTTACAAGCAGAACACCTAGATTTGAGCCCAGTTCCTTCCGGCTCAAGAGTTCAAAATATAAGTGAATCCCTTTACCAAAGTGTGTGAGAATTTCATCAATGATTATTCAAAATGTCCCATTGGAGTCATCAGTTCTTCCTTTATTTTACCATAATATTCCACCAAAATTCACCCTCACTATCCAGTGAAAACCCTTACAGATCAAGCTGGGCGAGATGACTCATGCCGGTAATCCCAGCACGTTGGGAGGCTGAGGTGGGCGATCACCTGAGGTCAGGAGTTCAAGACCAGCATGGCCAACATGGTGAAACCCCATCTCTACTAAAAATACAAAAATGAACCAGGCACAGTGGCAGGCACCTGTAATCCCAGATACACAAGAGGCTGAGGCAGGAGAATCGCTTGAACCTGGGAGGTAGAGTTTGTAGTGAGCCAAGATCATGCCACTGAACTCCAGCCTGGGCGACAGAGTAAGACTGTCTCAAAAACCAAACCAAACAAAACGAAAAAACACCCTTACGGCTCAGATTTATAAACAGAACTCAAAGACAGAGGCTACACTTACGAGGTGGGGCAAGGGAAGTTGAGAAAAAGATGGCATCTCCTTTTCCCAATGTTTTTTCCTCTTTCAGCTGTATGTTTTGGGGTTCTAATGACAAATAATAAGGCCTGAGAATTTTGCTGGAAACCTTCCTACAATGATTTAAATGTTTGTTCCCTCCCACACTCATGTTAAAATTTAATTACCAGCTGGCACAGAGGCTCATGCCTGTAATCCTAGCACTTTGTGAGGCCAAAGCGGGAGGATCATTTGAGCTCAGGAGTCCCCAAGACCAGCCTGGGCAACATAGTGAGACACCGTCTGTATTTTTAAAAAAATTTTTTAATAAAAAAATAAAATTAATTAATTATCCTTGTAACAGTAGTAAGAGGCGAAAACTTTAAGAGGCGATTAGGCCATGAGACCCTGTCCTAATGAATAGAATAATATCCTTATCATGGGGGTGGATTCCTTATAAAAGAACAAATTCTGCCCACCTTTTCCCCTCTCTCTGCCCCCCTCCCTCTCCTCTTTGCCTTTCTGCCATGTGATACCTTCTGCCATCTTAGCGTGTCCGGAATTGTTGGGTTCTTGGTCTCACTGACTTCAAGACTGAAGCTGCCAACCCTTGCCGTGAGTGTTACGGTTCTTAAAGGCAGCGTGTCCGGAGTTTGTTCCTTCTGATGTTTGGATGTGCTCGGAGTTTCTTCCTTCTGGTGGGTTCGTGGTCTCGCTGAGAGGTGACAGCGTGCTGGCAGTCCTCACAGCCCTCGCTAGCTCTGGGAGCCTCCTCTGCCTGGGCTCCCACTTTGGAGGCACTTGAGGAGCCCTTCAGCCCACCGCTGCACTATGGGAGCCCCTTTCTGGGCTGGCCAAGGCCAGAGCTGGCTCCCTCAGCTTGCAGGGAGGTGTGGAGGGAGAGGCGCAAGCAGGAACCATGCCTGCATGGGGCGCTTGCGGGCCAGCTGGAGTTCCGTGTGGGCGTGGGCTTGGCGGGCCCCGCACTGGGAGCAGCCGGACCGCCCTGCCGGCCCCAGGCAATGAGGGGCTTAGCACCCGGGCCAGCGGCTGTGGAGGGTGTACTGGGTCCCCCAGCAGTGCCAGCCCACCGGTGCTGCGCTCGATTTCTCCCCAGGCCTTAGCTGCCTTCCTGCAGGGCGGGGCAGGGCTGGGGACCTGCAGCACGCCATGCCTGAGCCTCCCACCCCCTCCGTGGGCTCCTGTGCGGCCCGAGCCTCCCCAATGAGCACCACCCCCTGCTCCACGATGCCCAGTCCCATCGACCACCCAAGGGCTGAGGAGTGCCAGCACAAGGCGTGGGACTGGCAGGCAGCTCCACCTGCAGCCGCAGTGCGGGTTCCACCGGGTGAAGCCAGCTGGCCTCCTGAGTCTGGTGCGGCCGTGGAGAACCTTTATGTCTAGCTCAGGGATTGTAAATACACCAATCAGCACCCTGTGTCTAGCTCAGGGTTTGTGAATGCACCAATCGACACTCTGTATCTAGCTACTCTAGTGGGGCCTTGGAGAACCTTTGTGTGGACACTCTGTATCTAGCTAATCTGTTGGGGAGGAGGAGACTCTTTGTGTCTAGCTCAGGGATTATAAACGCACCAATCAGCGCCCTGTCAAAACAGACCACTGGGCTCTACCAATCAGCAGGATGTGGGTGGGGCCAGATAAGAATAAAAGCAGGCTGCCTGAGCCAGCAGTGGCAACCCATTCAGGGCTCCCTTCCACACTGTGGAAGCTTTGTTCTTTCACTCTTTGCAATAAATCTTGCTACTGCTCACTCTTTGGGTCCACACTGCTTTTATGAGCTTTAACACTCACCATGAAAGCCTACAGCTTCACTCCTGAAGCCAGCAAGACCATGAGCCCACCAGAAGAACAAGTCCAGGAACAACTCCAGACGCGCCACCTTAAGAGCTGTAACACTCACCGGGAAGGTCTGCAGCTTCACTCCTGAGCCAGCGAGACCACGAACCCACCGAAGGAAGAAACTCCGAACACATCCGAACATCAGAAGGAACAAAAACTCCAGAGGCACCACCTTAAGAGCTGTAACACTCACCGTGAGGGTCCGCGGCTTCATTCTTGAAGTCAGTAAGACCAAGAACCCACCAATTGCGGACACATTGCTGGCTCAGGAGTGAAGCTGCAGACCTTCGCGGTGAGTGTTACAGCTCTTAAGGTGGCGCATCTGGAGTTGTTCGTTCCTCCCGGTGGGTTCGTGGTCTGGCTGGCTTCAGGAGTGAAGCTGCAAAGTTTCGCGGCGAGTGTTACAGCTCTTAAGTGGGCGTGTCTGGAGATGTTCCTTCCTCCTGGTGGGTTCGTGGTCTCACTGGCTTCAGGAGTGAGTGTTACACCTTCACGGTAAGTGTCACAGCTCATAAAGGCAGTGTGGACCCAAAGTGAGCAGTAGCAAGATTTATTGCAAAAAGCAAAAGAACAAAGCTTCCACAGTGTAGAAGGGGACCCGAGTGGGTTACCACTGCTGGCTCGGGCAGCCTGCTTTTATTCTCTAATCTGGCCCCACCCACATCCTGCTGACTGGTCCATTTTACAGAGAGCCGATTGGTCTGTTTTGACAGGGTGCTGATTGGTGCATTTACAATCCCTGAGCTAGACACAGAAGTTCTCCACCCCCGCCCCCCTCACTAGATTAGCTAGCTACAGAGTGTCCACTGGTGTATTTACAAACCTGGAGCTACATACAGAGTGCCGATTGGTGTATTCAGAATCCCTTAGCTAGACATAAAGGTTCTCCAAGTCCCCACCAGATTAGCTAGATATGGAGTGTCCATTGGTGTATTTACAAACCCTGAGCTAGACACAGAGTGCTGATTGGTGCATTCACAAACCCTGAGCTAGACACAGGGTGCTAATTGGTGTGTTTACAAACCTTGAGCTAGATAAAGAGTGCTGATTGGTGTATTTACAATCCGTTAGCTAGACATAAAGATTCCCCAAGTCCCCACCAGACTCAGGAGCCCAGCTGGCTTCACCCAGTGAATCCTGCACCGGGGCCGCAGGTGGAGCTGCCTGCCAGTCCTGGGCAGTGCGCCCGCACTCCTCAGCCCTTGGGTGGTCGATGGGACTGGGCGGCGTGGAGCAAGGAGCGGGGCTCATCAAGGAGGCGCCGGCCACGCAGGAGCCCACGGTGGGTATGGGGGGAGGCTCAGGCATGGCAGGCTGCAGATCCCGATCCCTGCCCCACAGGGAGGCAGCTAAGGCCCAGGGAGAAATTGAGTGCAGCACCGGTGGGCCAGCACAGGTGGAAGACCCGGCACACCCTCCGCAGCTGCTGGCCTGGGTGCTAAGCCCGTTAGAGCCCGCGGCCAGCGGGGCTGGTCGGCTGCTCCGAGTGCGGGGCTGCCAAGCCCACGCCCACCCAGAACTCTAGCTGGCCCACAAGCACCGTGTGCAGCCCCAGTTCCTGCCCATGCCTCTCCCTCCACACCTCCCTGCAAGCTGAGGGAGCTGGCTCTGGCCTTGGCCAGCCCAGAAAGGGGCTCCCACAGTGCAGCGGTGGGCTGAAGGGCTCCTCAAACATGGCCAGAATGGGCGCCGAGGCTGAGGAGGCACCAAGAGGGAGCAAGGGCTGTGAGGGCTGCCAGCAGGCTGTCACCTCTCATTAGGACACAGCAAGAAGGCTCCCACCAGATGCTGGCATCTCAATCTATTTTTTTTTTTTTTTTTTTTTTTGAGACGAGTCTCACTCTGTCACCTAGGCTGGAATGCAGTGGCATGATCTTGGCTTACTACAACCTCTGCCTCCCAGGTTCAAGCAATTCTCCTGCCTCAGCCTCCTGAGTAGCTGGAATTACAGATGCACACCACCATGCCTGGCTAATTTTTGTATTTTTAGTAGAGATGAGATTTCACCATATTGGCCAGGCTGGTCCCGAACTCCTGACCTCAGGTGATCCATCTGCCTCGGCCTCCCAAAGTGCTGAGATTACAGGTGTGAGCTACTGCACCTGGCCAGGCATCTCAATCTTGAACTTCTCAGCTTCCAGTGAGAAATAAATTGCTGTGTTTTATAAATTACCCAGTTTGTGGGATTCTGTTACAGCAGCACAAAATGAACTAAGATACTTCTCTTTTCGCTGATATAGAAAAACAGCCAATTCAGTGAACTGGTTGAGCTGCCCACCTAATTATGCTGTGTCTGGAGCTCTTTAGGGCTCTGGGGGTACCTATAAAAGCCACAGTTATATTTCAAGATGAGAATATTTTCACAAAGAACAGAAGTATCATCAGGCTTTGAAAGTTCTCAGTGGTGCCTGCTAGAAAGCAGCCATGCTTCAACATAAGGAGCTCAGAGCCATCTTGGCCTTGCCCATTGAGTGGGTTATCTATTGCTGTGTAAGAAACTACTCCAAAATTAAAAGCTTAACAAATTTTTATTATCACAGTTTCTGTGGATCAGGAATTTAAAAACGACTTAGCTGGATAGTTTGGGGCAGGGTCTTTTCTGAGGTTGCAGTCAGGACATTGGCTGAGGCTGCAGTCATCTGAAAATTTAACTGGAGATGGAGTATCCACTATTCTTGGTTTTTTTGTTTGTTTTTTGAGATAGGGTCTTGCTCTGTTGCCGAGGCTGAAGTGCAGGGTGGTGCAATCACAGCTCACTGCAGCCTCAAACTCCCAGGCTCAACCAATCCTCCTGCCTTAGCCTCTGGAATACCCAGGACTACAGGTGCACACCACCACACCAGCTAATTTTTAAATCTTTTGTAGAGACAGAATCTTGCTATGTTGCCCAACCTGGTCTTGAATTCCTGGCCTCAAGTGATCCTCCCACCTCAACCTCCCACAGTGCCGGGATTTCAGCTACAAGCTACTGCACCTGGCTGGCCAGGAACCACTTCTTTTTTTTTTTTTTTTTTTTTTTTGAGACAGAGTTTCACTCACATTGCCCAGGCTGGAGTGCAATGGTGCGATCTCGGCTCACCACAACCTCCGCCTCCTGGGTTCAAGTGATTCTCCTGCCTCAGCCTCCTGAGTAGCTGGGATTACAGGCATGTGCCACCACACCTGGCTAATTTTGTATTTTTAGTAGAGACGGGGTTTCTCCATGTTGGTCAGGCTGGTCTCGAACTCCCGACCTCAGGTGATCTACCCACCTCGGCCTCCCAGAGTGCTGGGATTACAGGCGTGAGCCACCACATCCAGCCAAGAACCACTTCTTAAACAACTCATTCACCTGGCTGTTATGAAAAGACTTCAGTGTCTTGCTGGCTTTTGGCAGGAGGCCTCAGTTCCTTGCCATTTGGGTATATTCATTGGGTTGCTTGAGTATCACATTTCCCTATAGCCCTATAGCCTGTTATCCAAGAGAGAGAACAAGGAGGAAATCTCATTATCTTTTATGACCTAGTTTCAGAAGTCACATATCATCATTTCCACAACATCTTATTCATTAAAAGTCAGGAAGTACAACCCACATTCAAAAACAGTATTGGGCTTTACTTTTTAAAAGAACTATCAAAGTATTTGTGAACATGTTTTTTATAAGTTTTCTTTGGTTTGGTTTTGTTTTTTGAGACTACAGTCTCTCTATTTTGCCCAAACTGGGCTCAGCTCAAATTCACAATCATCCCGTGTAGCTGGGACTACAAATATGCGCCACCATCCCCATATAAACATGTTTTTAAATCACTGCACCCATGCACTTAACAAAGAATAGATTCACAAACACAAACTCCTTCCTTACTTATAAGGGGCATTTTACCTCTCTCAGTGAAGTGCCCTAAGCTATATCCCAGGTCCTGATAAATTCCCACACATCAGAAATTAATTACTTTCTTGACTCTAATACCTGTTGATGAATGGTTTGAGCCCTTCTTCACTCCAAAGTGTCAATCATTAACTATTGAGTAAAATATTTACAGAGCACCATCAATGTCCCAAGTACTAAGCAGAAAAAAAAATGGAACATAGAGCTAAAAACCAGTGCCCCTAGCTCAGATGGCTCACTGTTTAGTATGAGAAAAACAGGTATTATGATGCAGTATGATAAGCACTATAATAGAATTATGCTTCGGGGGCTATCCAGTGCATAAAAGAGATAACTACCTAGATTGGAGAGTGAGAAGGAGAGACACATACAACTTGTGAGATAACCTTGGAGATAAGCTCTAAATGATGAGCAGATTTAGCCAAGCAAAATGGAAGAGAAGAACAGGCTAATTGATCCTAGGCCCATTCAAAGACATGAAGATGAAAAAAAACATGGAATATTTTGAATTTTTACATTGTTTCTTAGGACTGGTGTGCAATAGAATTCAAGGTGGGAAATAGCCAGAAATGAGGCTAGACAGGGGCCCCACACTAAAGAATCTGGAATTTCTCTACAGTCAGCTGGGAGCCATCAAACTACTTTAAGCAGCTGGGACAAAAGCAAGTTTGCTTTTTTAAATTTTTCTTTTTTTTTTTTTAATTGAGAGAGAGTCTCATTCTGTCACCCAGGCTGGAGTGCAGTGGTTCAACCCGGCTCACTACAACCTCTGCCTCCCCAGTTCAAGCAATTCTCCTGCTTCAGCCTTTTGAGTTGCTGGGATTACAGGCACACACCCTCACACCTGACCTCAGGTGATCTGCCCTCCTCAGCCTCCCAAAGCACTAAATTACAGGAGTGAACCACCGCGCCCAGGAAAAATTTGCACTTAGAAGGTGACTACTAGGTAAGGTGCAGTGGTTGACGCCTGTAATCCCAGCACTTTGGGAGGCCGAGGACAGCAGATTGCCTGAGGTCAGGAGTTCAAGACCAGCCTAACCAACATGGTGAAACCCTGTCTCTACTACAAATACAAAAAATATTAGCTGGGCATGGTGGTGGGCACCTGTAGTCCCAGCTACTTGGGAGGCTGAGGCAGGAGAATCACTTCAACGCAGGAGGTTGCAGTGAGCCGAGATCATGCCACTGCTCTCCATCCTGGGTGACAGGTAAAAAACAAAACAAAACAAAAAAAGATTAACTCTGGCTGGGTACAATGGCTCATACCTATAATCCCAGCACTTTGGGAGGCTGAGGCAGAAGGATCACTTGAGGCCAGGAGTTCAAGACCAACCTGGGCAATATAGCAAGACTCCTGTCTTTACAAAAAATATTTTTTTTTTTTTTAGATGGAGTCTCGCTCTGTTGCCCAGGCTGGAGTGCAGTGGCATGATCTTGGCTCACTGTAACCTCCGCCTCCCAAATTCAAGCGATCCTCCTGCCTCAGCCTCCTGAGTAGCTGTATAAAAAATAATTTTTAAAAATTAGCTTGGCCAGGTGGTGCACACCTGTAGTCCCAGCTACTCAGGAGGCCAAGGCAGGATGATCACTTGAGCCCAGGAGCTTGAGGCTGCAGTGAGCTATGATTGTACCACTGCACTCCAGGCTGGGCAACAGAGCAAGACCCTGCCTCAAAAAAATTAGTTAAAAATAAAAGGTCACTACCCAGTAATGTAGAAAATATATTTGCAGTAAATTTATTTATTTATTTATTTATTTATTTTTGAGATAGGGTCTCACTCTGTCACCCAGGCTGGTGTGCGGTGGTACCATCATGACTCATTGCCACCTCGACTTCCAGGTTCCAGCAATCCTGTCACCTCAGCCACCTGAGTAGCTGGAACCACAGGCATGCGCCACCACGCCCGGCTAATTTTTGTATCTTTGGTAGACACAGGGTTTCACCATGTTTCCCAGGCTGGTCTCAAACTCCTGAGCTCATGATCCACCTGCCTTGCCCTCCCAAAGTGCTGGATTACAAACGCAAACCACCACACCTGGCCTAGAGTAAATTCAAAATACTGGAAGCTGGGTGTAATGGCTTACACCTGTAATCCCAGCACTTTAGGAGGCCAAAGAGGGAGGTCTGCTTGAGCCCAGGAGTTCAAGACCAGCCTGGGCAATATAGTGAGATCCCATCTCTACAAAAAATAAAAAAATTTAAAAATTTAAAAACAAAATGGAAGGCCTGGCATGGTGGCTCATGTCTGTAATACTAGCACTTTGGGAGACCTAGGTGGGTGGATCACCTGAGGTCAGGAGTTTGAGACCAGCCTGGCAAACATGGCAAAACCTCATCTCTACTAAATATACAAAATTTAGCCAGGCATGGTGCGGCGCGCCTGTAATCCCAGCTACTCAGGATGCTGAGGCAGGAGAATCGCTTGAAACCGGGAGGCGGAGGTTGCAGTGAGCTGAGATCGTGCCACTGCCCTCCAGCCTGGGTGACAGAGCGAGACTCCATCTTAATAAACATAATAAAAATAAGGAAATGAGGAGGGAACACCCAAGGAGTGACAGTGATGGTGAAGGAGAGGGGTGGTTTGAAAGACTGGAAGGTAAGGAATTGATACATTAGTAACTTGGTTCAATACACTGGATCGGGTGGGGGTGAGGAAGGAACCAAGGGAGCCCGAGTTGAGGTTTTAGAATAAGGCAACTGAAGGAAAGGGAGAAACATTCCTAATGAGATAGGGGAGCAAAATGAAACCAGTTTGGGTTTGGAGCAGATTGAGTTGGAGTCTGTCAGGCCTCTGAGCCCAAGCTAAGCCATCATATCCCCTGTGACCTGCACATATACATCCAGATGGCCTGAAGTAACTGAAGAATCACAAAAGAAGTGAAATTTAAATGGCCTGTTCCTGCCTTAACTGATGACATTCCACCACAAAAGAAGTGAAAATGGCCGGTCCTTGCCTTAACTGATGACATTACCTTGTGAAATTCCTTCTCCTGGCTCATCCTGGCTCAGAAAGCTCCCCCACTGAGCACCTCGTGACCCCTGACCCCTGCCCGCCAGAGAACAACCCCCTTTGACTGTAATTTTCCTTTACCTACCCAAATCCTATAAAACGGCCCCACCCCTATCTCCCTTCGCTGACTCTCTTTTCGGACTCAGCCCGCCTGCACCCAGGTGAAATAAACAGCCTTGTTGCTGACACGAAGCTGACACAAAGGGTGGTCTCTTCACACGGACGCGAGTGAAAGAGTCCTTGTAGGATAAATGCTAACATGGAAGCCCCTCTGGTTTAGTCTTACTAGGAAGATTCATTTGAGTTAACAGAAAACTAAATTATAGACTAAAGCTGAAAAATTATAAGATTGTGCTGTGTTTTTGTTTTGCTTTCTTTTCTTTTCTTATTATTTTTTATTTTGCTTTGTTTTATTTTTATTTTTATTGTCTCCTACTTCAGTTGCTTTATTGAATCTTCTCTTGTAGACAAATAAGAATTTTATAATTGTTTGGATTTAAATGGTTATTTTCAAATTGCTTAAGGGTATTAGAAAATAACTTCTTTCCTTGCAATTTTTTAAATGTCCCTTTCTAATTGGTTACATGATAATACATTCACACAACAAAATAATATGCAACTGTTTAAAACAGTTTGTATTAAAAAAATTTAGTAAATGGAGCAATAGTCATGAAATACTCCTTAGCAGAAAAAAAGGCAAGTTACAAAATAGTTATATACACTATGATTCTAATTTTCATAAAAATATGTGTGCATCTGTGTATGCACAGGGACAAATGGAAAGCAAAACAGCAAAATATAATTATGTCTATCTCTAAGTGCTGGGATTTGGGATGATTTTTTTAAATTGTCTTGTTGTGTTTTTATGCATTTGCTAAATTCAAAACAATGAATATTTAATATACTAGAGTTTAAAAATTAATACGGTTTCCAAATGTTTTGTCTTATAAATTTATTCTATACTTCCAGTGTCAAACCTTAAAACTGAAAATAAATTCACCAAGTCAGCAGAAGTTATCTTTGCCTTGTGGGAATAAGAGTAATACATATTATTTCTTTCTTTTGTTAATTGTTTCCATAATAGAAAGGTTAATAATTAGAAACGCTTTTAGAAAGAAATGTTTTCAGATCTCATGGAAGATGCAAAAATAAAAAAGGAAATAGGAGGAAACATTTATTTCCTTCCTCTGTCCCATAAAATTTCACTTTCAGGAAAGGGCCTGATGTTAGTCATTTGCACCTCCATGTGAATTTGACACTTCTTCCCCAGAGGTATTTACCTACCTGTTATGCTCTCTAATTAGGAGGAAATCTGAGTTCTATAAAGTTCAGATGTCCTGTGGTTTAGCCCACCTACTTCCTCACCAGACTTTCAGAAATAACAGTTTAGTCCTCAAAGGAGATCCCTTCTTCATGATCCATCCATCCATCCTTCTACCAGCGACTAATAGCTCTGACTCTACGGTTTCCTCTTTTGGTGATCACATTTCCCTCATATTTGGGATCTCTAGTGTTGTGTGTGAGATTTCCTGGCTAGTAAACTGTTTGCGATACAGAGCCACTTAATAAGAAAAACCAGAGCAGCCTCCAGTGGCTGAGATGTGAATTCCTCCTCTCTTTTTCTTTCCCCCAGCCCTTTTTCGTTCCTGCTTTTTTTTTTTTTTTTTTTTGAGACAGAGTCTCGCTCTGTCGCCCAAGCCGGCGTGCAATGGCGCAATCTCAGCTCACTGCAACCTCTGCCTCCCGGGTTCAAGCAATTCTCCTGCCTCAGCCTCCCGACTGGCTGGGATTATAGGCATGCGCCACCACGTCCAGCTAATTTTTTTTTTAATTAAAAAGTATACTTTAATGTCGAAAATGCAAACTTGGGGAAGGCAGAAAGATCACACACAAGGCTGTCACTTCACACTTGGAGGGTTGCACAGTGGCAGGGCAGAGGCACTCCTCACTTCCCAGACGGGGTGGTGGCCGACGCCCAGCTAATTTTTGTATTTTTAGCAGAGATGGGGTTTCACCATGTTGGCCAGGCTGGTCTCATACTCCTGACCTCAGGTGATCTGCCCGCCTCGGCCTCCCAAAGTGCTGGGATTACGGGCCTTTCTTATTTTTTTGAAGCAGAGACGGAGTTTAGCTCTTGTTGCCCACACTCTGGAGTTCAATGGCACAGCCTCAGCTCACTGCAACCTCTGCCTCCCAGGTTCAAGCGATTTTCCTGCCTCAGCCTCCCAAATAGCTGGGATTATAGGTGCCTGCCACCACACCCAGCTAATTTTCGTATTTTTTGGTAGAGACAGGGTTTCACCATGTTGGCCAGGCTGGTCTAGAACTCCTGACCCCAGGTGATCCGCCCACCTCGGCCACCCAAAGTGCTGGGATTACAGGCATAAGCCACAGCTCCCGGCCTTCCCTGCTTTCTTTCTTCCTGTTCATTTACCCCTCCAACAGGTCCCAGATTTTCTAAGTCAACCCAATTTCAAAGATCCTGTCCCATTATCTTCTTCCATACACTCATGCCTTTGTCAGATAATATGTTCAGATTCTTAGTTCAGAAAATGTGGTCACCATAGATGACCTCTTCAAATTATTCCTAATACTTGCCTCATTTCCTTTATGTCAACTTAAATGAAAGGAGACTCAAGACATGATACACATCACACACAAAAAATAAAGGAGTGAATGAACAAATAAAGTTTTCATGAGGACAATGTTAGTATATGCTTACACACAGTGGGGTAATCAAAATAGTCATTTGTTGAGTGCTTATCATGAACCAGGTACTGTGGTAATGCCAGAGGTGTTTGAACCAAAGCAACTCCATCTTGAATAGGAGCTAGGTAAAAATAAGGCTAAGACCTACTGGGCTGTGTTCCCAGGATGTTAAGGCATTCTTAGTCACAGGATGAGATAGGAGGTCAGCACAAAATACAGGTCACAAAGACCTTGCTGATAAAACAGGTTGTAGTAAAGAAGCTGGCAAAAACCCACCACAACCAAGATGATGACAGGAGTGACCTCTGGTCGTCCTCACTGCTCATATGCTAATTATAGTACATTAGCATGCTAAAAGACACTCCCACCAGCGCCATGACAGTTTACAGATGCCATGGCAACGTCAGGAAGTTAGATGTTTAGACCCTATATACTCTATATGGTCTAAAAGAGGGAGAAACCCTCAGTTCCGGGTATTGCCCACGCCTTTCCCAGAAAACTCATGAATTATCCACCCCCTGTTTAGCATATAATCAAGAAATAACTGTAAGTATTCTTAGCCCACCAGTCCAAGCTGCCACTCTGCCTATGGAGTAGCCATTCTTTCGTTCCTTTACCTTCTTAATAAACTTGCTTTCATTTACTCTACGGACTTGCCCCGAATTCTTTCTTGTGCGAGATCCAAGAACCCTCTGTTGGGGTCTAGATCCAGACCCCTTTCTGGTAACAATAAAGGATTTACATATTTTATTTAATTTAATCATCACAAGAAGTCATATCACAGTCTAAATGAACAAATTGAGATTTAGAGACACTCAGGCAGAGAGCCAGTATTCACACTCAGGTATCTGACTCCAAAGCACATGCTCTTAATAAATATGCTTTACTGCCATTGAGGGGTAATTTTGGAGGAGCCTGGGACAGGCTTACTGAACCCCACCACTCACCTTCAAAATATGTCCTTAAATTAGCTAAACCACTTCAATTTGGTTTGTTTGTTTGTTTGTTTTTTGAGACAGGGTCTTGCTCTGTCTCGCAGGCTGGAGTGCAGTGGTGCAATCTCGGTTCACTGCAACCTCCCCCTCCCAAGTTCAAGTGATTCTCCTACTTCAGCCTCCCAAGTAGCTGGGATTATAGGTGTGTGCCACCACGCCTCGCTAATTTTTGTATTTGTAGTACAGACAGCGTTTTACCATGTTGGCAAGGCTGGTCTCAAACTCCTGACTTCAGGTGATCCATCCACCTGGGCTTCCTTCCCTAAGTGCTGGGACTACAGGCATGTGCCACCACACCCAGCCATAACCCCTCAATTTGCATAGCACTTTAGGATGTGTGCATGCCTGTGTGTGCGTGTGTGTGATCCATAAGTCTCATAACAGCCCCGAGACATCAACAGGGCCTGGTGGAATATTAATTCTCCATTTATAGGAGAGGAATTAAGGCCCAGTGAGATTAAGTGATTTGTCACAGGCAGCGAAAAAGGCCTGGAACCAATGTTCAAACACTGTGTTACTTTCTCGACTTCTGCTTTCCTATGCTCTGAAATTCCCTTTCCAGCTACAAAACATTTCATTCCATTATTAAAGTTCTAGATGCCAGCTGAACTTTAAGGAAATGATTCACTGTGGATAGCTGAGACTTCTACATAGCTAAGGACGTGCTTCTCCACCATCCATTTCCACTCCTTCCATTATCCCTTTTTCTCACCTCTGTCTGCCTCTGTTGCTGTGAAACCATTTGGAATCGTCTATTTACATGACTGCCTTCTACGGTGAGCCACAATGCCCACCTTTATCCACATGGCTATTCTAGCTACTGGAGCTGGGCGTGGTGGCTTGCACCTGTAAACCCAACACTTTGGGAGGCCAAGGCACAAAGATCGCTTAAGCCCAGGAGTTCTGGGCCAACCTGGGAAACAGAGCGAGACCCTGACTCTCAAAAAAAAAACAAACAAAAAACAATTAGCTGGGCATGGTAGATGATGGTGCATGCCTGTAGTCCCAGCTACTCAGGAGGCTGGGGCAGGAGGACGCTTGAGCCCAGGAATTTGAGGCTGCAGTGAGCTACTGCTCCACTACACTTCAACCTGGGTGACAGAGAAAGACCCCGTCTCTAAAAAAAAAAAAAAAAAAAAAAAAAATTTAAATAAATGAAATTAAACACATAAATAAAAAAGAAAAGAAAATATTCTAGCCACTGGGACAAGTTCCCTAGCAGAACACACTCCATAAGCAATCGCAACTCAGACTGGGGGCAGGGAGGTGGAAAGTGGGGAACAGTGGGTCTATGTTTCTCATGGGTACATGGGAGGCATTGCGGTTTCATTATCTCCTTCAACAGTTCATCCAGCACAACATATTACACAGTTTCTTGCCTTCTTAGAAATAAAGGAGCTGAATTTACCCTTTGGGTGACAACACAAAAATATAATAAACAAATAAGAGCTAATATTTATTTTGTGCTTACCATATGACAGACACTGTTCTAATTGCTTTACATATATAAATTCATTAATCAGTATTAACTCATTCATTCCATTATTTTGCAAAGCTGTAAAACAGCAATGCTCCAGGAGGTATTGAAGGATTTATAATTATTTCTACCTTTTTTTAGTTCTTAGATCTCTCCCTTTTCCTGCAACTTCCATTTCTAATAGATTGCTAAATACTACCTCTCCAGATTTCTGATTTGCTTCCTTTAATCTCCTACAGTTTTTTTTTTTTTTTTTTCTTGAGACAGGGTCTTGCTTTGTCGCTAGGTTGAAGTGCAGTGGCACAATCATGGCTCACTGCAACCTAAGCAATCCTCCAACCTCAGCCTACCAAAGAGCTGAACCTACAGGCACGCGCCACGACTTTTGTGTGTGTGTGTGTGTGTGTGTGTGTGTGTAAAGGCAGGGTCTCCCTAAATTGCCTGGGCTGGTATCGAATTCCTGGCCTCAAGGTGTCCTCCAGCCTCCGCCTTCCAATATGCTGGGATTACAGGCATGAGCCATTGCACCTAGCCCTAATCTCCTATAGACTCAGAAGGATAAACCAATAGCTTTGGAATTACATCTAGAAAAATGTAACTATGTTCATGTGTGTGTGTGTGCATGCGTGTGTGTGTTTTGAGATGCAGTCTCATTCTTGTCGCCCAGGCTGGAGTGCAGTGGCACAATCTCGGCTCACTGCAACTTCTGCCTCTCAGGTTCAAGTGACTGATTTTCCTCCCTCAGCCTCCTAAGTAGTGGGATTACAGACTCCGCCACCACGCCCAGCTAATTTTTGTATTTTTAGTAGAGATGGGGTTTCACCATGTTGGCCAGGCTGGACTCAAACTCCTGACCTCAAGTGATCCACCCACCTCGGCCTCCCAAAGTGCTGGGATTGCAGGCGTGAGCCACCGTGCCCAGCCAGAAAAAGGTAACTATGTTCTGATAAGGACATATAAATAAAATATATTAGTAATAATACATGTGTGGTACCCAAATAGAAATATACAGTATATACAATATACTCAATGTATCTATTTCATTTATTTTGGGAACCAGAGTCTTTTTTTTTTTTTTTTAAGATGGGGTCTCCCTCTGTCATCCGGCTGGAGTGCGGTGGCACAATCACAGCTCACTGTAGCCTCAACCTCCCAGACTCAAGCAATCCTCTCAACTCAGCCTCCTGAGTAGCTAGGACCACAGGCATGCACCACAATGCCCAGCTAATTTTTATTTTTGTAGAGATGGGGGTCTCACTTTGTTGCCCAGGCTGACCTCAAACTTCTGAGCTCAAGTGATCCTCCTGCCTCTGCCTCCCAAAGTGCTAGGATTACAGGCATGAGTCACCACACCCAACCTAGAGTCTTTATTTATTTATTTATTTATTCATTTATTTATTTTTTGAGACAAAGTTTCGCTGTTGTCACCCAGGCTGGAGTGTGATGGCACGATCTTGGCTCACTGCAACCTCCACCTCCAGGGTTCAAGCGATTCTCCTGCCTCAGCCTCCCTAATAGATGGGATTACAGGCACCCACCACCATGCCAGCTAATTTTTTGTATTTTTAGTAGAGATGGGATTTCACTGTGATGGCCAGGCTGGTCTCGAACCCCTGGCCTCAGGTGATCACCCACCTCAGCCTCCCAAAGTGCTGGGATTACAGGCGTGAGCCACTGCACCCAGCAGAGTCTTTATTTTTAACGTTTTATGATGAAATAATTTCAAATTTGCAGAAAAACTGCAAAAACAGTACAAGGAACTTCCATATACATTTCACCAACCTTTTACTATCTCTAGCTAGAAGTATCCCAACGAGTTCATGAGATACAATTTCTCAAGATCCCTGGTAAAGAATGTGGCCATTATAAAGATCTTTAATCTGCTGTACATTTAATCCCAAACTTTTCCTCTCCCATGAATAATTAAAATTTCGCTAATTTAACTTTCGTGACCTATTTTGAATGTGGAATCATAAATATGGAGAAGCCCTAATGATATCACTGAGACCATCAACCAGATGTATGACAGAAGTGAAACTACTACAGACTGAGGAAAATCAATCATGGCTTGAAGCTATACCATTTATCTATTAATTAAAAATATAGGCCAGGCACGGTGACTCGCTCCTGTAATCCCAGCACTTTGGGAGGCCAAGGCAGGTGGATCACCTGAGGTCAGGAGTTCAAGACCAGCCTGGCCAACATGGTGAAACTCCATCTCTACTAAAAACACAAAATTAGCTGGGTGTGGCGGTGCACGCCTGTAATCCCAGCCACTCCGGAGGCTAAGCAGGAGAATTGCTTTAACCGGGGCGGTGGAGGTTGCAGTGAGCTGAGACCATGCCATGACATTGCACTCCAGCCTGGGTGACAAGAGCAAAACTCTGTCTCAAAATATATATATAGAAAGAGAGTGAGTGAGAGAGAGAGAGAGAATGAGCTAGGACCATTTTGTAACAGACACAACACTGCTTGAAGTCTTTTTTTTGTCTACTGTTACACTTTAATAAGGAAGTATATCTGACCTCATCAAAGATAAAGGCCACTATCATAAACTTTTTTTTTTTTGAGACGGAGTTTCTCTCTGTCACTAGGCTGGAGTGCAGTGTCTCGATCTCGATTCACTGCAACCTCCACCTCCCGGGTTCAAGCGATTCTCCTGCCTTGGCCTCCCGAGTAGCTGGGACTACAGGTGTGTGCCACCATGCCCAGTTAATTTTTTTATTTTTAGTAGAGACAAGGTTTCACCATGTTGGCCAGGATGGTCTTGATCTCCTGACCTTCTGATCCGCCCGCCTCAGCCTCCCAAAGTGCTGGGATTACAGGCGTGAGCCACTGCCTGTAGCTTAGGCATTGTATTTTGCATGTAGTAGACTTTTAGTAGTTGAGTAGCTGGGACTACAGGCACGCACCACCATCTACCATGCCTAGCTAATTGTTTTTCGTTTTTTGAGAGCCAGGGTCTCACTCTGTTTCCCAGGCTAGCCCAGAATTCCTGGGCTTAAAAAATTTTTAAACTTTTTTAAAATTCTTAATTCAATCTCTAAATTTCCCTCAAATATTTTCTTCTGTGGCCAAATTACAAATTATTTAAGCTCTTTTTCAGTGACCAGGAATTTTTCTAATCCTTGCAATTTGCATTATGAATAAAGAAGACTGGAGTGGGTAAGCCATAAAACATCACTCAAAGTCTACTACATGCAAAATGCAATGCCTAAGCTAATGCCATATTACATAACAGGCTCTAATAAATGGGGATTTGAGACCCAAGCTCAAGGCCAGCCCCTGTGGCTCCAGGACACAAGCCTGCTCCTGTAGACCCAGCCTCCAGGCCCACCTCAGCACAGCCCCGTGGCCTCAGACTCCAGGCTGACCACTGCAGATCCAGCCTCCTGGCCAGCCCCTGCAAACCCAGGCACCAGGCCAGCACCTGCAAACCTGGGCTCTACACTAGACCCTGCAGACCCAGGCTTTAGGCTGGCCTCCATGGACCCAAGACCTAGGTGTGCCCCCACAGGCTCAGACTCCAGAAACATTCTTATGGACTTGGACATCAAGCCTATCCCAGTGCCAGGCCAGCCCTCACAGACTAAGGCTCAAGGCCCACTTTGGTGCCAAGTCAGCTTCTGTGGACTCACAGAAGGCTTCAGGTCAGCACCCATGGATCCAGGATCCAGGCCTGTCCTTGCAGATCTAGGCTTCAGGCCCAACCTCAGAGAATCAGTTGACACAGCGGACCCAGGCTCCAGGCCCAACCCCACAGACCCAGGCATGATGCCCAGGCCCTGTGGACCCAAATACCAGGCCAGTCTGCCTTAGGCCTCCAGCAGTAAGCCTGCCATGATGGCCCACCAAGAAACTCTGGACAGGCTGACTGGCAAATGGCTTTTCCTAACAAAGTCAGCCTGTAAAGATTAAAATAAGTGGGTGGGCGCGGTGGCTCATGCCTGTAATTCCAACACTTTGGAAGGCCAAGGCAGGTGGATCACTTGAGGCCAGAAGTTTGAGGCCAGCCTGGCCAAATGGCAAAACCCAATCTCTACTAGAAATACAAAAATTAGTCAGGCATGGTGGTGCATGCCTGTAATTCCAGCCACCTGGGAGACTGAGGCATGAGAATTGGAGAAGTGGAGGTTGCAGTGAGCCAAGATCACACCACTATACTCTAGCATGGGTAACAGAGCGAGGCTCTGTCTCAAAAAAATGAAAAGATCAGAATAGATGCATGTTTCTTCAAATGCGCAGACACCAACACATGGCCATAGAAACTCAAATAATCAGGGAAACGTGACACCACCAAAGTTTCAAACTAAAGCACCAGTAACAAGAAATGGAAATCCACAAATGACCTGACAAAGAATTCAGTTTTGACACAACTCAGTGTACAGAAAACACAAGAGTAGAGAAAAAATGTAAATGACACTATGATGAAACAAACAAGACAAGTGTATGGGACATCCTTTAAGACAACTGGCCACTTACATCTAATAAGTCAATGTAATGGAAGAGGAACATGGTAGAGAGGTTATATTCTAAATTCAAAAGGGCTGGGCACAGTGGCTCATGCCTGTAATCCCTGCACTTTGGGAGACCAAGGCAGGCAGATCACCTGAGGACAGAAGTTTGAGACCAGCCTGGCCCCTGGCCAACATGGTGAAACCTCATCTCTACTAAAAATACAAAAAATTAGCTGGTCATGGTGGCACATGCCTGTAATTCCAGCTACTTAGGAGGCTGAGGCAGGAGAATCACTTGAACCAGAAGGCAGAGGTTGCAGTGAGCTGAGATCATGCCACTGCACTCCAGCCTAGGCGACAGAGCAAGACTCTGTCTCAAAAAAAAAAAAAAAAAAAAAAAAAAAAAAAAAAAAAGGACTGCATATTAAAAAAGATTAAGGAATTATTATCAATTTCCTTAGGGGTCATAATGGCATAGTGGTTATATATGAGAATGTGTTTTTTTAGGAGATACATAATAGGGTATTTGAGATGAAAGTATTTTGGGCTGGGCGCTATGACACGTGCCTGTAGTCCCAGCTACTCAGGAGACTGAGGCAAGAGGAGTGCTTAAAACCAGGAGTTTGAGTTTGCAGTGAACTATATGGTTGCACCACTGCACTCCAGCTTGGGGGACAGAGTGAGACCCTGTCTCAAAAAAAAAAAAAACTGTTCGAATTAGTGATCATGACATTTAAAAAAGAATTAATGTGGCCAGGCACGGTGGCTGATTTTATAATCCTGTGTGCTCAGAACGTTGAGGCAGGAGGATCACTTGAGCCCAGGAGTTTAAGGCCAGCCTGGGCATCTCTCAAGACCCCATCTTTAGAAAAAAAAAAAAAAAAGAAAAGAAAAGGAAGAAAGTATTTTTGCATCTGCAAGTTAGTTTCAAAAATAAGTGTGTATTTATGTGCATGTGTCTCTTATAACAGAAGAAAATTAGAAATAAATCACACATATTTACATAAATACATGTAAATCACATAAATATATGTGATTTATATACATATAAATATATGTGTATATATACAGTCACCAACTTACAATGGTTCAACGTAGGATTTTTCAATTTTACAATGGTGTGAAAGCAATACACATTCAGTAGAAACTATATTTTGAGTACCTATACAACCATTCTGTTTTTCACTTCCTTTTTTTTTTTTTTTTTCGAGATGGAGTATCACTCTGGCGTCCAGGCTGGAGTGCAGTGGAGGCAGGCGGATCACCTATGGTCAAGAGTTCGAGACCATCCTGGCCAACATGGCGAAACCCCGTCTCTACTAAAAATACAAAAATTAGCTTGCATGGTGGCGCCTGCCTGTAATCCCAACTACTCGGGAGGCTGAGGCAAGAGAATTGCTTGAACTCGGAAGGCAGAGATTGCAGTGAGCTGAGATTGCACCACTGTACTCCATCTCAAAAAAAAGAAAGGAAGGAAGGAGGGAAGGAAGGAAGGAAGGAAGAAGGAAGGAAGGAAGGAAGGAAATTCAAATTCCAAAATAGCTTCCTGAAGTGATTTCTTGGCCGGCCAAGAGGAAAAAATGAAAACTTAAAATGTTCTTTCTCCTTAAATCACAACTCCAAACTGAAGAGTCTTTATCCTACTCTTCCTTATCCTGCATCTTATGTTATTTAAACCTCCCTCTGCCCCATCTTTTTCTTTTATCTGTTCCCCTCTTTTTCCTAGCTAGCTAGCAACCCTCAAAACTCAATTGCCTCTTAAAATTAAACTTTTCTTTGAACACAAAAAAGTTCTTATGGTTGATTTTAAGCTCTTATCTTGCTTTTAGTTGAGAGTCATTGTCAAAATCTTTAGAAAGGCTAGACAGGATAGAGAGAAATAGCAAAGAGGAAAGAAAAAAATATTTGATATGATCTTTCCAACCAGGGGAATTCTAATCTATCTTTCTAGTGATAGAGATATTCATTTTACTGGGACTGTTATTAAAGAGCTTTACAGAGCCCTGACACATTTAGATACTTCACTGTCCCATATCACTCCCAATATTCAGGAAAGATAGAAAGAAATAAAGAAATTCTAAAACTCAAATTACCAAAATTCTTCAAGACTCTCAAACTTCTGTGGCCTAAGGTATTGCCGTTGGCTTTAATGTTAATGAGATCGACTGTTTCTGGGGCTTAGCAACTCCACCCATGAGTTAGTAACAGGCTGGCTCGGGAGTCTAGAAAGTTTACCTCTAAATGTAGACATTACCCTGTTCCAAGAAGACATGGTCAACTGTTTTAAGGGACTAGCACAATACACCCATTTTTATCATCAATAGGTAGGAGAAGCTGTTCTTCAACTTTATCCTAAACAACCCTTGCATGACTTAAAATCTGGAGACCTGGGCTGGGCATGGTGGCTCATGCCTGTAATTCCAGCACTTTGGGAGGCTGAGGCAGAAGGATCACCTGAGGTCAGGAGTTCGAGACCAGCCTGGCCAACATGGAGAAACCTCATCTCTACTAAAAATACAAAAATTAGCCAGGCATGGTGGCGGGCATCTGTAATCCCAGCTACTCGGGAGACTGAGGCAGAAGAATCGCTTGAATCCAGGAGGGAGGTGGAGGTTGCAGTGAGCCGAGATCTTGCCACTGCATTCCAGCCTGGGTGACAGAGCTAGACTCCATCTCAAAAAAAAAAAAAAAAAAAATCTGGAGACCCGGTTTTTTGGAACAGACTTCAGAAAAAAACAGCCTTTGAACCATGGTGGAAATGACCCTATCACGTGCTGTTAACAACTAGCACAGCAGCAAAACTGTAAGGTGTTGATCCTCCAGTTCATGCCTGAGCCACCCCCAAGATGACTACATCCTAAATCCAGAAATCTGTGAATTTGTTACTTTTTGTGAAAAAGGGGACTATGAAGATATAATTAAGCTTAATTATATTAAGATTAATTACCTTGAGATAGAAAGATGATTTTGGATTTTCCAGGTGAAATCAATGTATTTACAAGCATCCTTATAAGAAGGAAACAGGAGTTTCACAAATAAAGAAAAAGCAATGCAATGAGAGAAGCAGAAAAAGAGAAGGATTTGAAAATACCATATGGCTGGCTTTAAAATGAAGGAATGGATCATGAGCCAAGGAATACAGGTGACCTCCAGAAGCCAGAAAAGGCAAGCAAGCAGATTGCCTCCTAAGACCTCCAGAAGGAAGGCATTCCATGGACTGATTTTAGATTTCTGACCTCTAGAAATGTAATAAAATAAATATGTGTTATTTTAAGCCATAAGCCCATGAGAATTTGGTACAGCAGCAACAGAGAACTAAGAAGGCTGTCTCTCAACTGAAGAAACATAAACTATCCCCGAGTTATTGGAAGATTGTCTTTATCAGAGACCTTAACCTGAGCATTCTTAGGAACCTACAGAAACATACAGTCTTTGGGAAGAGATAACGTTTACCCAACAAGACGACTGTGGGGGATATAGACATTCCCACCTGAGGTCCACGCACTAAGACCACAGATTGCTACTCTTTAATCTACATTCTTTTGTTTTTTGTTTTCCTACCCCTCTTCTTTTCTCTGTTGCTGATTTGAGGCTATTTTCACCTATTTATTCATTAGACCCCTATTCTTTTTTTTTTTTTTTGAGATGGAGTCTCGCTCTGTTGCCCAGGATGGAGTGCAGTGGTGTAATCTTGGCTCACTGCAACCTCTGCCTCCCAGGTTCAACTGATTCTCCCACCTCAGCCTCCTGAGTAGCTGGGATTACAGGCACCCGCCATCATGCCTGGCTAATTTTTGTATTTTTGTAGAGACGGAGTTTCACCATGTTAGCCAAGCTGGTCTTGAACTGCTGACCTCAGGTGATCCACCCACCTTGGCCTCCCAAGGTACTGGGATTACAGGCATGAGCCACCACGCCCAGCCAGACCCCTATTCTTAATATTGTTTTGTTTTGTTTTGTTTTGAGACAGACTCACTCTGTCGCGCAGACTGGAGTGCAGTGGTATGATCTTGGCTCACCACAACCTCCGACTCCCAGGTTCAAGCCAGGGATGCTGAGAAACACCCTACAATTCATAGGAGAGCCCCCTCGCTCAGCCTCAACTCCAAGTGAAGTTCTGCTGTAGAGTTCTGACACTAATTACCCAGAGTTAATGAAGACATCACAGATTAGATTCAAAGTCCTCCACAAGACTGCTCTACCTGCAGACAGGAGCTGTCAGTCTCTGGGGTCCCCAGGCCTCCTACACTTCTGATTGTCTATAAATGTAGGGGCTTTCCTGACCTCCTCAAATTCAGGAATTCACTAGAATGAGTCACAGAACTCAGGAAAGTGGTATACTTACAATTACTTTTATTGTAAAGGATACACATAGGGCAAGACCCAGGAAGGAGTGATGACCTACCATGCCCTTCCCCCATAGCATAGAGTGCATTTCCCTTATAGTGCATCCATGTGTCCACCAATCAGGAAGCTTCTCTGAGCTTCAGTGTCCAGAGTTTTTACTGGGGTTACATTATGTAGGCATGATAGATTAAATCATTGGCAAAATGATCAAGCTCAATCTCCAACCTCTCTCTCCTTTCCAGAGATTGTGTTAACTGAAAGTCCCAATGCTCTGCCTATGTGTTTGGTCTTTCCAATGACCAGATTGCATCCTGAAGCTTTCTTGGGTCCCACCCTGAGTTGCTCCATTATCATAACAAAGATACACTTATCATTCTGAAATTTCAAGAATATCTCCTCTCAGAACCAGGGATAAAGGCCAGTCAAAGTTTTTATTATGGAACATCCACAACAAGAAATGACCAGGCCTAAAATGTCAATAATGCAAGTTTGAGAAACTCTGCTTTAAAACTATCTAATGACCCTGATACTACAGATTTCTTTGTCTGGTGCCAAACTATTCTTGATGAGCAGTGTCAGAATGTTACAACCATTAGATAATCTTGTAGGGTATTTTGGCCAAAAATAGATTATTAAGTGGCCTCCAATGACTATATTGAATTTGTGGCACAAAGACCTAGTAACCATTTTCTTTAAGCTGGACAGAAACATATTACCTTGATCAACCAATGCCTGCTTTCAGAAGAGACACTAATGTCACCTAGGATCAATTTTGGCTTGATTTCTTCTCTAGAAAAAAACAGATCATTAGATTATTTAATTCAAGTAGAAGAGAGACTAAGCATTGACTTTAATTAATTAATTAATTTATTTATTTTGAGAAGGAGTCTTGCTCTGTTGCCCAGGAAGGAGTGCAGTGGCACAACCTCAGTTTGCTCCAACCTCCACCTCCCAGGTTCAAGCGATTCTCCTGCCTCAGCCTCCTGAGTAGCTGGGATTACAGGCACGCGCTACCATGTCCGGCTAATTTTTGTATTTTTAGTAGAGACGAGGTTTCACCATGTTGGTCAGTCTGTCCTCAAACTCCTGACCTCGTGATCTGCCCACCTGGGCCTCCCAAAGTGCTGGGATTACAGGCATGAGCGACTGTGCCCGTCCACATTGACTTTATTTTTTAACCTAAATCCTACCCACTTAAGGAGAATTCTGGATTGTTTTCTTTCTTCTCCAAACCTCTTCACTTCATGCATCACAATAGTCCTGAAAAGTAAGGTGAATCCTAGAGTGTGACAGGGAAGCTAGACAATGCCATCAAGGCTATGGGAGTACTCACCTGAGAAGTTCATGAAATTGGAGGTCAGGCATGGTGGCTCACACCTGTAAACCCAGCACTTTGGGTGGCCAAGGTTGGTAGATCATCTGAGATCGGGAGTTCAAGACCAGCCTGGCCAACGTGGTGAAAGCCCGGCTCTACTAAAAATACAAAAATTAGCTGGGCATGGTGGCTCGTGCCTGTAATCCCAGCTACTCAAAAGGCAGAGGCAGAAGAATCGTTTGAACCTGGAAGGTGGAGGTTGCAGTGGGCCGATCCTGGGTGATGCAGCGAGCCAATCCTGGGTGACACAGTGAGACTCTGCCTCAAGAAAAAAAAAAAAAGAGAGAAATTGAACAGGCAGGGGTGCAAAATGAAGATGACTCAGATTTAATATTGACCTCTCATAAGAAATAGTTATTCTTTTAGGGGAAGAATGTTGTACTTACTGCCCTACAGACCTCTGGAATCTTTCCTATAATAGTCAATATTTTCAGAAAAATTAGGTAATTTGGCTAATAATACCAAATTTGATTTTGTGGGATCCTCAGACTAGGGATGTGATCTGTGGTCTTGATTTACTTTGGGCACACTTGGCTCCTGGTTGAGAAGTAGAAGACAAACTCTGAATATGATCCTTTGTTTAGTACATTTGTCTGTGTTGCAGTGTTCAGATGGTGATCTCCACAGTCTTAAATGCTGAGGTGCAATAGCTGTCCCAACTAATAATTCAACAAATAATCATCCAAAAAAACAGCAGGAAAACCTTATGCTAATGGAGGTTGAAACATGTACCTTTGGAATCTTGGAGATTGAACAAGCCATTCCCATAAACTTGATACATAATTGTGATGCCTCAAATCAGCAAGGACCTGGATTGATCAAATCCCAAATACTAATGGTCTATCCTTCAGCTCAGAATGAAAAATGGTAAAAAGGAGAAAAATAAAAAACAAAACTATCTACCCCTACATAGTTTGCTGTCTGCTTTAACAGGACTTTACCATTCCATTGTCTTCATTTGCATAACTTTGCTACCCCAAGAGACTTGTCCAAGAAGGTGAAAGTTGCAAATAACTTTCTCGTTCACTGTAAAAAATTATCAAAAGATCCAGCAACTCCAAAAAGCATCAGTATACAGTTTATATCCCAAGACTCTTTGAGCTCCTCTTCTCAAAATTCTTACCTTGCTGTTTCTACAAATTCTAAACTATTGTACGATGATAATTACTCAATTCTAATGAAGTCTGTGCATTGAAAGACCCATCCTAAACCAAACTTCAAAATATCAATAAATCAGATCTTGCAATTCCTTCTGAGAGTTGCTATCTGCAAAGTTAGCATTCTCACTTACTGTGATAAACAATAAACTCAGCTTTGTGATATTAAAAGGTTATCCTGATGATACTTGGGAAGCCAGCATTCCACAAGGACAATGAGAAAATTCTACAGCCAACATAAAGGGAAGGCAGATTACAACAAAGAAATGGTAAGAACCCCAGAAGAAAAGACTTCTCATTGGCAAAAATAAATGCGGAAAACAATGAGGTAACATCTTTGATGTGCTGAAAAACATAATTGGGAGCCCAAATTTCTAAACTCCAGCAAAATGTCATTCACAAGTCAGAAAAAATTTAAAATTTATAGATATTCAAGCACTTAAGAATTTACTAACAACAGTCCTTTACAAAAAGAACTACTAAATAAGAAAATAAACCTACAAGGAATGAACAGTATAAAGATATATATAAAAATGCCAAAGAATTCTTTAAAAATGCTGGTAAATCTAAATAAATACTGAGTGGGAAAAAAGTTAGAATAGCCATCATTTTTTGAGTGTTTTCAGAAACCAGCTGGCTCTCCCAGTTGAAGATAGCATATTAAAAGCAAGCATTTAATTCTGTTTCTTCCTGAAACTTCATAAAAATGACAGTAGATTTTATATAGACAGATATAAGTATCTATATATACATATATTTATCCATATATATTTATACATATATAAATGTATGTGCATATATATATTCCATGAGAATGAAAAGAACAGAAAATCTTTTAATAGCAACAAAATGTTGGAGGCTGAAAAGCAAAAAGAAAGTCACTTGGGGAATATTGACAATCAATGTGATTTACACCACAGACATATCCAAAAGGCTCAGGAACTGGCGACAGTGTTACCTCTGGAAGCACATATAAGGATGTGTAGCCCAGACTTATCTGCAAATCTGTTTAAATTAAACCCCCAGATCTCTAATCACTGCCCAGTCAGGCAACTGTTCCTGCCCTACACCAGCATATGATTGTAGGTTTATTCTTTGAAAAAGTAAAACAAAGGATCTCTTGATTAGGGGGATACTAGGCATATTTGAGCATAATGTTATTCTAAAGCAGGATACCCCAAAAGATAAATAAATAAAAACTTAAAAATAAAAACCAGAGAAGGCCCAGGAAACAGGACATTCAGAGGCAAAAAGAATTCCCGGCATGAGAGTAAAAGATTCTAATCTCCAGGGTGATCAAGCTTTATACTAGTGTAGACGGCAACCAGTCCAGATGAGGGTAAGTCAGAAGGCTCCAGAAAGGACTTAATGAAAAAAATGATATTAAGAAAACAACTATATTTACCAAGAAAACATTTAAGCAATTGGGAAAGAATATGGGGGCTGAATTACTGAGACATTCATTGAAAATTAAGCGAACAAACAAAAAATAATTATTTACTGATGGGAAGACAGAACATTATGCAGGAGAAGAAATCATGGCATATGACATGATTCAACTGTGAATAACAATTGTATAGTTTTTAATATTCTAAACACTGAATATTTATATAACAAAATTATGATATAGTTATATAAGAAAAAATAGGTGGCTGAGCATGGTGGCTTATGCCTGTAATCCCAATATTTTGGGAGGCCAGGACAGGAGGATAGCTTGAGGCCACCAGCCCAGGCAACAAAGCAAGACCATGCCTCTATAAAATCTAAAAAAAAAAAAAGAAAGAAATATATATAGCTGGTCACTTGTAGTACCAGCTACTTGTGGGGTCTGAGGCAAGAGGATTGCTTAAGCCTGGGAGGTCAAGGCTGCAGTGAGCCAAGATTGTGTTACTGCACTCCAGCCTGGATGACAAAGCAAGACCTTGTCTCCAAAAAGAGAAAGAGAGAGAGGGAATGGAGGAAGGAAGGAAGGAAGGAAGGAAGGAAGGAAGGAAGGAAGGAAGGAAGGAAGGAGAAGGAAAAGGAAGGAAGGGAAGGAAGAGAGGAGGGAGGAGGGAGGGAGGGAGGAAGAAGGAAGGAAGGAAGGAAAGAAGGGAAGGAAGGAAGGGAAGGAAGGAAGGATGGAAGGGAGAAAGAAAGAAACAGAAAAAGGAAGAAAGAAAGAAGAAAGAAAAAAAGAAAGAAAAAGAAAGAGAAAGAAAGAAAGAAAAGAAAGAAAAGAAAGAAAGAAAGAAAGAAAGAAAGAGAGGTGCAGAGAACAATACCCCAAAGTGTGGTGCTTTGGCATGCTGAGCACTTTTGAATTAAAGGAAATTAGAAGGCCTCAGGAGCTGCCTCAGAACAAAGGACTTCCTAACCCTCTCTTATTGCCCCCCAACCCACCCTCCAGCACAGGGAGAGTCTCTCAGAAATTTTCTTATCTGAATAAGATGATATTTTCCAAAAAAAATGCAATTGTCTTAAGACCCCCTCCCTAAGAATCTCATCAAATAACCAGGAAAGATTAACCAGAAGAGAAGAGACAAGAGAAGAAACAAGAATAAAAGTCATCACCACTCTCAGACAGACTTCTCGTCTATTCTTCTGAGGGCAGCTCTGAGAGATTACCTAAGAGACTTTACCTGCATAATAAGACAACCTTTGATCACAGTGTAGTTCCACCCCTCACCTTTCCATAACTTACCAATCCCATTCAGTTTACTCACCCAATCATTTTAAAACTATTGTCTGCTCTTTGGACCCATTCATTTCCCCTGAAAATTATTTACTACTCTTCACAATTGCTCACATTTCCCCCACCTCCCTCTCCCCTATGAAGAGGGTATGTAAGTTTCAACCATCTGGGGCTGGGTGAGGTGGCTCATGCCTGTAATCCCAGCACTTTGGGAGGCCGAGGCAGGCAGATCACCTGAGGTCAGAAGTTTGAGACGAGTCTGGCCAACACGATGAAACCCCATCTCTACTAAAAATGCAAAAATTAGCCAGGTGTGGTGGCACCTGCCTGTAGTCCCAACTACTCAGGAGGCTAAGGCAGGAGAATCGCTTGAACCTGGGAGGCGGAGGTGGCAGTGAGCTGGGATCGCACCACTGCACTCCAGCCTGGGAGACAGAGTGAGAGTCTATCTCAAAAAATAAAAAATAAATAATAAAAATAAAGACTTACACAGAAGGGAGATAAAGATAGAAATCTGCATCCCAAAACAGGAATGATATATTCTTTTCAAGCATGTATGGAACATTTACTAAAATTGGCCACATAAGAAGCCACTAAAAAAGTCTCAACCAATTTCATGAAACTGACATTTTAAAATTAATTCATGGCCAGGCACAGTGGCTCACGTCTATAATCCCAGCACTTTGGGAGGCCGAGGCAGGTGGATCACGAGGTCAGGAGATTGAGACCATGCTGACTAACACAGTGAAACCCCTTCTCTACTAAAAATACAAAAAATTAGCTGGGCATGGTGGCGGGCACCTGTAGTCCCAGCTACTCGGGAGACTGAGGCAGGAGAATGGCATCAACCCGGGAGGCGGAGTTTGCAGTGAGCCAAGATTGTGCCACTGCACTCCACCCTGGGTGACAGAGCGAGACTCCATCTCAAAAAAAAAAAAAAAAATTAATTCGTACTGATTGCAGAGAATTTGGGAAATATAGACAATTTAAAGGACAAGATTAGAAATGGTCTGAGGTGGGGTGTGGTGGCTCACACCTGTAATTCCAGCACTTTGGAAGGCCAAGGTGGGCAGATCCCTTGAGCTCAGAAGTTCGAGGCCAGCCTGGGCAACAAGGCCAGACCCCCATCTCTACAAAAAATATAAAACTTAGCTGGGCATGGTGGCAAGCACCTGTAATCCCAGCTACTTGGGGGGCTGAGGCAGGAAGATCGCTTGAGCCTGGGAGGTCGAGGCTGCAGTGAGCCAAGATTATGCCACTGCATTCCAACCTGAGTGACAAAGTAAGACCCAGTCTCAAAAAAAAAAAAAATTATCTGAAATCTAGCCAAGCATGGTGGCTCCCACCTATAATCCCAGCAATTTGGGAGGCCAAGGTAGGAAGGTCACTTGAAGCCAGGAGTTCAAGACCAGCCTGGGCAACATAGAGAGACCCCATCTATACAAAAAATCATAATAATAATAACTGGGTGTGGTGGTGCCTCCCTGTAATCCCAGCTATTTGGGAGCCTGAGGCAAGAGGATCCTTTGAGCCCAGGAGATTGAGGATGCAGTGAGCCAGGATTGCACCACTGCACTCTAGCCTGGGTGCCAGAGCAAGTCCCTATCTGAAAACAAACAAAATTATCTGAAATCCTGTTCTGGCTACAGTTTACCTCTTTTAGTATTTGACATGCTTCTTTTCAGTCTTTCTCAAGATGTGTATTTAGGAATTTTTTTTCTATCTCCTTGTTGTTGCAATACTGAGATTTACTGTATATTCGTTTTGTATCCTGTTTTGCAAATAATAATTCTACTTTATTACCATTAGAGGAGCACTAGTGTCCCTTACAAAGTTATGCTAATGGAAAGAATTTCTGCTCTTGCAACAGTGTGTGGTCCTTAGAAGAAAGTTAATATTTAATATTAACAGTGTTAAGATGGTTTCACCCCCAGGTAAATCAGTAGGAAAATGGAGGGGAATGCATTGGTGGAAAGGTGAAGGACAGAAGTGGAGTTGAAGCAAAACCAGATTCTCACTCTACGCAAAAGACCAGCGTGCCTCTCTCCCCAGTTCAGAGCCAGCAAGAGCCCCACTAACACCACCACCCGCTTGGTACCTGAAAGAACTGACACAAAGCACACGCAAGGACGTGGAGGAAAGCAGGAGTTAAACAGTCAACAAAAAAAAGCTGAAGAAGGTTTGGGACTGGGAAGATGCAGATTTAGAAAAATAACATTATGAAAATGGGCACCCTTGAAGAACATTCTGTGCCCCTCGTCCCCCTCACCTTATTTATTCCATCACCAAATAAAGTCACAGCTGTCGGTCCTCTGCTATCTGAAGCATTAAGTGAAAGTGCTGTTTCACCCAGCAGCAGATTTCAGGGTGCACCAGCCCAGGAGGGATGGGCATGGCGGTATCTGGTGTGTGGTTGGGAGGAAGCGCTATCCTCTACTTAGGAGGAAGAATTACAGAGCAGCAGGGAGCTTCTCCAGAGATTGAAGAGGCTGCTGGTCCCAACCTTCTGTACGCATCGCACCTCGCAGATCCTGCCACGGGGAGCCACATCCCCGAAGGGACAAAGCCAGGAGAGTCGCTTGAGAATGATTCATGCCATTTCTGTTAAATGCCTGGCACGCAGCAGGACTTGATACATTTTAACAACTACTCTTCTATTTTCTTTAAGTCTACTACAGTGGTTTGAGGCACAGGCTTTGGTTTAAAATAGTTCTAGGTTGAAATCCATGCTCAAATTCTACTCATTAGCTCTCTGGCCTCAGAGCGGATTTACCACCAGCACTCTAAACCTGTTTCCTCAACAGTAAAATTGAATTAATTAAATCTATTTATGGGATTGAATTCGCTAATGTATGTAAAGCCCAGCCCATAATTAAATGGTAGCAGTTAGAATTGACCTTTAACATATGCCATATTTTGATGGTCATTCTTGTTTTTTCTTTTTTCCCACATTCTATTTTTGAACACCTCCCTGTCTGTATATTTATTTAATCATTTCTTTCAGAACTATTTTGAAATCTATTTTTGTCTTTTTTTTTTTTTTGAGTCACCCAGGCTGGAGTGCAGTGGCACAATCATGACTCACGGCAGCCTCAAACTCCTGGGCTCCAGCGATCTTCCCACCTCACCCTCCTGAGTAGCTAGGACTACAGGTGCTTGCCACCATGGCCAGCTAATTCTTTATTTTTTGTAGAGTCATGGTCTCACTATGTTCCCTAGGCTGGTCTCCAACTCCTGGCTTCATGAAATCCTCCCACCTCGGTCCGCCAAAGTGTTGGGATTACAGGCATACGAGCTGCAGTTCCTGGCCCTATCTTTATCTTTCCATAGCCTTATTTTTCCATCTCTAATCTCTTCATCCCAGCATAGTGTATCCATTCGTGCTTCTAGTACGGGCAATATGAATTTAAATAAGTGTATAAATAAGTGAAACAAATATAGCTCATAGGTCCTTTGATGGAAGTGTATATGAGCACAAAGAAGGAAACGGACAAATAAGAGTGGATCCAGGCTGGGCACAGTGGCTCATGCCTGTAATCCCAGCACTTTGGGAGGCCGAGGCAGGCAGATCACTTGAGGTCAGGAGTTTGAGACCAGCTTGGCCAAGATGGCGAAATCCTGTCTCTACTAAAAATACAAAATTTAGCCAGGCACGGTGGCACACTCTTATATCCCAGCTACTTGGGAGGCTGATGCAGGAGAACTGCTTGAATCCGAGAGGTGGAGGTTGCAGTGAGCTGAGACTGAGCCACTGCACTCCAGCCTGGGTGACAGAGCAAGACTTCATCTCAAAAAACAAACAAAAAAAAGAGTGGATCCAGGCCGGGCACGGTGGCTCACACCTATAATCCCAGCACTTTGGGAGGCTGAGGCAAGTAGATCATGAGGTCAGGAGCCCGAGACCAACCTGGCCAACTTGGTGAAACCCCGTCTCTACTAAAAATACAAAAAGTTAGCTGGGCATGGTGGTGCATGCCTATAATTCCAGCTACTCAGGAGGATGAGGCAGGAGAATTGCTTGAACCCAGGAGGCAGAGGTTGCAGTGAGCTGAGATCATGCCACTGCACTCCAGCCTGGGCAACAGAGCAAGACTTGGTCTCGAAAAAAAAAAAGAGTGAATCCAAAAAGGCTTTACAGAGGAAACGATTCTCCAGCCTAGTCTTGAAACACTGAAGTTTCAAATAAGATAGCCCTGGGTTTGAACCTGTGTCCTGCCACACACTAGATGTGGATGAGTTAACTAATCTGACCAAATGTCAGTCTCTCTCAGGTATTCAATCAGAATGATGACACCAATTTAATATATGGGTGAGATAAAATGAGCTGATTGGCAGGGCATGGTGGCTCTGGCCTATAATCCCAGCACTTTGGGAGGCTGAGGCGGGCAGACCACCTGAGGTCAGGAGCTTGAGACCAGCCTGGCCAACATGGTGAAACCTAATCTCTACAAAAAATACAAAAATTAGCCAGGTGTGGTGGCATGCACTTGTCATCCCAGCTACTCAGGAGGCGACACACAAGAATTGCTTGAACTGGGGAGGCAGCAGTTGCAGTGAGCCAAGATCACACCACTGCACTCCAGCCTAGGAGACAGAGCAAGACTCTGTCTTAAAAAAAAAAAAAAGAAAAAAAAATCGCCAGGCATTGTGGCATGCACCTGTATAGTCCCAGCTACTTAGGAGGCTGAGGCAAGAGGATCGTTTAAAAGAGGATGGTTTAAGCCCAGGAGGTTGAGGCTGCAGTGAGCTATGATTTTACCACTGCACTCCAGCCTGAGACCCTGCCTCAAAAAAAAATCAAAAAAACAAACAAAAAAACAAAACAAAACAAAACAAAAGAAATCAAGTGGGCTATAGATCGACTCATGAAAATGATCCTCACGGATATGTCAGTCCCCAGGTAATTTCTATAATTACCCATAAACAGCTGTACACATTGTCTGTGGTGTACTTTAAACTGTATTTTCCCCGCTTTTTGAAAAAAGTGTAATGCAGGGTTGAAACAGAGGTCTTGTCAAAGATTGAGATCAGCTTTACCTACAACATCCTCTCAACCTACCAATCTTGAAGACTTTTCACTTAAAATGACATTGATCTTCACCTGAGGTCGGGAGTTCGAGACCAGCTTGGCCAACATGGAGAAACCCTGTCTCTACTAAAAAATACCAAATTAGCCAGGCATGGTGGCACATGCCTGTAATCCCAGCTACTTGAGAGGCTGAGGCAGGAGAATCGCTTGAACCCGGGAGGTGGAGGTTGCGGTGAGCTGACATTGCACCATTGCACTCCAGCCTGGGCAAAAAGAGCAAAACTCCGTCTCAAACAAACAAACAAAAAAAAGATATTGATCTTGTAAGTGCTCTTTCACAATTCCTTTTATGATAATGTTTTAACTAGGTTTGCAAATTAAATCCAAATTTTAATTTGGATGCGCAAATTAAAATCTCAAATTTCTCAGGTCAATTCCTTGGGGTTTTTTGTTGTTTGTTTGATTGTTTATTTTCGCTTTTGTTTGTTTGTTGAGAGGGAGCCTCGCTCTGTCGCTCAGGCTGGAGTGCAGTGGCATGATCTCAGCTCATTACAACCTCCACCTTCCATGTTCAAGTGATTCTCCCACCTCAGCTTCCCAAGTAGCTGGGACTACAGGCGCCTGCCACCACACCCGGCTAATTTTTGTTTTTTAGTAGAGATGGGGTTTCACCATGTTGGCCAGGCTGGTCTCGAACTCCTGACCTCAGGTGATCTGCCCACCCTGGCCTCCCAAAGTGCTGGGATTACAGGTGTGAGCCACCATGCCCTGCCTCTTTGTTTTAAATGACAAGGATTTCATTTCATATTTAAACTGCTGTAACACAAGGGACAAGGAAAAGTGAAAAGAATTTTGTTTCTCTAGAGAAAAAAAAAGGCTAGGCGGTACATTAAACTTGGATGGCAGCCTGTCATGGAACCTGGGGATTGGTCACATTGGCCAGTACTTTCTCTAACCCAGAGATCAAAACCTGATCTGCCACCACTGCTGGGAATGGAGTCAGTCCTGGTTTCAGCTATAGCTGACACCATCAGCTTCAATCTGAGCCAATCTACTTTCTGCCTTTCTTCTAGTAGACAGCGAGAGTTCAAGCCAGCCTAGTTCTCAACAGCATCATCTGCTAACATTTATCATCTCCCCCACTTCCCTCTCACACAATAAGGTAGGCACTGGGGAAGGTAGCACAGTCCCTGCCTTCAAAGTGCTTACAATCTTGGTGCTTACAATAAAAATGCCGATCAAGTGAATATGTCACTAGAAGGCAGCACATGAGAAATTAATATGAAGATGGCCGGACACAGTGGCTCATGCCTGTAATCTGAGCACTTTGAGAGAAGGTGGGTGGATCACCTGAGGTCAGGAGTTCAAGACCAGCCTGGTCAACATGGTGAAACCCCATCTGTACTAAAAAACAAACAAACAAAGAAAAAATATATACAAAAAATTAGCCAGGCATGGAGGCGGGCGCCTGTAATCCCAGCTACTTGGGAAGCTGAGGCAGGAGAATGGCTTGAACCTGGGAGGCGGGTTACAATGAGCCAAGATTGCGCCACTGCACTCCAGCCTGGGCGACAGAGTGGGACTGCATCTCAAAAAAGAAAGAAAGAAATATGAAGATGAATGTTTTGAGAGTCTGGGGAAAGTGAAGTTCACTATGAGCTGAGCTGGTGGAAATGGCTTCCTGAATGAAGGAAATCCATGGTGCCTTCTCCATTTTGTGGGAGGCACTGGTTTAGAGAGTGGTTAAGGACATAAACTGCAAAGCCAGGCTGCATTGTTTGAACAAGCTCAGCTCTGCCAGTAACGAGCTGTGTGACCAGGGCAGAGTACCTAGCCTCTCTGTGCCTAGGTCGCCTCCTCCCTAAAATTAGGACAATAGTAATTATGTCTCCCTCATAGACTTGTGGGGAGTATAAAATGCCTTAAGCTAAATGAAGCACATGGCATATAATGAAGGCTAATGGGGGCTTCGGACCATTGTTCTTTATGACACGGTTTCTTGAGACCGAGGCATGTACAAGCCAGTGCACAGAATCGTGTCTATGTAATTAGTTAATTCTGTCTGGGAGGAGTGTGTGTGTTTAAGACAGTGCCTGGGATGACTTATAATGTAATCTTTAGGCAAAACGCTTTGTAATTGGTGCAGCTCTGAGAACACACGCATGCATTCCAGGCGGTGCTGCTGGGGCTCGGCGGGGCCGTGTCTGGTCTGCAAGGCGCGCGGGCTCGTGGGGGGTTGGCTGGGGAGCCCACGCTGCCTGGCGACTCGGGCCACCGAATGTGAGACCGAGTCCCTTTATGTCACCAGCGCACACGCTGATTTGAACCCTGCTTCGACGTGTGTGTCATGGCTTAAAAATAGCTGCTAATCTGTCAACCTGTCTTGGGCAGAAACAGCGGCGGCGACAGCAGCAGGAGCGTCATGGCCGTGGCGCTGTCTGCGCCGGCGATCCGCCTTTCGGACTGAGGCCCAGCGCAGCGCTTGCAAAGAGGTAGAGGGGCTGCGGCGGGCCTTCGCCTTTTCAGCTGGCTCTCCACGCTGGGGAGAGGCGCCCAGCTAGGGGCGACGGGGGAGGGAGGGGACCGGGAAGCGGGCACCCGAGCCCAGCGAGCCAGCCTCTCTCTCCCGGGCGCCCTCCCTCCGCGCGCGGGGCCCGGCTGCCAGGCTGGCGAGGACTGGGGCGACAGCCATGGACCTGTTACAAAGGCGACCGCAGGCGGAGGGAGGGAGCGGCGGGCCAGGGCCCCTGGAGCCGACGGATGGGATTGGAGAATGCCCAGGGCTGTATCCCTGGACAGAAAGGGGCTTCTGCATCCCCCGGGAAAAACAGCCCCACGGAGATCCTTCTTAGACCTGGGCTCCTTCACGCTTCCCCCATCCCATTCATCATCTCGTAGACAGCAGACTCTCTAAGAGGAAAGGTTGTATTGCAATACAGTAATGGGGTCTTTAGGCCTGGGTGCAAAGGTAGAAGAAGATGATGGTGATAGTGATGGTGGTGATGGTGGTAGTGATGATGGTGATGGTGGTGGTGATGATGGCTGTAGTGCTATATTTCTGTGCTCCTTCCGGACCCAGCCATTGAAAACTCTCTCTCCCTAAACTCCCTAACATCCAATCTTCCCTCACCAATCCTGGTCCTAAAACCCCTGCTTCTAATGCCTTGTAAGTGCTTGGTTTCTCTTGGCACTGGAGCAAGGGAGAGCTGGGCCCTGTCTAGGGGTGTGAGATGGGGACAGAGCATGGGCAGGGACAAAGATGGCCTCTCACTGCTGGTCATAGAGTTGAAGTCCCCCTGGCAGGAGGCCAGGAAGGGAGTGGAAGGGGATTCTGCAGGCTCCAGGACCTCCTGCTTTCAAACAGGCAGGACCACAGGTGTGAGAGGATGGGGAGGGAGGGGGAAGGGGCCTTGCCATTGTTGCCTCCCTGCCTGAAGGTCCCAGGGCAAGCCTCAAACGCTGGTCCTTCCCAGCTCTGCAGCTCAACAGGTAATCTGAGACACACCTGCTAAGCCCCTCGTTATTGACCTCGTGTTTTGTAGGGTCACTTGACTCCAACAGCCATACGGTTGGTAATTCTAAGCCTCTGAGCCCCTGGACCTGGCAGGATCCCTCATTTTTCCCTTTCCTTCCTGCTTTCTAGGCCCCCACCACCCACCCCTGTCCCCCCTCCCCTCAAGACACACACAGACAAAACACTCCAACCCTGCGTCAATTCCCCCACCATCCACCTCTGTCACCCTCCCCTCAAGACACACACAGACAAAACACTCCAACCCTGCTTAGATTCAGAAATTCTCACATTAGAGCTGAGATCTGATCAGTAATTTCCTAATGCTGATCCAAGGAGGGTGGTTTGCCTGTTGTGCACATAGATTGGTGCCTTCTTCCATAAGCTCATGCATTCAGCAAGTATTTATTTTTTGCAAACTTACTCTTCCTCTTTATTGCTATTCTCCACTCACCCCATCCCACCCCCACCACACCCTTCCCATAGCAGGTTTATCTCTGAGGCAGTGGCAGGTCACGAAGGGGTTAAAGTCTAACTCTGGCACAGAGATGGCAGGCCTGACATGTGTCATGGCCTCAGCTGCTGTTGTCTCCCTGCTAATTCTCTTTGGATGGGTCTAAAGGTACCCCCAACCCCATCCCAGCTCCCTAGGCTCTCTGCCGATAGCCCCAGGCAGATGAGACTCAGATTCCAGCTGGCAAGATCCCCAGCAGTGGGGACAACCACCCAAGTGCCGTGTGTGTGTGTGTGTGTGTGTGTGTGTATGCGTGCTGGCAGTGGGGGTGGGGTGATGAAGCTGAAACCTAGCAGCTGGGCAGCTCCCTCTCCCCGTAAACAAGGACATGTGACTCTCCCACCTCGTTTCGTGGCAGAGCCAAAGAGCTGAGCAAAAGGAGCTGCTGCAGCTTGAAGAAAAAGCCACCCCTGAAGGCTCCTGCCAGAGCCAGGCTTACCTTCTCTCCCTCGAGAATCTTCTCCCGAAGGACCAGCCCAGGGAAGGGAAGCAGCTGCTCTGGACTCACTCAAGTGTGTCTCACACCCCTTCCTCTTCCAGCAGCAGCTACCTGGCAACTGAACCCATCATCACCACAGCCACTCCTGCAGCTGCCACGGTTTCTGCCACCTCTAAGATGTGCCCTGGTAACTGGCTTTGGGCTTCTATGACTTTTATGGCCCGCTTCTCCCGGAGTAGCTCAAGGTCTCCTGTTCGAACTCGAGGGACCCTGGAGGAGATGCCAACCGTTCAACATCCTTTCCTCAATGTCTTCGAGTTGGAGCGGCTCCTCTACACAGGCAAGACAGCCTGTAACCATGCCGACGAGGTCTGGCCAGGCCTCTATCTCGGAGACCAGTATGTATCGGGCAGACTGGGCCCACGGTAGAGCGTGTGTGTGTTTGTGTGTGTAAGAAAGGAGAAGGGTGGCAGACAGGTATGCAGTGGTGTCATTGGTTCCTGGTTGAAGATTGAGGGGATAGGGCACATGGGCCAAGAGTAGAGGCTGCAGGTTTGGGAGAGTTTGGCCAGGATTATTGAAATGCCCAACTCTGGCCAGTCACAGTGTCTCTTGCCTGTGATCCCAGCAGTTTGAAAGGCTGAGGCAGGAGTATCTAGAGTACAGGAGTTCTAGACCAGCCTGAGCAACAAAACCAGACCCCATCTCTACTTATTATTTTAAAATAAAATAAATAAAATAAAAATACCCAAGTCTGGACAGAAAGACTCTGTTCCAGTAATAATATCATTCATGTATCACATATTTATTATTACATGCCAGTGCTACATACCAGGCACAATAGATGACTTCTCTGACCTTCCATCTATTGTGCAATGTCTCTGGGAAAAGGCAGCCACTGGAAGCCAGGAGCAGTAGGTAGGAAGCTGCAGTGGTTTCTCTTGAGACCAAGCAAAGCGGCAGTGCCTACAGAGATTCTGCAATTTGAAGGCTATGGAGAGAAAAACATCAAAGGAAGAGCCATCCCCACTTCTCTCCCTCAAAGTTATACAAGGATTTCTTTTGCTTCTTTGGTTTGTTTTGGTTTTGGTTTCTTTCTTTTATTTTTTTTTGGAGACAGTATCACTCTGTCACCCAGGCTGGAGTGCAGTGGCGCGATCTTGGTTCTCTGCAACCTCCACCTCCCGGGTTCAAGCGATTCTCCTGCCTCAGCCTCCAGAGTAGCTGGGACTACAGGCACACACCGCCTTGCCCGGCTAATTATTTTTTTGTATTTTAGTAGAGACGGGGTTTCACCGTGTTGCCCAGGCTGGTCTTGAGCTCCTGAGCTCAGGCAGTCCACCTGTCTCGGCCTCTCAAAGTGCTAGGATTATAGGTGTGAGCCACCGTGCCCAGCATTGTTGTTGTTTTTGAGACAGGGTCTCACTGTTGCCCAGGCTGGAGTGCAGTAGCCCAATCTCAGCTCACAGCAAACTCCGCCTCCCGGGTTCAAGCAATTCTCCTGCCTCTGCCTCCCAAGTAGCTGGGCTTACAGACGCCCATCACCACACACAGCTGATTTTTGTATTTTTAGTAGAGACGGCGTCTAGCCATGTTGGCCAGGCTGATTTTGAACTCCTGGCCTCAAGTGATCCACCTGCTTCAGCCTCCCAAAGTGCTGGGATTACAAGCATGAGCCACCGTGCCTGGCCTACAAGGATTTTTTTCACACACATTATCTCTCTTAATCTTCACAACAGCCCTGTGAGATAGGTATCACTCTCCCTGGGTTACAGATGAGGAGACTGAAGCTCAGAGAAGTTGTGCCTGGCCAAGGTCACACGGGTTGTAAGTAGCAGAGCCCGGGCTTGGAGGCTCAAGTTCAGTGCTCTTTCTGCTTAAGGAGTTTGCACTGGACAGGGCAACTCAGTTTGCCCTGAGATATGACTGTGGTGCCCAGGGGTGTCTGCCACCAAGCTGAGGGGTCTGGGCCGGATGAACACCTGAAGGTGACGTCATAAAACAGGGTAAATGTGGCCGGGCATGGTGGCTCACATCTGTAATCCCAGCACTTTGGGATACTTAGGCGGATGGATCACGAGGTCAGGAGTTCAAGACCAGCCTGGCCAAGATAGTGAAACCCCGTCTCTACTAAAAATACAAATATTAGCCTGGCATGGTGGTGGGCACCTGTAATCCCAGCTACTCGGGAGGCTGAGGCAGAGAATTGCTTGAACCCGGGAGGCAGAGGTGGCAGTGAGCCGAGATCGCGCCACTGCACTCTAGCACTCCAGCCTAGGTGACAGAGCAAGACACCATCTCAAAAAAAAAAACAAACAACAACAACAACAACAAAAAAAAACACAGTCACAGTAAATGTGAGCCATGGAATATCTGGCAAAAACACAAGACGGTTCTGGGTGTCAACAAGAGTAGAGACATAGGGGAGTTAGGTGTGGAAGTGGATGTCAGAACCATACTATCTCAGAGTGAGCAGGACCGATGAAATGAGCAGAACAATCTGCCTGACATTCATTTCCCCTCTGCAGCATCCATGGCTACATGGCCATCTCCTCTTTCTGCCTGAATACCCCAGGGACAGGAAAACCACTCTCTCTCGAGGTTCTCCACCCTTTCCTCAGCTAGACTCCACCATTAGAATGTACTTCCTTGTATGAAATTGAAATCAGCTGGCCAGGCACAGTGGCTCACGCCTATAATCCCAGCACTTTGGGAGGCCTAGATAGGTGGATCACAAGGTCAGGAGTTCGAGACCAGCTTGGCCAACACGATGAAATCCCATCTCTACTAAAAATACAAAAATTAGCCGGGCATGGTGGCAGGC
Organism: Homo sapiens; assembly: GCF_000001405.40. NCBI lineage: Eukaryota > Metazoa > Chordata > Mammalia > Primates > Hominidae > Homo > Homo sapiens. The sequence goes on along the minus strand of NC_000008.11, from coordinate 33,594,868 downwards.
ACCTGTAATCCCAGCTACTCAGGAGGCTGAGGCAGGAGATTCGCTTGAACCTGGGAGGCAGAGGTTGCAGTGAGCTGAGATTGCACCATTGCACTTCAGCCTGGGAGACATAGCAAGACTCTGTCCCACCTCCCAAAAAAAAAAAAAATGAAATCTGCTTCCCTGGGGCTTTAATTCCTTGATCCTCATTGTACCCTTGAGAACCCTACAGATCCAAGACAATCTCAATTCCAGAAAACACACTTTCAGTTTTGTTTTGTTTTGTTTTGTTTTTTTTGAGATGGAGTCTTGCTCTGTCACCCAGGCTGGAGTGCAGTGGTGCGATCTCGGCTCACTGCAAGCTCCGCCTCCCAGGTTCAGGCCATTCTCCTGCCTCAGCCTCCTGAGTAGCTGGGACTACAGGCGCCTACCACCACACCCAGCTAATTTTTTCTATTTTTAGTAGAGATGGGGTTTCACCATGTTAGCTATGATGGTCTTGATCTCCTGACCTCGTGATCCGCCCGCCTCGGCCTCCCAAAGTGCTGGGATTACAGGCGTGAGCCACCGCGCCCGGCCGCACACTTTCAGTTTTATTATGGCTATTTTTACCCCATCCCCTTAGTCTTCTCTTCTCCAGGCAAAACATCCCCTATACCTTCAACCATGGCTCACAGGACAAGACTCCAAGTCATTGCCCATCTTGGTTCCTCCCTTCTGGATCACTAGTAAGTAAAGTAGTGTCCTTAGGCCAATAGTAGGATCCAGGAGGCCAGGCATGGTAGCTCACGTCTGTCATCCCAGCACTTTGGAAGGCCGAGGCGGGAGGATAACTTGAGGTCAGGAGTTCAAGACCAGCCTGGCCAACATGATAAAACCCCATCTCTACTAAAGATACAAAAATTATCCGGGTATAGTGGCATGTGCCTGTAATCCCAGCTACCCGGGAGGCTGAGGCAGGAGAATCGTTTGAACCCAGGAGATGGAGGTGGCAGTGAGCACTCTGGCCTAGGAAACAGAGCGAGACTCCATCTCAAAAAAAAATCAACAATAGGATTCAGGAAGTTAACAGGGTGTAGACAAGGGAGTCTTCCCCAACAACCTGGCTTTCCCACCCTTCCTCTAACCTCTACTCAATGCAGGGACATGGCTAACAACCGCCGGGAGCTTCGCCGCCTGGGCATCACGCACGTCCTCAATGCCTCACACAGCCGGTGGCGAGGCACGCCCGAGGCCTATGAGGGGCTGGGCATCCGCTACCTGGGTGTTGAGGCCCACGACTCGCCAGCCTTTGACATGAGCATCCACTTCCAGACGGCTGCCGACTTCATCCACCGGGCGCTGAGCCAGCCAGGAGGTAGGAGGGGAATGCTGGGAGCAGGAAAGAACAGGGTGCCTGGAATTTGGGGAAGTCCAAGGGTCTGAGAGTGGAGTGAGATTTTAGTGACATGACAAAATGCTCAGGATCTTGTTAAGAAAGAAAAAAATATTATCTCAACCATTTTTTTAAAGCAATACAGAAAAAGACAAGAAGGAAATTATCAAAAATGTTAAGAGTGGCAAGTTACACCTGGGTGGCAAGATTATATGTGATCGACTTTTTCTTTTTTGTTTTTTTGAGATGGAGTCTTTCTCTGTCACCCAGGCTGGAGTGCAGTGACGTGATCTCAGCTCACTGTAACCTCCGCCTCCCAGGTTCAAGCGATTCTCCTGCCTCAGCCTCCCAAGTAGCTGAGATTACAGGTGTCCGCCACCACATCCAGCTAATTTTTGTATTTTTAATAGAGACATGGTTTCACCATGTTGGCCAGGCTGGTCCTGAACTCCTGACCTCAGGTGATCCACCCGCCTCGGCCTCCCAAAGTGCTGGAATTACAGGCATGAGCCACTGCACCCAGCCAGCAGGAGGATTTCTTAAGCCCAGGAATTAGAGGTTGTAGTGAGCTATGATTGTGCCACTGCACTCAGCCTGAGAGGCAGAGCAAGACCCTGTCTCCATATACATATATATATATTCAATGGTTGAGAATAACAAGCTAGAATGGTGGAGAGATTGAGGAAGGGGCCAGTAATGACAGTGTTTTCAATGGACTCATTCACGCTACTCTATGCAAAGCTGGCTCTTACATCAGTGGTGAGTCTCCACCTTTGACCCCTTTCAGGTTTATGGACACTGAGCCACTGCATGTCCCCTTCCTCTCATTCTGTCCAGGCCTCTCCCCTTTTGCCAGAGATCTGCATTCCTAACATCCACTCATCTGCACCCATTCCTGTCTTCATGCACCTGTACTTACCTGTCTTCCTCTTCCCTGTCCATGTCACCCTTTTTTTTTTTTTTTTTTTTTTTTTTTGAGATGGGGTTTCACTTTTGTTGCCTGGGTGGAGTGCAATGACACGATCTTGGCTCACTGCAGCCTCAGCCTCCTGAGTAGCTGAGATTACAGGCATGGGCCACCACGCCCAGTTGATTTTTGTATTTTTAGTAGAGATGGGGTTTCACCATGTTGGCCAGGCTGGTCTCGAACTCCTGACCTCAGGCAATCTTCCCCCTTCGGCCTCCAAAAGTGCTGGAATTACCGCCGTGAGCCACCATGCCCGGCCCCATGTCACCCTTTCCCCAGCCTCCTCCAAGCTGCCACAAGCAGTCTCAAAGCTCTCTCTGTGTCTCTCCTCTCAGGGAAGATCCTGGTGCATTGTGCTGTGGGCGTGAGCCGATCCGCCACCCTGGTACTGGCCTACCTCATGCTGTACCACCACCTTACCCTCGTGGAGGCCATCAAGAAAGTCAAAGACCACCGAGGCATCATCCCCAACCGGGGCTTCCTGAGGCAGCTCCTGGCCCTGGACCGCAGGCTGCGGCAGGGTCTGGAAGCATGAGGGGAGGGGGAGAGAGGTCAGGCCAGGCCCGTGGGTAGGTCCCTGGCTCCCAGCTGGAGATAGGAGGCCCAGGTGGCAGGTAGCAGGAGGCCCAGATCACCCATCCTCCCCTGGGGTCAGGAGAGGCCGAGCCCCAGGCCACTGTCACTCTTTGTGGGAGGGGACGGGGAGTGAGGTTGGGCAGTGTGGTGGATGGGCACCCAGGAAGGGTTGACCAGGGAAGGAGGCAGCTAGGCTGTAGATGGAAGATGGTCCTGGGATTCGAACACCGCTGGGATCTGGCCAGGGTGCTCCCTGGGATTCACAGTCCCTTCCCCTCTTTGTGCCCAAGTGTTTCCCTCTCTCCCTCACCAAAACAAAAGGGCCATCTCTGCCCTGCACTTGTGCAGAAAGTCAGGGATACGGCAAGCATGAATGCAATGGTGTAGAGTTGTGTGAAACCCCTAGCATAGAGACAGACAGCGAAGAGATGGTGTGAAAAGCTTGCAGAACCAGACAGAGAACCCCACAGACTTTCCACTCCAAGCACAGGAGGAGGTAGCTAGCGTGTGAGGGTTGGCACTAGGCCCACGGCTGCTGCTTGGGCCAAAAACATACAGAGGTGCATGGCTGGCAGTCTTGAAATTGTCACTCGCTTACTGGATCCAAGCGTCTCGAGGATAAATAAAGATCATGAAAAAGAAGAGAGTTTCTTGAAGTCATTGACAGTTTGAAAGAGTTCTAGGCCTCTCTCCTGGGAACCCCAACCTTGCTGGAGAAAAGAACAGTCGTGACTCCCTCGTATCCTCCACCAGCCTTCAAACCTCCACCAGTTCTTCTGGTGCTATTCTCCCAAGTCCAATTTCATGCTCCTACAGCGATATATTGGGCTGTTGTTTCCAGGTAGTCCACAAAGGGGCAGCAGAGGACCAGAAAGTTCAGGTTTGCAACAAGCTCTGCTGCTGTTCAGAGGGCACACCCTGTACCTTCCCAGCTTTGAAGAAGTCTCTAGACCCGGCGCAGGGGCTCACGCCTGTTATCCTAACACTTTGGAAGGCCGAGTGGATCACCTGAGGTCAGGAATTCAAGACCAGCCTGGCCAACACGACGAAACCCCATCTCTACTAAAACTACAAAAATTAGCCGGGCACGGTGGCGCACGCCTGTAATCCCAGCTACTTGGGAGGCTGAGGAAGGAAAATCGCTTGAACCTGGGAGGTGGAGGTTGCAGTGAGCCGAGATCGCGCCACTACATTCCAGCCTGCGCGATGGGAGCGAGACTCCATCTCAAAAAAAAAAAAAAGAGGTCTCTATTCACACACCTGGGTGTTAAGAAATATAATACCGCCAGGCACGGTGGTTCATGCCTATAATCCTAGCACTTTGGGAAACCAACGCAGGCCAATTGTTTCAGCCCAAGAGTTTGAGATTAGCCTGGGAAACATGGCGAGACCCCATCTCTATAAAAAAATTAAAAAATAGCCAGGCGGGGTGGAGCATGCCTGTAGTCCCAGCTACTTAGGAGGCTGATGTGGGAGGATCGCTTGAGCCCAGGAGGTTGAGACTACAGTGAGCTGTGACGGCATCAAGGCACTGCAGCCTGGGCAACAGACCAAGGCCATGTCTCAAAAAGAAAAGAGGCTGGGTGCGGTGGCTCATGCGTGTAATCCCAGCACTTTTGGAGGCTGAGGCGGGTGGATCATTTGAGATCAGAAGTTCGAGACCAGCATGGCCAACATAGTGAAACCCTGTCTCTACTAAAAATACAAAAATTAGTTGGGCATGATGGTGCACACCTGTAATCCCAGCTACTAGGGAGGCTGAGGCAGGAAAATCGCTTGAACCCAGGAGGTGGAGATTGCAGTGAGCGGAGATCACGCCACTGCACTCCAGTCTGGGAGACAAAGCTAGACTCCCTTTCAAAAAAAAAAGAAAAGAAAATACAGGGGGACCAAAAAAAAAATCACTTAATATAGCTGTATGTCCAGTCCCAAAGTACAGAACTCAGAACATTAAAGTTGGTAGGTGCCTTCATAGATTATCCATTTCCACTCTCCTCAATCATGGTCTTGCTCTGTTGCCCAAGCTGGGTTGGGGTGATCTTGGCTCACTGCAACCTCCGCCTCCTAGGTTCAAGCGATTCTCCTGCCTCAGCCTCCCAAGTACCTGGGATTACAGGCGCCACCATGCCTGGCTAATTTTTGTATTTTTAGTAGAGATGCGGTTCCACCATGCTGGCCGGCTGGTCTTGAACTCCTGACCTTAGGTGATCTGCCCACCTCAGCCTCCCAAAGTGCTGGGATTACAGGTGTGAGCCACTTATTCAGTATTTTTGATAACAGTCATCAAGCATTTGCTCGAACATCTTTGAGAATAGGAAACCACTACATAATTTCCACACCATCCCACCAGCTCTAAATTTTAGAAAGCTCTGCCTTGTATGCACATAATGCAATCGTGTTATGGTGGTGCTGAGAGGAGGTTGAAAGATCTGACCAGCCAGGATTCCTGGGCTGACTGTAGCACACGCCAATTAGGGGAGGTGACTAAGTCACTTACTTCTTCCCCCTCTGTTTACTGGCAATCGTACAGCAGACTTCCATGGGATTGTTGTGATCATTTAATTACATAAGAGGCTGGGTGCATGGTGGCTCACGCCTGTAATCCCAGCACTTTGGGAGGCTGAGGTGGGCAGATCACTAGAAGTCAGGAGTTCAAGATCAGCCTGGACAACATGGTGAAACTCTGTCTCTACTAAAAAAAATACAAAAATTAGCTGGGCATGGCGGCAAACACCTGTAATCCCAGCTAGTCGAGAGGCTGAGGCAGAATTGCTTGAACCCAGGAGGTGGAGGTTGCAGTGAGCCAAGATGGCACCACTGCACTCCAGCCTGGGTGACAAGAGTGAGACTCCATCTCAAAAAATATATATAATATAAAATAGATAAGAGACATAAAGCCCAAACATCAGTATTTAGTAAGTGTTCTTTCACTAGTTCAACTATCGTGGAAGACAGTGTGGCAATTCCTCAAGGATCTAGAACTAGAAATACCATTTGACCCAGCCATCCCATTACTGGGCATATACCCAAAGGATTATAAATCATGCTGCTATAAAGACACATGCACACATATGTTTATTGCGGCACTATTCACAATAGCAAAGACTTGGAACCAACCCAAATGTCCATCAATGATGGACTGGATTAAGAAAATGTGGCACATATACACCATGGAATACTATGCAGCCATAAAAAATGATGAGTTCATGTCCTTTGTAGGGACATGGATGAAGCTGGAAACAATCATTCTGAGCAAACTATCTCAAGGACAGAAAACCGCATGTTCTCACTCATAGGTGGGAATTGAACAATGAGAACACTTGGACACAGGAAGGGGAACATCACACACCGGGGCCTGTCGTGGGGTGGGGGGAGGGGGGAGGGATAGCATTAGGAGATATACCTAATGTAAATAACGAGTTAACGGGTGCAGCACACCAACATGGCACATGTATACATATGTAACAAACCTGCACATTGTGCACATGTACCCGAGAACTTAAAGTATAACTTAAAAAAAAAAAGAGTGTGCATCGAAAAAAAAAAAAAGTTCTTTCTCTTCTTCCCTCCCTGTGACAGCCCTTCCCGTGGTTTGAAGCCAGCTGTCAGGGTTCTGTGTCCTCCTACTTTTAGCCTAACAGCCACGATTGTTTTCAATCGCCTGCATTTGTCATATTTTAAATTGCCAACATTGGCATTCTTTTCCAACTACGGCAACTGAAATTCCAGATCTCACAGAATGTATAGTTCTCAATGCTCCAGGCTAGACCTATAAGATAGGAGGCCAGCAAGATCTATTTACTGGCTGTGATCTCAAAATGTGGTCACTGTTAAGGGACACATTTATTAACTGGCATTTAAAAATGCCAGTTATCTAAGGGAGAGAGTGAGGCCTTCATTAGAAATGTTGACTCTCGGTCGGGCACGGTGGCTCACGCCTGTAATCCCAGCACTTTGGGAGGCCTAGGTGGGTGGATCACTGGAGGTCAAGAATTTGAGACCAGCCTGGCCAACATGGCAAAACCCCATCTCTACTGAAGAAATACATATATATATGTAAGTTTGGCGTGGTGGTGCATACCTGCAATCCCAACTACTCAGGAGGCTGAGGCAGGAGAATCACTTGTATCAGAGAGGTGGAGGTTGCAGTCAGCTGAGATCGCACCACTGCACTCCAGCCTGGATGACAGAGTGAAACTCTGTCACAAAAAAAAAAAAGAAAGAAAGAGAGAGAGAGAGGGAAAGGAAGAAAAAGAAAGAAAGAAGGAAGGAAGACAGAAAGAGAAAAAGAAAAAGAGAGAAAGGGAGAAAGGAAGAGAAAGAAGAAAGAGAGAAAGAGAAGGAAGGAAAGAAGGAAAGAAAAAAGGAAAGAAGGAAAGAAAGAAAGAAAGAAAGAGAAAGAAAAAGAAAGAAAGAAAGAAAGAAAGAAAGAAAGAAAGAAAGAAAGAAAGAAAGAAAGAAGAAAGTAAGGAAGAAAGAAAGAAAGAAAAAGAAAGGAGGGAGGGAGGGAGGAGAGGAGGGGAATGTTGACTCTAATTAAATGCTTTGATTCGCTGTCAGACCATGGGCCAAAGGACTTAAGTATAACTAAAAAGAGCCCTCAAATCACTCAGGCTCTTAGAAGGACTGACTGTAATTATGATCTCACCTTCTTTTTCCTATTGCTCTTTTTATTTTCTTAGAGATAGTCTTGCTCTGTCACCCAGGCTGCAGTGTAGTGGTGTCATCATAGCTCACTGCAGCCGTGAACTCCTGGGCTCAAGTGATCCTCCCACCTAAGCCTCCCAAAATGCTGGAATTACAGGTGTGAGCCACCATGTCCTGCCAGTTCTCATTTAGAAAATATATACTTACTAATGTAACCTAACAGCCATAACAATATCTATCCAGTCTGAATGGTTTTAGACTCTTTGCATGCTGAATAACTTCAGAATTTAATTCTAACTTCTAGTAGGGAAGTATTGCTACTAAAGTATATTTGAGGCCTGGCGCAGTGGCTCATGCCTGTAATCCCAGCATTTTAGGAGGCTGAAGCGGGCAGATCACCGGAGGTCAGGGGTTCAAGACCAGCCTGGCAACATGGCAAAACCCCATCTCTACTACAAATACAAAAATTAGCCGATGTGGTGGCACAAGTCTGTAATCCCAGCTACTCAGGAAGCTGAGTCACGAGAATTGCTTGAACCCAGGAGGTGGAGGTTCCAGTGAGCAGAGATCACACCACTGCACTCTAGCCTGGGCAACAGAGTGAGACTCCGCCTCAAAAAAAAAAAATTATATTTGACCAAAGAACAACTTCCAGATTATCCTCATAAAACAGTTTATACATTTTTATTATTTAACAAAGACATATTATGGCTATACCCAGGCATTCTTCTGTCTTTATAGATATCAACTCATTTAATCCTCATAAAAGCCCTGTGAAGTAGGTATAATTGCAATTGCTTAGGAATGGGCAGATTAAATTTGCCTAATTTGCCCAAAGACACAAAATAGTAAATAGAAGAGCTAGGATTTATACTTGGGTTCTCAGACTCCAGAATATATATATAAATATATATATTTATATGTATATATATATTTATATTTATATATAATTAATATATAAATTTTATATATATATATATCATCATCCTACTATGCTTTGCCTTCAACTCCGCCATCTCAAGTTGTGTGTGTGTGTGTGTGTGTGTGTGTGTGTGTGTGTGTGTGTGTGTGTATTGGGGGAGGGAGAAGAGGACTTGCTACTCAGACTTCAGACTGGGAAGCCCCACTCTTACTAGCTCTGAGAGCTTACATCTGGAGATATCAAGTGACTGAAGATTTCCCTATCTTTTCTAGAGATTGCCACTCTTCTAGAGGGATCTATATAGTTCAAGGGGAAGAACTGAGAGGCCACAGCCTGGGTGTCACATAGATAGAATCAGTCCTATCCTTCCGGGGGGCCAAGGGTGACACCTGTCACAAATGAGTCTTACTCCCACCTCCAAAACCAAAATTAAAAATCCAGCCAGCCTCCCCTATCCTGCTCTTGAGCAGTTAATCATTTGATCCCAAACAATGGACCACAGCATTAATAGGAATAAACGTGCTCTTGTATTCAGCCTGTGCTTCCAGCCCATGGAGCCTCAATGCTCCAAAATTGAGATCCAAGTCAATCTTGTCATCCTACCCCTTCTTCCCTTATCACCTCCAGCCACCAACTCTGCAGTGTTCACTCAAATCCTTGAGCAGACCCCTGGAGCCTTTGCTTTCTCTGGGAAGGTGGAGGGATGTTTGCCCAGTCCTTCACCCCTGTAACTAATCCCAGCTGGGAAATTCCACAGGGATGCAGCTAAGGGAAAACTACTGATTCTGAGCCCCAGTGTGGCAGATGGAGCTGGAAATACACAGGTAGGCAGCTCAGAATTATGCTGGCTATAGTGGGTTCAGCATTGCTGCACCAAAAGGCCCCTGCTAGAAACGGATCCCTTAAAGAAAAGGACTGAATAGAAGAAAAATGGTCCAGATTATAAGGAAAGATAAAGCCTGTTTATCATAAGTTTCTGTCCTTATTACTTTTTTTTGAGTGGGATGAAGAGGCAAGAGATTCAAAAGTTTATGAGAAAGCCCTGTTCACACCCAAATCCCTAGAACTTGCGAATATGTCCCTTTAGCTGACCAAAGGGACTTTGCCCTTGATTAAAATGACAACCTTGAGATGAGGATATTACCCTGGAGTATCTGAATGAGCCCAATCATAGGAATCCTTCAAAGTAGAGAACCAGCTGGGCGCAGTGGTTCACACCTGTAATCCTATCATTTTGGGAGGCCAAGGCACGAGGATAGCTTGAGGCCAGGAGTCTGAGACCAGCCAGGGCATCTCTACAAACAAACAAACAAACATTTTAAAAATTAGCCAGGCATAGTTTTAAAAATTAGCTAGGTTAAAACCATTCCTAGCTAATTTTTAAGATGTTTATTTGTTTGTAGAGAGGGGTCGAGTCTCCCAAGGCAGAGGTGGGAGGATCACTTGAGCCCAGGAATTCGAGACTACTGTGATCTATGATCCTGCCACTGCACTCCAGCCTGGGCAACAGAACAAGACCCTGTCTCTATAAAAAAAAAAATTAAAATTAAAAAGTGGTGAACCTGTTTTGTGGTGAGAAGTTTGATGTGAGAAGGGCTGGACCCCCATTTGCTGGCTTTGATGAAGAAGAGGGGCAGTGGCTCACACACATAATCCCAGCACCTAGGCTGAAACGATCTGTCTGCCTTGGCTTCCCAAAATGCTGGGATTACAGATGTGAGCCACCTAGGCTCACCTAGGCCCCATTTGCTGGCTTTGATGAAGAAGAGGGGCAGTGGCTCACACACGTAATCCCAGCATGTTGGGAGGCTGAGGCGGGTGGATGGCTCGAGCCCAGGAGTTCAAGACCAGCCTGGGCAACATAGCGAGACCCTGTTTCTATGAAGAAAAAAAAAATGTTGTGCAATGGAATACTATTCAGCAATTAAAAATGAATTATTTAATAAAAAAGAAGAGGGGCATAAACTAAGGAATGTGGGTGGCCTTTAGAAACTGGAAAAGGCAAGAAAGTGGATTCTTCCCTCAATCCTCCAGAAAGGAACACAGCTGAGATCTAAACTCTAGCCTTTTTCCTGTCTTGCCCAAATTCCTTTTTTTTTTTTTTGTTTTGGAGATGGAGTCTTGCTCTGTCACCCAGGCTGGAGTGTAGTGGTGTGATCTGGGCTCACTGCAACCTCCACCTCCCGGATTCAAGCAATTCTTGTGCCTCAGCCACTCGAGTAGCTGGGACTACAGGCACACGCCACCACATGCCACCACTTGAGGCTAATTTTTTGTATTTTTAGTAGAGATGGGGTTTCACTATGTTGGCCAGGCTGGTCACGAACTCCTGACCTCAAGTGATCCACCCGCCTCAACTTCCCAAAGTGCTAGGATTACAGGCGTGAGCCACTGCGCCCAACCCCAAATTCCTTTCTTAGGGGCCCCAGGATTCACCTTCTACAAATCGTAAAATCTCATCAGGTGGGTTTTATTTAACCCTATATAACACGGCTTACTTTCCAACCTGACTCTGGCACAACATCACATGAAAGGCAAAGAAGGAAACAGTCAGGTGCAGAGGCTAACGTCTGTAATCCCAGCACTTTGGGAGGCCAAGGCGGGCAGATCGTTTGAGCCTAGGAGTTTGAGACCAGCCTGGGCAATATAGGAAGACAAAAAATACAAAAATTAGCCAGGCATGATGGCGCATACCTATAGTCCCAGCTAGCTGGGAGGCTGAGGTGGGAGGATTGCTTGAACCCAGGAGGCAGAGGTTGCAGTGAGCCAAGATTGTGCCACTGCACTCCAGCCTGGTCAATAGAGTGAGGTGATGTCTCAAAAGAATAATAATAATAATAATAATGTCTATTAACTAGATCTTTCCTCTTCCAGACCCTCCCAATCCTGAAGAGATTAGCTAGAGTGTAGCATCTTTTAAAGGTCTAAATAGGAAACATTTGCCATTTATTGTCTCTAAGGGCAGCCACCTATAAGACTTCATCTACATAATAACTCTCATTTCTGCACACCCTTACCTATACTCAGACACCACTTTCTGTTGATTCCAGGTCTTTAGATAATAACTCTTTCAACCAACTGCCAATCATAAAATCCTTGAATCCACCTGTGACCTGTAAGCTCTGCTTCGGGTTGTCCTGCCTTTCCAGACTGAACCCATGTGTACCTCACATATACTGATTGATGTCTTATGTCTGTATAAATCCAAGCTGTAACCCAATGACCTTGGGCACATTTTCTCAGGACCTCTTGAGACTGTCCCTTTGGCCATGGTCATTCATATTTAGCTCAGAATAAACCTCTTTAAGTATTTTACAGAGTTTGACTCTTCATCAACACAGCCCTACTGACAGGCTTGATTTTAGCCCAATGAGATCTGTGTCAGACTTCTGACCTACCTAACGAAGAGAATAAATTTGTGTCCTTTAAGCCATTAAGCTTGTGGTTATTTACTACAGCAGCAATAGGGATCTAATATGAGTCCCTTGACTAACCATGAAGACCTTTCTCCATGGAAATCTAGACAAATGACAGAGCTCATCTCTAACATGGTTTGAGAAATTGGTCATTGGTGAAGCAAAAGTACATGGAGAAGGATGTATCTGTCAAAGGCTTTAAACCAGGGCTTGCAAACGAAAAGCCCAAGAGCAAAGCCTACAGAAGAGGGTGTTTTGTTTTCTGTACACTGCTTCAATAACTAGAAAACTTAATATGAAATGTGGGGTTCTGGTTTCTCTTAAAAAGCTGAAAGGGAGGCCAGGTGTTGTGGCTCATACCTGTACTCCCAGCACTTTGTGAGGCCAAGGCAAGAGGATCACTTGAGGCCAGGAGTTCAATACCAGCCTGGGAAACAAAGAGAGACTCTTGTCTCTACAAAAAACAGAAAAATTAGCGGGCGCGGTGGCACATGCCTGTAGTCCCAGCTACTTGGGAATCTGAGGCAGGAGGATGGCATAAGCCTAGGAGTTGGAGGTTGCAGTGAGCTGTGATCAAGCCTCTGCACTCCAAGCTGGGTGACAAAGCAAGATCCTGTCTCAAAAAAAAAAGTTATTCATCTTAAGAGTTCATCTGAGTTCTTCATCTTAAGAACTCAGGCTAGGCCAGGTGAAGTGGCTCACCCTGTAATCCCAGCTCTTTGGGAGGCCAAGGTGGGCAGATCACCTGAGGTCAGGAGTTCAAGCCCAGCCTGTCCAACATGGCAAAACCCCGTCTCTACTAAAAATACAAAAATTATCCAGGCATGGTGGCACACACCTGTAGTCCCAGCTACTTGGGAGGCTGAGTCATGAGAATCAACTGAACCCAGGAGGCAGAGGTTGCAGTGAGCCGAAATCACGCCACTTCACTCCAACCTGGACAATGGAGTGAGACTCCACCTCAAAAAGAAAAAAGGGAACTCAGGCTAGTTCACCTTCTCTCATCTTCTCCCAATCCCCACTCCTCTCCCAGCCATTCTAGGAATGCTCTTAGTTTTTGGGCAGTGGTTTCTGGACTTCAGAATGGCCTAAGATTTTGTTTTCCCTGATACAGCAGACACTTAAGCCCCCAGCTGGATTCCCACCCAGCAACTGGAGCCAGGCTGGGAGAAGGTAGCTAACACAGGCAGGCCACTCAGGAAGGAACTTTGGAAACAAGTGGATAGAGGCCAAGCCCTGTCCTTGGGAACCAGAGAGGGAGATGTGTTTATCAGTTCCCAGGCAGGCTTCTTTCTGAAGGTCTGCCCAGGAAAAGGCCGAATGCCCCCTCCTCCTGGGTAACTTTCCCTGAAGCAGTTTGTGTTCTGGAGAGATACCAAGATGAATTCAGGCCCCTCCTCTCTGGCCTCCGGAGTTTACTCACAAACTGAGTTTGGGCTGGGTAAATTCATATCCTCAGTCTATAACCTTGACGGAGCCTGAGCTCTTGATTCCAGTCCAAACCAATGGCAGCCTACAAGAGGACAAGGCCAGAGGGTGAGTAAAAACATTAACCTGGGGAGAGAGGCAGAGTCCGCTCCAACAATCTGCAAGTCCAACACCAGGAGAGAGGTGCAGCGCAGAGGTCGGTGGGGGGATGCATACTAGCAACCCACAACACTCCATCCCAGCCCCACCGCACTTTGGCCCCTGGTCCCGGAAGGAAGGGGACCGTCGCTTGCATTAGGAGAAAGGAGAGGTATGCCCCTTCCTCATGAGGGGTGAAAGGAAGTGACGTGAGTCTGGATAGCCAGAGCATTTTCCTCGGCCAATGCAGGCCAAGTACAAAAAGCTCACAGCAGCCAAGCAAGACAAGCCTGTGATCCAACCCAGTTCAGGGCACACAGGTGAATGATCACAACCTCAAAAATACCAGAACTGGAAGGAATCCAGGAGAACTTCTAGTTTGGTGATTTTTGGACAGTGCTTGACAGAGCCCTAGTATTTTAAATAACTTTCAAAGGGGCCACTGATGTGGAATGGGGACAGAGAGAGAAATCCTACTGTGATTCAAACAAAGCAGGTCTATTTTTATTTTTTACTGTATTTTTAAAATTATTTTAGAGACAGGGTCTCACTTTGTCACTTCGGCTGGAATGGGAGTGCAGTGATATAATCCAAGCTCACTGTAGCCTTGACCTCCCTGGCTCAAGCAACCTTCCCGCCTCCGACTGCCAAGGAGCTGGGACTACAGGTGCTCACCACCAAACCCAGCTAATGCTTTTATTTTTGTAGAGATGGGATCTCACCAAGTTGCCCAATCTGGTCTCAAACTCCTAGCTCAAGCCATCCTTCTGCCTCAACCTCCCAAAGTGCTGGGATTACAGGCATGAGCCACCATGCCTGGATATTTTTATTTTTTATACATACAGTTTGTACATTTCACCTCAATTAAATATTTAAATAAGTTAATTAAATTAACTATATTACTGCACATGAGCCGGGTGCAGTGGCCCATACTTGTGTCCCAGCTACTCAGGAGGCTGAGGTGGGAGGATTGCTTGAGCCCAAGAATTCTAGGCTGCAGTGCGCTATGCCAGTTAAATGTCTACACTGAATTTGGCATCAATATGGTGACCTCCCAGGAGCTGAGGGCTATCAAGGTTGCCTAAAGAGGGATGAACTCACCCAGGTCAGAAACGGAGCATGTCAAAACTCCTGTACTGATCAGTAGTGGGATCATGCCTGTGAATAGCCACTGCATTCCCGCCTGGACAACATGTTGAGACCACATCTCTTTTTTTAAAAATGACTGCATTAAAAGACTAAGCTACAGGTCATGCGTAGTAGTTCACACCTGTAATCCCAGCTCTTTGGGAGGCCGAGGCAGGCAGATCACTTGAGGTCAGAAGCTCAAGACCAGCCTAGTCAACATGGTGAAACACCATCTCTACTTAAAAAAAAAAAAAAAAAAAAATGGCCGGGTGCGGTGGCTCACGCCTGTAATCCCAGCACTCTGGGAGGCCGAGGCAGGCGGATCACAAGGTCAGGAGATCGAGACCATCCTGGCTAACACAGTGAAACCCCGTCTCTACTTAAAAAAAAAATACAAAAAATTAGCTGGGCATGGTGGCGGGTGCCTATAGTCCCAGCTACTCGGGAGGCTGAGGCAGGAGAATGGCGTGAACCCGGGAGGCGGAGCTTGCAGTGAGCCGAGATCGCGCCACTGCACTCCAGAACTCCAGCCTGGGAGACAGAGCCAGACTCCGTCTCCAAAAAAAAAAAAAAAAAAAAAAAAAAAAAAAAAAAAAATTAGCTGGGCATGGTGGTGGGCACCTGTAATCCCAGCTACTCTACTCGGGAGGCTGAGGCAGGAGAATCGCTTGAACCAGGGAGGCGGAAGCTTCAGTAAGCCAAGATCCCGCCATTGCACTCCATCCTGGACAACAGAGTGAGACTCCATCTCAAAAAAAAAAAAGGTTAAGCTGGCCGGGCACGGTGGCTCACGCCTGTAATCCCAGCACTTTGGGAGGCTAAGCCGGGTGGATCGCCTGAGGTCAGGAGTTCAAGACTAGCTTGGCCAACATCGTCTCTACTACAAATACAAAAATTAGTGGGGCATGGTGGTGGGCGCCTCTAATCCCAGCTACTAGGGAGGCCGTGGCAGGAGAATTGCTTGAACTTGGGAGGCAGAGGTTGCAGTGAGCCAAGATGGCACCATTGCACTCCAGCCCGGGCAACAAGAGCAAAACTCCATCGAAAGAAAGAATGAAGAAAGGAAGGAAGGAAGGAAAGGGAGAGAGAGAAAGAGAGAGGAAGGAAGAAAGAAAGGAAGAAAGAAAGAGAGAGAGAGAAAGAAAGAAAGAAGAGAAAGGAAAAGGTTAAGGTACAAAAAAAAAATCGAAAATCACCAATCTTATTCTTCACTTTATAAATGAGAAAACTGAGATACAAAGGCGAATAACTGGAAGTCACAGAGAAAGTAAGCAAACCAGGACTCAAGTATGGAGAAATTTCTAGGCATCCACCAGATTCCATTCTCCCCTTCTTCCTTTTATTGAAACACCTGCCCCAGGCTTTAACCAGACACATAACTATTGGGCTAGAGACCACAGTCCACAGCCTCCTTTGCAGTGACTACATTCTCAGCAATGTGAATGAAAATAATGCTCTGTTTCTTATAAGGAAAATGCTGTTTCTTCATTCTTTGGTATCCTTCCTTTGAGTTGGGACATAAAATATCTAACTGTTGAGATAAGATAAGACCAGACCTTATGAACAAGGAACACGTCTCAGGACACACCCACATAGAAAAAGAACCTGGATCTCCCGAAGGCTTTGTGAATCAGAACCACCTCCTTGCCCTGCACTTTCTACTTTCTTTGGAATATTTATGAGACAGAAATAAACTGGATTGTTGGAGCACTCTGGTATTTTTACGTCTGTTTGTTACAGTAGCTATATCATTTATCAATTGCTAAGTAACAAATTACCCCACAACACAGTAGTTTGAAACAAAAAACGTGGGAGGCCCAGGCAGGAGGATCACTTGAGGCCAGAAGTTCAATGCCAGCCTGGGCAACATAACAAGAACCCATCTCTTCAAAAAAAAAAAAAAATTAAAAATTAGCTGGGCATAGTGGCTTGCACCTGCAGTCCTAGCTACTCAGGAGGCTGAGGCAGAATGTTTGCTCAAGCCCAGGAGTTTAAGGTTGCAGTGAGCTATGATCACACTAGTATACTCCAGCCTGGGCAACAAAATGAGACCTTGTCTTAAAAATAAAAATTGGCCGGGCACAGTGGCTCACACCTGTAATCCCAGCACTTTGGGAGGCCAAGGCAGGTGAATCACCTGAGGTCAGGAGTTCGAGACCAGCCTGGCCAGCATGGTGAAATCCTGCCTCTAATAAAAATACAAAAATTAGCTAAGCGAGGTGGCGGGTGCCCGTAATGCCAGCTACTTGGGAGGCTGAGGCAGGAGAATCGCTTGAGCCTGGGAGGTGGAGGTTGTAGTGAGCCCAGATCATGCCACTGCACTCCAGCCCGGGCAACAGAGCAAGACCCCGTATCAAAAATTCATAAATAAATAAATAAAAATTAGGCCTGGTGCAGTGCCTCACATCTGTAATTCCAGCACTCTGGGAGGCTGAGACTGGTCGATCATTTGAGGCCAGGAGTTCAAGACCAGCCTGGCCAACATGGTGAAACCCTGTCTTTACTAAAAATACAAAAATTAGCCTGGCATGGTGGTGCATGCCTGCAGTCCCAGCTACCTAGGAGGCTGAGATATGAAAATTGTTTGAACCCAGGAGGCAGAAGTTTCAGTGAGCTGAGACTGAACCACTGCACTCCAGCCTGGGCAACAGAGTGAGACTCTCTCTCAAAAATATAAATTATACAATTAATTAAAATTAAAATTAAAAAAATTTAAAACCATTTCTTGTCTCATAGTTTCTGTGGGTTAGGAACTGAGGAGCAGCTCAGCTGCCTCAGGATCCCTTCTGAGGCTGCAGCCAGAGTATTGGTGGGGACCACAGCCATCCAGAACTGCTAGCTCAGGACTAGAATATTCACTCCCACGTTCATCCACTCTGGCTGCTGTCAGAGACCGCAGCTCCTCATCGCGTGGCTTCTCCACAGGTGAGTGTCTTTGTGAGGCGGTTCTTGGCTTCCCCCAGAGCAAATGACCAGAAATAAGGAGTGGCCCAGAAGGAAACTGCCGTGCATTTTTATAACCCAGTCTCCAGTCCCAAGTCAAGCACTGTCACCTCCCTTTCATTCTATTTGCTAGAAAAGTCGCCAAGTTCTTTGTAATCCCATCACCTTGGGAGGCCAAGGTGGGAGGCCAGGAGTTCAAGACCAGCTGGGCAACATAGCAAGACCCTATCTCTCCAAAAATCAAAACAAAATAAACAGCTAGGCATGGTGGTACACACCTGTAGTCCTTGCTACTCGGGAGCCTGAGGTGGGAGGATTGCTTGAACCCAGAAGTTGGAGGAAGCAGTGAGCTAGAATTGAGCCACTGCACTCCAGCCTGGGTGACAGAACGAGACACTGTTTCAAGAAAAAAAAAATTAAAATTAAAAACAAAAAATACGGCCGGGCACCGTGGCTCATGCCTGTAATCCCAGCACTTTGGGAGCCTGAGGTAGGCAGATCACCTGAGGTCGGGAGTCCGAGATCAACCTGACCAAAATGGAGAAACCCCATGTCTACTAAAAACACAAAATTAGAGGTTACAGTGAACCAAGATCGCGCCATTGCACTCCAGCCTGGACAGCAAGAGTGAATCTCAAAAAAAAAAAAAAATTAAAAATTAAGAATTAAAATAAATTTCTTTTTTAAGAAAAAGTCACCAAATCCTGCCCAAGCTCAAGGGGGTGAGAACTAGGCTCCACTTTTTAAAGGGAGGAGTATCAAAGAATGTGTGGACATATTTTAAAACAACCGTAGTGGCTCAGCCTGTATCCTAACTATCATTATTAACTCAACTTTTTTTTCTTTTTTTGAGACAAGTTCTGGCTCTGTCCCCCAGGCTGCAGTACAGTGGTGCCATCTTGGCTTGCTGCAACCTCCACCTCCCAGGCTCAAGTGATCCTCTCATCTCAGTCTCCAGGGTAGCTGGGGCTACAGGCGCATACCGCCACAGCCAGTGAGTGAGTGAGTGAGAGAGAGAGAGAGAGAGAGAGAGAGAGAGAGAGAGAGAGAGAGTGTGTGTGTGTGTGTGTGTGTGTGTGTGTGTGTGTGTGTGTATCTTCTTTTGTAGAGATGGGGTTTTGCTATGTTGTCCAGTCTGGACTCAAACTCGTGAGCTCAGCTGGGTGCAGTAGCTCACACCTGTAATTTCACCACTTTGGAAGGCCAAGATGGGCGGATCACCTGAGGTCAGGAGTTCAAGACCAGCCTGGCCAACATGGTGAAACCCTGTCTCTACTAAAAAAAAAAAAAAAAAAAAAAATACAAAAATTAGCTGGGCATGATGGCGGGTGCCTATAATCTCAGCTACTCAGAAGGCTGAGGCAGGAGAATCGCTTGAACCTGGGAGGCAGAGGTTGCGGTAAGCCGAGATCATGCCACTGCACTTCAGCCTAGACAACAAGAGCAAGACTCCATCTCAAAAAAAGAAAACAAACAAAAAAAAAAACCACACACTCCTGAGCTCAAGCAATCCACCCGCCTCGGCCTCCCACAGCACTGGGATTATAAGGATGAGCCATGGTGCCCAGCCTAATCCATAACTTTTACAGAATTTTTTTTATTCTGCATCCTAATTAATACGCTAAATCTACCAACTCCTATCCCAGTGCATATTCTGAGCCATAATGCTTCATGATGTAGTTCAAGGACAATAATAACATCACTGGGGGCTTTTTATGTGCCAGGCACATGCCAAGCATTTTCAAACATTTTGTGCCTCATGAGAACCTCTGTGGTAGATTCTACGACAAGCCTTATTTTTTTTATTTTTTATTTTTTTCCAGTTTCAGCCCAGGCTGAGTTCCAGCCCAGGCTGGAGTGCAATGGCACGATCTCGGCTCACTGGAACCTCTGCCTCCTGGACTCAAGCAATTCTCCTGCCTCAGCCTCCTGAGTAGCTGCGATTACAGGCATGCACTACCATGCCTGGCTATTTTTTTATTTTAGGTAGAGACGGGGTTGCGCCATGTTGACCAGGCTGGTCTCAAACTCCTGACCTCAGGTGGTCCACCCGCCTCGACTTCCCAAAGTGCTGGGCTTACAGGCGTGAGCCACCGCGCCCTGCCGACATGCCTTAATTTTGTAGGTGAGGAAACAGGTTTAGCAGAGTACATACCAGTCCACACTCCTACACTTTACTTTTTTTTTTTTTTTTTTTGAGAGTCTCACTGTGTTGCCCAAACTGGAGTGCAGTGGCATTATCTTGTGTCCGGAAGTGGTGGCTTCTTGGTCTCACTGACTTCAAGAATGAAGCCGTGGACCCTCGCGGTGTGCGTTACAGCTCTTAAGGTGGTGTGTCTGGAGCCTGTCCCTTCTGATATTCAGATGTGTTTGGAGTTTCTTCCTTCTCGTGGGTTCGTGGTCTCGCTGGCTCAGGAATAAAGCCGCAGATCTTCGCGGTGAGTGTTACAGCTCTTAAGGCAGCGTATCTGGAGTTGTTCCTTCCTCCCGGTGGGCTTGTAGTCTCACTGGGCTCAGAAGTGAAGCCGCAGATTTTCGCGGTGAGTGTTACAGCTCATAAATACAGCATGGACCCAAAGAGTGAGCAGTAGCAAGATTTATTGCAAACAGCGAAAGAACAAAGCTTCCACAGTGTGGAAGGGGACCCGAGCACGTTGCTAATGTTGGCCCGGGCAGCCTGCTTTTATTCTCTTATCTGGCCCCACCCACATCCTGCTGATTGGTAGAGCCCAGTGGCCTGTTTTCTCAGGGCGCTGATTGGTGCGTTTACAATCCCTGAGCTAGATACAAAAGTTCTCCACGTCCCCATCAGATTAGTTAGATACAGAGTTTCCACACACAGGTTCTCCAAGGCCTAGAGCAGCTAGATACAGAGTGTCGATTGGTGCACTCACAAACCTTGAACTAAACACAGGGTGCTGATTGGTGTATTTACAATTCCTGAGCTAGATATAAAGACTCTCCACGTCCCCACCAGACTCAGGAGCCCAGCTGGCTTCACTTGATGGATCCCGCACAGGGGCTGCAGGTGGAGCTGCCTGCTAGTCCTGCGCCGTGCGCTCGCATTGCTCAGCCCCTGGGTGGTCGATGGGACTGCGCGCCGTGGAGCAGAGGGTGGCGCTCGTCGGGGAAGCTCGGGCCGCACAGGAGCCCATGGAGTGGGTGGGAGGCTCAGGCATGGCGGGCTGCAGGTCCCGAGCCCTGCCCTGTGGGAAGGCAGCCAAGGCCCGGCGAGAAATCGAGCGCAGCGCCGGTGGGACAGCACTGCTGGGGGACTCGGTACACCCTCCGCAGCCACTGGCCCGGGTGCTAAGTTCCCCATTGCCCGGGGCCAGCAGGGCTGGCTGGCGGCTCCGAGTGCGGGGCCCACCAAGCCCACATCCACCCAGAACTCCAGCTGGCCCGCAAGTGCCGCACACAGCCCCGGTTCCCGCTCGTGTCTCTCCCTCCACACCTCCCTGCAGGCTGAGGGAGTGGGCTCCGGCCTTGGCCAGCCCAGAAAGGGGCTCCCACAGTGCAGTGGGGTACTGAAGGGCTCCTCAAATGCCACCAAAGTGGGAGCCCAGGCAGGGGAGGTGCTGAGAGCAAGCGAGGGCTCTGAGGACTGCCAGCACGCTGTCACCTCTCAATCTCACCTAGCTACAACTTCCACCTCCCAAGATCAAGCAATTCTTGTGCCTCAGCCTCCCAAGTAGCTGGGATTATAGGCACCTGCCACCATGCCTGGCTAATTTTTTTATTTTTAGTAGAGACAGGGTTTTTTCACCACATTGGCCAGGCTGGTCTCAAACTCCCAGTGGGTGATCCACCCACCTCGGCCTCTCAAAGTGTTGGAATTACAAGCATGAGCCACTGTGCCTGGTCCCAAGCCTTACTCTTTTTTTTTTAGATTTTTTTTTAAAAATTATACTTTAAGTTCTGGGGTACATGTGTAGAATGTGCAGGTTTGTTACACAGGTATACATGTGCCATGGTGGTTTGCTACACCCATCAACCCATCACCTATATTAGGTATTCCTCCTAGTGCTATCCCTCCCCCAAGCCTTACTCTTAATCACTGAACTAGTGCTGGGGAAAATGTGTGCTTTATGGAGAGAGACTGAGATTGGTTGGAGTTCTGGCACCAACACTTAAGAATTGTCTGATTTTCGGCAGGGCATCATGGCTCACACTTGTGATCCCAGCACTTTGGAAGGCCGTGGTGAGTGGATCACCTGAGGTCAGGAGTTCAAGACCAGCCTGGCCAACAGGGTGAAACCCCATCTCTACTAAAAATACAAAAATTAGCTGGGCGTGGTGGAGGGCACCTGTAGTCTCAGCTACTTGCTTGGGAGGCTGAGGCAGGATTATTGCTTGAACCCAGGAGGTGGAGGTTGCAGTGAGCCAAGATGGTGCCACTGCACTCCAGCCTTGGTGACAGAGCGAGACCCTTTCTCAAAAAAAGAAAAAAAGAATTATGTGATTTTTCTTTTATTTGCTCATCTTTGTTAGGCAAGAATTATGTGATTTTTGGTGAAACCTAGTCTTCTTGGGCTTTGATTTTACCTTATAGAAAAATAGAAAAAAGATAATCCCTTAATGGTTATGATAAGGAATAAATAAAACTATCCAAAGACCTGAGCACAGGGCTTGGCACAGATAGGGGTGGTCAGTAAAAGGTGGTCTTCTCCTCTCCTTCACTTTTTTCTCAAATCTCCACTCTCATTCATACATGAGATGGTTCAGCTGTGGCCAGACTGTTGGCTTCGTTCCAGAAAGCAAAACGTAGCAGGACTATGCGGAATTCCTGGGAAACCAGGTACGCCTGAACTCCATAGCCTTTGTTTCCTCCCAGCCTCTGCTGACACTTAGGAAAAGCATCAGAGCATTCCCTAAAGAAATACTTTAATTAATAAAAGCCCCTGGCACCATCCCAGAACTGCCCCAGCTTCTGGAGAGACAAAGTGTTTTCCTCCTTAGTCACACCAATGCCTTTTTCTCTGATTGCACTTTCCACGTGGTTTTCGAGCTGACAGGAAGGGTGGGAAATTGCTGCTTTGCTTTCCTGGAGAACCACAGACTAGGACCTGGGGGCATTGCTGGGTAGATTATGAACACCTTTGGCCAAGAGTTGCATCGATCCCCTAAAAAAACCTAGGTACTGGCCAGGCGCGGTGGCTCATGCCTATAATCCCAGCATTTTGGGAGGCCGAGGCAGGCGGATCACCTGAGGTCGGGAGTTCGAGACCAGCCTAACCAACATACGAAAAATACAAAATTAGCCAGGCGTGGTGGTGCATGCCTGTAATCCCAGCTACTCAGGAGGCTGAGGCAGGCGAATCACTTGAACCCGGTAGGCGGAGGTTGCGGTGAGCCGAGATTGCGCCATTGCACTCCAGCCCTGGGCAACAAGAGCAAAACTCTGTCTCAAAAAAAAAAAAAAAAAAAAATTCCTGTTACTGAGACTTCTAGGGTATCTGGACAGAAGAAGGCTAGATCTTCCAAGAATAAAAATTGCAGCCGGGGAGACAGAGCAAGATCCTGTCTCAAAAAAAAAATAAAAAGAAAACGCGAAGGCTTCATTTGCCCAATATACAATGCACGACTCTCAACACCTTCAAAGAATTACATGCCCCTCCCATGAAAACGCTTCTTTTTTTTTTTTTTTTTTTTTTTTGAGACGGAGTCTTGCTCTGTCGCCCAGGCTGGAGTGCAGTGGCGCGATCTCGGCTCACTGCAAGCTCCGCCTCCTGGCTTCACGCCATTCTCCTGCCTCAGCCTCCCAAGTGGCTGGGACTACAGGCGCCCGCCACCACGCCCAACTAATTTTTTGTATTTTTAGTAGAGACAGCATTTCACTGTGTTAGCCAGGATGGTCTCGATCTCCTGACCTCGTGATCCGCCTGCCTCGGCCTCCCAAAGTGCTGGGATTACAGGCGTGAGCCACCGTGCCTGGCCTGAAAATGCTTCTTATACAAAATTTAAAAGTTTGGGAAAATATTGTCACAATTTGTCTAATTCTGAAACATGACATGTTTACTTGGGGTTATTTATCGTTTTTTTGGTGGGAGGGCAGGGAACTGGGTCTCACCCTGTCACCCAGGCTGGAGTGCAGTGGCACAATCTCAGCTCACTGCAACCTCTGCCTCCCAGGCTCAAGCCATCCTCCTGCCTCAGCTTCCTGAATAGCTGGGACTACAAGTGCACTCCACTATGCCCAGCTAATTTTTGTACTTTTTGTAGAGATGGGGTTTTGCCATGTTACCCAGGCTGGTCTTGAACTCCTGAGCTCAAGTGATCTGCCTACCTTGGCCTCCCAAAGTGCTGGGATTACAGGCATGA
This sequence comes from Homo sapiens, assembly GCF_000001405.40. Lineage (NCBI taxonomy): Eukaryota > Metazoa > Chordata > Mammalia > Primates > Hominidae > Homo > Homo sapiens. Next base: position 33,571,028 of record NC_000008.11, on the reverse strand, counting down.
GCCATGGCCCCCAGCCATTTATCATTTTTTACAACCATCCATGGTTACCATTCTCTGCTACATTATCGGGTCACACTTGGAGGCCCATGAAAGAGGGTGTCTTACTAAAGATGAAAGGAGGTGATTCAGGCCTTTTCCCCCATGCACCTCCACAGAATTGACTGCTTCTCTCCAGAGTGTTTCTCTAATGTTCACAAGGCCTTAAAATGAGGGGGCTCACGGAGTGTCTAAGAGGAAGCTGGAGTCAGGCAGTGGGAATAAAAAGAATCCCTTGACTCCTCAGAAGCTTTCCTAGGCCAGGCACGGTGGCTCCTGCCTGTAATCCCAGCACTTTGGGAGGCCAAGGCTGAGGGATTGCCTGAGTTCAAGAGTTTGAGACCAGCCTGGGCAACATGGCGAAACCCCAGAAAATTAGCCAGGCATGGTAGTATGCGCCTGTAGTCCCAGCTGGTCGGGAGGCTGAGGTGGGAGGATCGCTTGAGCCTGGGAGGTGGAAGTTGCAGTGAGCCGAGATGTCACCACTGCACCACTGGGTGACAGAGCAAGACCCTGTATAAAAAAATTAATTAATTTTAAAAAAAAGTTTTTCCGGAAGTTTAGTATTATTTTTTCCCTTTCCATGGAAGATTTTAAAACATATTTCTTTCTTTTCTTTTCTTTTGTCTTGCTCTGTTGCTCAGGCTAGTGTCTAGTGGCACAATCATAGCTCACTGCAGCCTTGAACACCTCAGCCTCTGGAGTAGCTGGGACTACAGGCATGTGCCGCCATGCCCAGCTGATGTTTATTTTTTGTAGAGATGGGGTCTTGCTATGTTGTCCAGGCTGGTCTCCAACTCCTGGCTCAAGCTCCTTCACCTCAACCTCTCAAAGTGCTGAGGTGTGAGCTACCACACCCATCCTAGAAACATATTTCTACCTCATATTTATCAAGTAGCTTTGAATATATGGCCCATCATCTTCTTTACTGTTTCAGTTTCTTCCTCAATAAACCAAACTAGTCTTCCTGACTCATGTGGAGCTGAGTCACCTGGTGGTGAGGGTGGAGGAGTGAGAGATCTAAATTTGGTTGACATGGTGTGAGAAATCAGCTTATCTTTCATAGAACCCTTCAGTCCAGGAAAATGCTGGGACTGAACCAATCATTTCAAAGATGCCCAGAACCAAAGCCCTTCTACCAACATATAACTCCCAATGTCAGCCATCAGTTGAGGTCCTGTGGCCACACTGGCCAGGAGGGACGAAGGGAGGAGAGTGTGAAGGGATACAGCAGTTTTTCGAAATTGGAGTCCTTAAGTGCCTCTGGAGATCTTATTGAATGCTTAAAATATCAGGCTTAAAATATAAATTGTTGCACCTGTAATCCTAGCTGCTCAGGAGGCTGAGGCAGGAGAATCACTTGAACCTGGGAGGCGAAGGCTGCAGTGAGCTGAGATCAAGCCACTGCACTCCAGCCTGGGCGACACAGAGCAAGACTCCGTTTCAAAAAAAGAAGAATTTCCATCATTCCTACCTTTAAGGGTGTTTTCCTTCCAAGAACCTCTAGTCCAAAGGCGAGTGGGACGGGAGGTGTTCCTCACTTCCCATCAATTTTCCCTTCAAAGGCTCTCCTTCTTTCACAGTCTGGCGCTGGAGGCAGTTAGCAGGAGAGCCTTAATAAAATTAGGATTACCCATCACATCTCTCCCCCGAGCCAATGAATAGAAAGAACAATAGTTACCATTATGCACACTTTTTTTTTTAAAGACTTTATTTTTCAGCGTAGTTTTAGGTTCACAGCAAAATTGAGAAGAAGGTACAGAGTTCTGATACACCCCCAGCCCCACACATGTATAGCCTCCCCCATTAATCCTAGCACTTGGGAGGCTGAAGCAGGCAGATAGCCTGAGCTCATGAGTTTGTGACCAGCCTGGGCAACGTGGCTAAACCCAGTCTCTACAAAAAAAAAAAAAAAAAAAAAATTAGCCGGGCATAGTGGTGAGTGCCTGTAGTGCCAGCTACTCAGGAGGCTGAGGTGGGAGGATGGCTTGAACCCAGGAGGTGGAGGTTGTAGTGAGCCAAGATCATGCAACTGCATTCAAACCTGGGCAACAGAACCAGACCTTGTCTCTAAATAAATAAAAACAACAACAAAAAAGAATATACACAGCCTATGTTCAAGGAAGAGTAACAACAAAAAGCTTCATGGCTGATGAATAGTGTGTGGTGAAGGGGAGTATTTGAGTATGAGGAAGACTGAAACAAATAAGGCTAGACTGAAACACTTTATTTTAATAGTTTTTTCTTTTTTCTTTTTGAAACAGAGTAGTCTCATTCTGTCGCCCAGGCTGGAGTGCAGTGGCACAATCACAGCTCACTGCAGCTGCATCCTCGACTTCTCGAACTCCAGTGATTCTCCCACCTCAGCCACCAGAGTAGCTGGGACCGCAGGTGCGCACCACCAGGCCCAGCTAATTTTTGTATTTTTTTTACAGGTGGCTTCACCATGTTGCCCAGGATGGTCTCAAACTCTTGAGCTCAAGCAATCTGCCCGCCTCAGCCTCCCGAAGTTTTGAGATTATAGGAGTGAGTCTAGACTGAAACATTTTGAATGCCACACTCTAGTTTACAGAACTTTATTCAGTAAACACTGGAGACCAACAAACGTTATCAAGCAAAGAAATGTTCAGATTTACATTTTACAGAGATAATTGTGACCAGAAGGGATGGACTTGAGAGTGAAATCAGAGCACTGTTTCTTTCAATAGCCGCATGAGAATTTGAGGGGTGGGGAAGACAAGGCACATTAAAATGAAAATTTCTGGGTCCACCCTTTATTGAATCAGAATCTCTGGGTTCAAGGCCTGGGAATCTGCATGTTACATCTCAAACATAGGAGTGATTCTTGTAGGCTCTGAAGTCTGAGCTATAGACTAGAATCAGAATGGCCAGTTAGGAAGCTTTTGCAATTATCCAATTAAGAAATGAAATGTCCTGGGTGCCATGGCTCATGCCTGTAATCCCAGCAATCTGGGAGGCTCAGGCGGGAGGATCACTTGAGTCCAGGAGTTCGAGACCAGCCTGAGCAACATAGTGAGGCCACTCATCTATACAAAACAATTAAAAAGTAGCTGGGCTTGGTGGCAGGCACCTGTGGTCCCAGTTTCTTGGGAGGCTAAGGTGGCAGGACTGCTTGGGCCCAGAAGTTGGAGGCTGCAGTAAGCTATTATTGCACCGCTGCACTCCAGCTGAGTGACAGAGCAAGACTCTAACTCAAAAAAGAAAAAGAGGGCCGGGAGCGGTGGCTCACGCCTATAATCCCAGCACTTTGGAAGGCTGAAGCAGGAGGATCACTTGAGGCCAGGAGTTCGAGAACAGCCTGTCCAACATGGCGAAACCCCGTCGCTATTAAAAATACAAAAATTATCTGGGCATGGTGGTAAGCGCCTGTAATCCCAGCTACTCAGGAGGCTGAGGCAGGAGAATCACCTGAACCCGAGAGGCAGAGGTTGCAGTGAGCTGAGATCGCGCCGCTGCACTCCAGCCTTGGCGATAGAGGCAGACTCTGCCTCCAAATACATAAGTAAATAAATAACAGATCTGTAGGCGGAAAACAATGTGGCAGTAATTGTTCCTTTGCCTTGGTGTCCCTGGGCAAAAGGCAGGCCCCCACTCCGGGGCATCGCTCGTCGCCGCTCCATTCTCTGCAGACCGAAGTTTCCCCAGGCCTGGGAAGACTAAGTGGGAGGCGCCCACCGTGCGAAGATCCTCCCGGCTTCCAGGGAAGGGAGGCTGGGCCTGCAAATAATAGCCGGGGGCAGGAGAAAGGCTCCGATTGGTCGGAGGGAGGGTGACGAACAAGGGGCGGAGTTTTCCTGGGGACTGGTGGGGGAAGTAAAAGGGAGGGGGTGTGCACCGCCGGGTGTCAGTTTCGGAACCCCAGCCAGCTCACCTCTGCGCCGCTGAACCCGATCCGAGCCTCCGGCAAAGGTTTTTCCCTCCTCCCCCGGCCGAGGGCTTCTGCAGCCCGGGCACCCCCGCCCCGCGGCGCCCCACATTCCCCCAGCCCGGGGCCCTTGGCGCGTGCGCTCCGTGCGGCTGTGCTCCGCGGGACTTTGTTTGTTTCCTCCTCGTCCCTCTTTGTTGGGCTGAACACCAGCCTCGTCAAAGCCCCCCACTCCGGAGGGAGTTCGGCTTCTCCAGCAGGGCGGCTGCAGCGCGCTGCCCCGACCCCGCCTGCGGCCCCTCACGCCGCTAGTGCTCCCACCCCGCCCTCCTGGCACCCCGCCTGCGTCCGTTCGCCCGAGGAAGCCAACCGCGACTTCATTGATGCACCCATTCCAGTGGTGTAACGGTGAGTCCCCGGGGCGAGGGCCGAGCCTACGTGGGGCTGGTGGGAGCCGCGGCGCGGGGTGCGAGGTCGGACAGCAGCGCGCTGGTCCTCCCTCGGGAACCAAGTTTCTCCTGAAATGGGACAGTCGAGAAGGCGTCTTGGCGCCCCACTCTGCTCTGCACAGCGCGGAATTTGAAACTATCCAGGTTTCACTCCAGAGCCTGGAAGGGGCCTCCGGACTGGCGGCGGGCCGGGGGCGTGGGAGCCGAGGGGTTCCCGGCCTTTGTGTGGCGGCCCGGCTCTTCTACCCCCTTCCCCTGCCTTTGTGCGCTCAAACTCTGTTCTTTGTTGTGGTTGTTGGAGGAGAATTAAATCCGCACTCGGGCTGGGATCTCCTAGAGGGAGCTCAAGTTCCCGGCCTGAAACTTTGCAGGCTATTGTAAATATGTATACCGTGCAGCGTGCGGGACTGGGCGCGGGGGTAGCTTCCTCTGGCTTTGTTGGTTTCCCACGGGCTGCTGGCGTGGCTTGGGTGCTTGCGGAAGACTGGATTAAAGAGTCGCTTTCGGCCAGGCGCGGTGGCTCACGCCTGTAATCCCAGCACTTTGGGAGGCCGAGGCGGGCGGATCACCTGAAGTCGGGAGTTCGAGACCAGCCTAACCAACATGGAGAAACTCCGTCTCTACTAAAAATACAAAATTAGCCGGGAGTGGTGGCGCATGCCTGTAAGCCCAGCTACTTGGGAGGCTGAGGCAGGAGAATCGCTTGAACCCAGGAGGCGGAGATTGCAGTGAGCCTAGATCGTGCCATTACACTCCAGCCTGGGCAACAAGAGCGAAACTCCATCTAAAAAAAAGCCGTTTTCCTGAGTTGATAAACCCTCGCAGAGAGCTCCGCGCCCGGCTGTCCCTGGGGTGCGAGGCTGGCCTGGCGGGAGCCGTGTTTCTGGCCACAAGGCCAGATTAGGGTGTCTGCTCCTGAGCCCAAGTGAAGGCCACACCTCCAGACGCGACAACCCCTCGCCCCATTTCTCCCCAGGCCTGGGTGATGCTTCTAAGTTAGTTCATTTCACCTGAGGCTTTTTGGAGGTTCAGGTGATACTGGGTTAGGCTGGAGTCTGATTCCTCAGCGAGCTACCTGAAAGGTAGGTGTTTCTGAGCGGGACACTTCAAAACCTTGGATACTAATCGCCCCCCACCCCACCCGCTCCAGTCCTCCTGGGGTCCTAGTCTTGACCGCGTTGTTCCGATGCTTGGAGAGTTTCTGGGAGAGAGAGATGGGAAGCAGCTGGCCTTATCTCTCAGTATGGCAAGCGAGCTAGTTACAGGGGGAAAAAAATCATTCTTTAGAGTAGACTCCTGCCAGATCTTGGATTAATTATGTCAAGAGGCTTTGTTTTGAGGCAGGGTTTGGGTAGCATGTATACCCCACATCCCCCCACCCCGCCTTCCTCCTTTTGCTGGTCGGATCTCATTTCCTGAAAATGAACCAAGCCGTGTGTGATAGGCGGTTTTGTGGGAGAGGGGGCAGAGGATGGGGGTTGAGGAAGGCCCTTGCACCCTAGCATCTGGGAAAGATTCCCGTTGGCTGGGAAAGAGAAGCAGTTCCCAGATCCCCTGGTCTTTCTTGGCCAGCCCTTGTCTGACGTCATTCCTGCTCCCAGCCTGCCAGATGAGATGAGACATTCTGATGTCAGTGCTTTCATAGGTTGGCCGAGACAATGGAACAGAGACTTAGGGAGAAATGAGGCAGCTGTCAGTAACACTGCCCTTTCTGGGCAGCGCCCTTTCATATCAGATTTTAGACTTGCTGCTTTATTTTTTTTATTTTTTATTTTTTATTTTTTTGAGACTGAGTTTCGCTCTTGTTGTCCAGGCTGGAGTGCAATGGTGTGATCTCGGCTCACCACAACCTCCGCCTCCCGGGTTCAAGCGGTTCTCCTGCCTCAGCTTCCCGAGTACCTGGGATTACAGGCATGTGCCACCATGGCCGGCTAATTTTGTATTTTTAGTAGAGAGGGGGTTTCTCCATGTTGTTCAGACTGGTCTTGAACTTTTGACCTCAGGTGATCTGCCCACCTCAGCCTCCCAAAGTGCTGGGATTACAGGCGTGAGCCACTGCGCCCAGCCTACTTTAATTTTTTTTTTGAGAGAGGGTCTCACTCCGACAACCATGCTGGAGTGCAGTGGCACGATCAGGGCTCACTGCGGCCTCCAACTCCCAGGCTGAAGGGATCCTCCTGCCTCAGCCTCCCAGCATAGCTGGAACCACAGGTGTGTGCAACCATACCTGGCTACTGGCTAATTTTTAATTAATTAATTAATTAATCTACTTTTTGGGGATAGGGTTTCACTACATTGCCTATGCTGGTCTTGAACTCCTGGGCTCAAGCAGTCCTCCCACCACGGACTCTCAAAATGCTGGAATTACCTGCAGGAGCCACCTTGTCTGGCCCTCTTTGCACTTCTTAGAAAAGTGACTGAGAGATCCTGTCCTTTGACTCCTGTGAAGAAGCAACCCTTCCCTCACCCCTTCAGAAACTACCTGGAGCCCCTCTTTCCTGGGGCTGGTATTCTCTGTCCTTATACAGTTTTAAAGAAAAACTTACTACAGTGTCAGCTTTTGACCAGTAGACTATTTTGCCATTTCTTTAATAGTAACACAAGCAAATGAACCATCTCCTCTTGACTATGCTCTTCCCACCGACCTCTTTATCACGTGAAATACCAAGCTCACTGATTCAATCAGTGGGAGATAAAGGGGAAGCCTTTATCAGGCAGGATAAGTTGGTGGGGATAAACTGATCAGAGGACTTGCGGGGACCATCGTGCTTGTGGAGTGCACAGATATCCTCTGTAATAGCTCTGACCAGGTTCTGCAAGTTCCCAGAACTGGAAACCAAAGGAGGTTTCAGCTCATAAAAGGTGCCTGGAAGAACTAAGGAAACGGGGGGTTAGACCCTCTTGTAACATCAAATAGTGCGGGGGAAGGAGGTGAGAAAACAGCTGGGAGCACCAGGTCTTGTTGGAAGGGAAGTCCTGAGCCCCTTTTCCAGCATAGACTGAAGTTTGTCACTCTAGCCAGTCTGCCATGATGTCCTCATGGAAAATTGTTCTTCTTTGACCCACAGAAAGTAAATATTTGGGTGGGGACTGGTGGTGAAAAGCACTTTCTCTCTAACCCCTACTAGAGCCTAGACACAAGGAACTTCCTGTTGGGCACAGCAAAGTTTAGTAGCTAATTATTTCTTTCATTTCAACTTAATCAAAAAGTCTTTCACAACAAGAACTTCTACTTTCTGTTTTCCCACAATGTGTAGGTCAGTGCATAAAGCAAGCCCTCAATAATACTTGCTGGTTGACTGGTGATCCATTAGCGGAGGGCAGTTTCTGGGCAATTTTCCCAAACATCAGTCCTGCTGCTTTGAAGTGGGAGGTTTTGCCAAGGGGACCAGGTTATTTTAAGAAAATGGGGAATTATTTATCTGTTAACTAGTTATTGAGAACAAGCCAAACTCTAGGCTAGGCCGGACACTGGAGAATATACAAAAGTCCAAGTTGGAGTCAGCAAACCTAGGAGGGTTCAGGCTTTTTTTTTTTTTTCTTTTTTTCTTGAGTCTCACTCTGTCGCCCAGGCTGGGGCACAGTGGCGCCATCTCAGCTCACTGCAGCCTCTGCCTCAGCTCACTGCAGCCTCTGCCTCCCGGGTTCAACCAATTCTCCTGCTCCAGCCTCCCGAGTAACTGGGACTACAGGTGTGCACCACCATGCCCAGGTTTTTTGTTTTGTTTTGTTTAGAGACGGGAGTCTCTCTCTGTTGCCCAGGCTAGAGTGCAGTGGTGTGATCTCCGCTCACTGCAACCTCCGCTTCCCAGGTCGAAGTAATTCTCCTGCCTCAGCCTCCCGAGTAGCTGGGATTACGGGTGCCAGACACCAAACCCAGCTAATTTTTGTATTTTAGTAGAGATGGTGTTTCACCATGTTAGCCAGGTTGGTCTTGAACTCCCGACCTCAGGTGATCTGCCTACCTCAGCCTCCCAAAGTGTTGGGATTACAGGCGTGAGTCACTGCACCTGGCCTGAGCCTCACTTTCTATGGTGAAAATCTTTGTGTCTTTTTTTCCTATGTGGTAAGATCATCAGATCATCTAATCTTTTTTTTTTCTTTTTCTTTTTTTTTTTTGAGACAAGGTCTTACTCTGGCCCATGCTAAGTGCAGTGGTGCAATTGTGGCTCACTGCAGCCTCGACCTCTCAGACTCAAGTGATTCTCCCATCTCAGCCTCCTGAGTAGCTGGGATTATAGGCACTTACCACCACACCCAGCTAATTTATCATTATTATTATTTGTAGAGGTGGGGGTCTTACTATGTTGCCTAGGTTAGTCTTGAACTTCTGGCCTCAAGCGGTCCTCCTGCCTCAGCCTCCCAAAATGCTGGAGTTACAGGTGTGAGCCACCACACCCGGCCTGTGCTTTCTTTTAATAGTACTTACCATATAATCAATGCTTAATGCACATTTGAGTTAAAGTAACTTAATGCTAGGAACGATGTAAGACAGTTAACTGAGTAAGTAGGGGCCGAACAAATGATGGAGGTCATGAGTGCTGTAGAATTGAAGGAAGAGAGGTTATTGGACTATCACAGGCTTGATGGGCCTCAGAGAGAGCGTTTCAGGCAGGGAAAGCTGTGTAAACAAAGACAGGGAAGCAGGCAAGGACAAGATTGTACAAGAAATAGTGAAAAAGACTGGCCCACATGGAGTAGTATTGGAGAACTTTTAAGTAGGAAGTTGTGAAGGGACAGGGTGAATGTTTTAGGAGGACTTGAAGCCAGTCATGAGTTTGTAAAATACAAGATCAAAACGACAAGGAGAGGGCGGGGCACAGTGGCTTATGCGCTGTAATCCCAGCACTTTCTTGGGAGGCCAAGACGGGTGGATCACTTGAGGTCAGGTGTTCAAGACCAGACTGTCCAACATGGTGAAACCCAGTCTGTACTAGAAATACAAAAACTAGCTGGGCGTGGTGGTGTACACCTATAGTCCTAGCTACTCAGGAAGCTGAGGTAGAAGGATCACTTGAACCCAGGAGGCAGAGGTTGCAGTGAGCCAAGATAGTGCCACTGCACTCTAGCCTGGGTGACACAATGCAAGACTGTCTAAAAAAAAATTAAAAAAAAAAAGGCAACTAGGAGGATGTGTCAGGCGTGTGGGGTAAATGAGAGAAGGAACTAGAAACAGGGATGACATCAACTAGGAAACAGTAGGAGGTGATGAGTGTTTACAATAGGGCTGTGGCAGTAGAATTGGGCACAGCCTGAAAGAGGTTTGAATGGAGGCTCGTTATATAGTCATCAGTAAGGGATGAGGAGGACTGATGTCCAAGTTGACTTCCAGTCTTTCAAGCCACCTTCTGCTGAGTTGTAGTAGCACTGGTTATTAGCGTATAGAATTCTGTGGCATGTGAATGCATCCTGGCTCCTAACCAAGATGTCAGGAAAGTGCCTAGAACCCAAGGCCTGGGTACAGAGAACCCTTTGGAGCTGGGCTTTCCTAGCTGTTTGACTGTGGGCGAGTTACTAAATGATTGAGTCTTTTTCCCATTGGCGGGGGGAAGTAACCTTTACTGTGGCAGTACAAAGATTAAATTGATAGCATGAGAATGTGCTTAGGATGCAGCAGGTGAACAGCAAATTCCAGCTCTCCCTTTCATCAAGGACTCCCCTCTTTCCCTTTCCCTTCTGCCATCCTCAGCCATTTGACTTTTTTTGTTTTGTTTTTGTTTTTGTTTTTAGATGGAGTCTTGCTCTGTCTCCAAGGCTGGAATACAGTGGCACGATGTCAGCTCACTTGCAACCTCCACCTCCCAGGTTCAAGTGATTCTCCTACCTCAACCTCCCGAGTAGCTGGGATTACAGATGTGTGCAACCATGCCCAGCTAATTTTTTAATAGAGATGGAGTTTCACCATGTTGGCCAGGCTGATCTCAAACTCCTGACCTCAAGCCATCCAGCCGTCTCGGGCTCCCAAAGTACTGGGATTACAGGCGTGAGACACCATGCCTGGTCAAGCATTTGACTTTCTACTGAGCTGCTCTTTCCAGCTACAGCTTGGCTATCACAATTCTAGGTGTCTCTGAGAGACATGACCCCCCTCACAAAAAAAAAAAGGAAAAAAAGAACCTGCCGGGTGCAGTGGCTCATGCTTATAGTCCCAGCCCTTTGTGGGGCTGAGGCAGGAGGATCTCATTGAGGCCAGGAGTTGGAGGATACAGTGAGGCATGTTTACACCACTGCACTCCAGCCTGCAGGGACAGAGTGAGACCTTGTCTCCAAAAACAAACAAGCAAAGTTCCTTTTCCAGCAGATCTCTTTGTTTCTTTGCTCAGAACCTGGTTACGTACCCACCTGAACACCAAATACTGGCAAGGGGGGAAGGGAGAGGTGACTATCATGATGAGTAGGCCAGTCAGTATTTATCCCTGAGTCCTGTGAGAAGGGATGCATCTAGTGGCTGGCCAGTGCTTTTCAAACTGAATGTGCAGGGGAATCACCTGAGGAGCTTGTTAAAACGTAGGTCCTGGCTAGGTGCCGTGGCTCATGCCTGTAATCCCAGCACCATGGGAGGCCAAAGTGGGTGGATCGCCTGAGGTCAAGAGTTCGAGACCAGCCTGGGCAACATGGTGAAACCCCATCTCTACTAAAAATTCAAAAATTAGCCGGGCATGGTGGCGTGCGCCTATAATCCCAGCTACTCGGGAGGCTGAGGCAGGAGAATCGCTTGAACCTGGGAGGCGGGGTTTGCAGTGAGCCAAGATCACGCCACTGCCCTCCAGCCTGGGTGACAGAGCAAGACTCTGTTTAAAAAAAAAAAAAAAAAAAACAGCGTAGGTCCTGATTCAGTTAGGCAGGGATGGACCCGAGAGTATATGTTTCTAAAAAGCTCCCAGAGGATGCTGCTGCCATTGGTACCACACATTGAGACTTTGAGGAGAAAGAGGGAAGGTGACCACAGTAAGGGAAGTTGCAACCTCCTCCCCACCCCCATCGCCACTTTCTGGAATGCTGGCCCAGGACTTGGAGTGAATAATTTCTATTCTAGTCCTGGCATGGCTTGTCTTCTGGAACAGGTGGCTTAATAATGACAAATGACCTTTGCAATTGTCCTTTGCAATTTACAAAGCATATTTTCTTATGCGCTCATTTTCATTCCTCTCTCTATTTTGCTTGTTTTCATATAACAAAGTGAAGCTTAGAGGTAATTTCTTAACGGTCATATGGCTAGCTAGGGATGGGGGAGTTGGAACCCAAATAATATTTTCTCAGCTAAGGCAATATGGGCTCCTACCTAATGGAATTAAGCTCTCCAGTTTCTGCCCATTGCCTAAATTCTTTTTTTTTTTTAATTTTTAAAAATAGAGATTGGGTCTCACGCTGTCACCCAGGCTGGTGTGCAGTGGTGTAATCACCGCTCATTGCAGCCTTGTACTCCTGGGCTCAAGTGATCCTCCCACCTCAGCTTCCTGAGTAGCTGGGACTACATGGTAGTACATGCGCTACCATGCCTAGCTAATTTTTCTATTTTTTTTTAGAGATGGGGTCTTATGTTGGCCAGGCTGTTCTTGAACTCTTGGCCTCGAGATCACCTGCCTCAGCCTCTCCAAAGTACTGGGATTACAGGCATGAGCCACCACACCCAGCTTGCCTGAATTTATTGTCCCTTAGATGGGGATATTGTTTTAAGTATTTTGGATAGTATTCAATTTTGTAGATCAGATTTACTCAAGATTACATAGCTAGTAAATGTTAGAACTAGGATATAAAACTGGAGCCACTGAATCTGAGGCTTAGGTGCCCAGAGCCTGCCAGTTATTTCTATCCTGCTGACACAGTGCTATCAGCCCAGCAGTAAATTTCCAACCCTAATGATTTTTTTTTCTCTCCCTTTGCAGGGTGTTTCTGTGGCCTGGGACTGGTTAGCACCAACAAGTCCTGCTCGATGCCACCCATCAGTTTCCAGGACCTTCCGCTCAACATCTATATGGTCATCTTCGGCACAGGCATCTTTGTCTTCATGCTCAGCCTTATCTTCTGCTGCTATTTTATCAGGTGCGTGGATCCCTGGCTGACCGGGGTGGGAGTCCAGCAGGAGGGAGGAGACCAGGGTTGTGGGGTAAGCTGAGCGAGGGTCCCACAGCAGAGTCACCAGTCTTATACTGGAGCCACCACTTTGAGGACACGGCTGAGCCTGCCCTTCTCTAGGCCCCTGAGGATCTGGTGTTTCTATTTACATTAGCCTATCAAGTTGTTCCTGAGCATATAAGGTCACCACGGGTTGGGCTGCATCCCACCTCCTCGCCAATTATTCTAAGGTTGCCTAGAATTACTGTGTGACTGAGTAATAAAGTTAGTGGTCCCTTCCTTGTCTGTCTGTCTCTATTCCTACTCATGCCCTTTGGGTGGTCGGGAACAGGTGGGCATCAGTTATGCCAGCGTCATGTTCCTTTGCCCTCCTGGGACCTGTTGTCAGCCCTCCAGATACTAATATTAGGAAGCAAGCCGGTGTCTAGAGAGCTACTTGGTTTTTGTTTTGTTTTGTTTTTTTGAGATGCTCAGGCTGGAGTGCAATCTCAGCTTACTGCAACTTCCACCTCCTGGGTTCAAGCAATTCTCCTGCCTCAGTCTCCCAAGTAGCTGGGATTATAGGCGCACGCCACCACGCCTGGCTAGTTTTTGTATTTTTAGTAGAGATGGGGTTTCACCATGTTGACCAGGATGGTCTCGAACTCCTGAGCTCAAGTGATCCACCCACCTCAGCTTCCCAAAATGCTAGGATTGCAGGCATGAGTCACCACACCCGGGCGGAGCTACTTGTTTATTCCGCCTTATAAGCTCTTATTTTTGAGAGTGGAAAAAACCAAAACAAACCTAAAAAACTGTCATTTATTCTTGATTGCTTAGGGATCCAAGAGAAGACCTGGAGTTTGGCAGGGCTCGCCACACTCCAGGAACGCTTTCTCTTATCTCTTGTTGAAGGACATGGGGACTGGTGGCTGTTTTCTTTTTACTTTTTCTTTCTTTCTTTTTTTTTTTTTTGAGACGGTGTCTCACTTCATCACCCAGGCTGGAGTGCAGTGGCACAGCCTTGGCTCACTGCAACCCCTGCCTCCTAGGTTAAAGCGATTGTCCTGCCTCAGCCTCCCTAATAGCTGGAATTATGGGTGCATGCCTAGCTAATTTTTATTTTTGTATTTTTAGTAGAGACGGGGTTTTGCCACATTGGCCAGGCAGGTCTCGAACTCCTGACCTCAAGTCATCCACCCCCCTCGGCCTCCCAAAGTGCTGGGATTACAGGCATGAGCCCTCGTGCTCGGCCTCTGGTGGCTGTTTTCTATAAAAAATTTTGAGCATGACTGGTATTTAGAATGGGAATCAAAGTAGTAGTGTTTCTGACTGGGGTTTACTGTTGGCATTGACAATTCCTCATTGTATGGGACTGTTCTGTACATTGGAGAATATTGAACATCCCTGGCCAATAGGGCATACTAGTAGTCTTTAGGGCCATTGTGGCCATTAGCTGTCTCCCCCGCCACCCACACATTACCAAATGCTTGGGTAGACATCAGCTGTGGTCTGGGCTGGTGACTGATCAAATAATTTAAGAAGATTAAATTAAGATTAAGGAAAAGGCTTTGCTGGCTTTATTCCTAAGATGCCCTTCTGGGTTTGAGTGCTTTGCTAGAAGGCAGCTACAAGAGAGGCAGGTACTAGTCCATCTTCTCCAAGGCTGGAAGAGCTCCCTCTAAGAAGGGGAAGTGCCCTCAGGCACATCTCCCCACCACTCCCAGGTGCTACCTTGGACCTGTTCTTTCTCAGAACTTTTCACACAGGTCCCTGAAACTAGAATTTTCCACATAAAAATCTATGCAGAGGAGATACTGGTTTATCTTCCCTCTTGTACAGTTGGGTCTGAAGATTGCATCTAACCATTAAGCGGAGATGAGGGTAGATTTCTGGTATCTCTCCTCTCTTCCTGTCTCCTCCCCTTTCCTGAAGCCTGTTTTTTTCCTTGAATTCTTCCTGACCACCAACCTGCCCACTCCCGCACACCCGTGTTAAGCAATTCACACTTAAATCCTGGAGACAGGGATGAAGATACACCAAATACCAAAGATTTCTTTATGATGAGGCTGAGAGGGGTTTGTAAAACCAACTCTCCTTGGTCCCTTTCCTCCCTGCTCCCCCTGCCCACCACACACACACAGAAGCATACACATGCCAAGCGGCAAAGGGCTTCAAGAGACCATCTAGGCCGGGCACCATGGCCCTTGCCTGTAATTGTAGCACTTTGGGAGGTCAAGGCAGGAGAGTCGCTTGAGTCCAAGAGTTTGAAACCAGCCTTGGGAACAAAACTCCATCTCTACAAAAATGACTTAGAGAAAACTACTCTAGGCTAGGAAGTGGGTGACCAGAGTTCATTTCGTAAATCAACCAATAATAGGTGTGACCTTAGGTTTTCTTTTTTTTTTTTTTTTTTTTTTTTTGAGACAGGGTCTTGCTCTGTTGCCCAGGCTGGAGTGCAGTTGTAAGATCTCGGCCCACTGCAACCTCCACCTCCCGGGCCCAAGCCATCCTCCCAACTCAGTCTCCCGAGTACAGGTGTGTGCCACCATGCCCAACTAATTTTTTAATTTTTTGTGGATAATTTTTATATTTTTTGTAGCGATGAGGTTTCACCATGTCACCCAAGGTGGTCTCAAACTCCTGAGTTCAAGCCATCTGCCTGCCTCAGCCTCCCAAAGTGCTGGGATTACAGGCATGAGCCACCGTGCCCGGCCTTTAGCCACTCTTTACCAAGGGCTTTCCATAGGCCAGGCATTGTGGTCAGCATTTGAAAAAACATTTAGCTCGCTTAATCCTTAGTATAGGTATTGACCCACTTTATAAATGAGGAATTTCATGCTCAGACTGTTCAGGATCTGCCCAAGGTGATACATAGAGGAAGATACAGAGGTGGACAAGTCTGGTAGCAATGAGCTAGGGTCTTGCCGAGTCCTTCCAAGTGTTTGCCTTTTGAGTCATATTCCTTGAAGTAGAGGAGCCGCTATAGGCTCCACAACCACCCCCTTGCAGGTCAGGATCTGTTCTTGCAGAAGGACAGGTTTGAGAGCTGTGAATTGCTGATTTCTTTTTCTTTGGCTGTGGTCAAAGAACAGAACAGGGCTGGGCGTGGTGGCTCACGCCTGTAATCCCAGCACTTTGGGAGGCTGAGGCAGGTGGATCACCTGAGGTCAGGAGTTCGAGACTGGCCTGACCAATATGGTGAAACCCTGTCTCTACTAAAAATACAAAAATTAGCCGGGTGCTGTGGCAGGCACCTGTAATCCCAGCTACTTGGGAGGCTGAGGCAGGAGAATCACTTGAACCCAGGAGGTGGAGGTTGCAGTGAGCTAAGATCATGCCATTGCACTCCAGCCTGGGCAACAAGAGTGAAACTCCCTCTCAAAAACAAACAAACAAAAAAAAACCCAAAAAAACACAAAAAACAGAACAGTAACCACATGATGCTAAAAGCTGACCCCACTGTGGTGCTACTGAGCACCACCTGTTCCTTTAGTAATCTCCTTCGTCACCCTGCCCTGGTCTGTAGCCTGCCTGAAGCCTGCTGACCCTGGAGTTTCACAGTCTCAGAGGCCCACTGGTACATGGTAGCCTGTGAATGTCTATATATAGAAAGACACACAGGCGCAGAAGCCACCACTTCCTCTCCCTGCTTCTCGGTTTCCTCCTCAGCCAAAATAGGCCCCACTTCTGACCTGGTGAGCTCAGCGGCCAAGGCCAGCCCCTCGCTCATTCTTCCCCCTCTCTCAGAGCTGACCTCTGCCCTACACAGGAATGGAGGGGCCGGGGAAGTACAAATAGGCAGGAAGGGAAACATTATTTTCAGGACCTGGCTGCATTGTTTGTTCTAAAAGGGAAAAGAGGAAAGGGAGAGCCCACTGGCAGCGGCTAGAAATGGTCTCATTGAAATCAGGGTATTTTTAGTTGCTGTGTTCACCCAACAGCTGAGAAGGCCACCTGTCCAGACTGGTTGGTACTAGGTCCCCAGCTGGGATTGCCCAGGGTTTTTGCTTTTTGCTCTGGTTTCCTTGCAAGCTTTTCGGCCACATTTCATCATGATCTCATCCTTTCTGAGCTGAAATCTGTATGCAGGATGAGGGGGCAGCTCTGATGCCCCTCCCTGTTCTGAGTTTTGGAGGATCCCTGGGCAAAACCACTAAAGGATCCAGCCAGACAAGAGGCATGATGGGTGGGGAAGTGGTACTCTAGGTGCCTGGGGTACAGAAAACAGAAAAAGACAGCATCTGCTACATAAGTATAGCCACATTGCAGGTGAGACATTGGTGCCTCAAAGATGCATAGCAATCACTCATTCCCCAGACAGTTAAAAACACAGGCTTTTCACCACTTCCTTATTTACTCTGCACGTGCCTCATAACAGAGCAACAGTGTCTTTCTCCCTCAAGGCCGCTGTGAGCTCCCTGTCCCTGGGAACACTTCCTTCCCACCTCTGCTGAACCCAGTGTCAGTCAAGCAACAGTAGCCACCTAAGCGTTGGGTATGTCCTGCCCTGCTCATTTGGAAATTGGAACAGAGACACATGTGTATGTACAAAGACCTTTTCTGGACCAAGGAGCTCTCTGCAAAGTGAAGGATGAGACAGTGGGAGCCTTGGTTAGGCCTTTAGCCCAGCCCTGCCTTAAGCAGAAAGGATATTGTGGGGAGAGGTGGGAGGGGAGGGGACGGTGGATGGGCTGCCCCAGTGCCCAAGCCCGTGGCATGAGTCCACTTGGACTGGAGCTCTCAAGAGGCTCCAGGAACATGAACCTCGCCAGGACACCTGACTTCCTATCAGGAACAATGGAGGAGGCTGGCAGCCTGATCTTATCTGCCCTGCACTGTGCTACGGGCCTGGCTGTGCCCCCATCTTCTGCCTCTTCCATTACCCAGGGAGCAGCTTCAGCTTCTCACCCCACCCCCTTCCACTGGGGCTGTTTGTGATTGGAGCCTTCCTTTTATTGACTTGGGTCAGTCATCCATCTATCCACTCATTTGTTTATTTATTTTAATTATTTATTTAAAAAAAATTTTTTTGCCAGAGTCTCACTCAGTTGTTCAGCCTGGAGTGCAGTGGGGGCAATCCTAGCTCATTGTAACCTCTGAACTCTTGGGCTCAAGGGACCCTTCTGCCTCAGACCCCCCAAGTAGCCAGGACTACAGACATGCACCATCATACCTGGCTAATTTTCTTTTGTTTATTTATTTTTGAAGAGACAAGTTCTCACTGTGTCACCCAGGCTGGTCTCAAACTCCTGGCCTCAAGCAATCCACCTGAGTTGGCATTATTCTTTATTTCTGTTTTCAACCATTTAAGAATAAAAACCACTCTTAGCCTCTAGACCCTGCAAAAACAAGTAGTGAGCTGGATTTGGTCCTCAGACTAAAGTTTCCTGCTTCTCCTGGCTTGCTGGGTTTCTATGTTTCCTTCCAAATAACCCAGGACTGTGTTTAGAAGTGATCACCAGGAAAAGCTCCATAAGGTTCCCCCATAGCACACATAGAGGAGGCATTCTTTTTTTTTTTTTTTTTTTTGAGACAGGGTCTTGCTCTGTCACCCAGGCTGGAGTGCAGTGGTGCGATCTCTGCTAACTGCAACCTTCGTCTCCTGGGTTCAAGCGATGCTTATGCCTCAGCCTTCTGAGTAGCTGGGATTACAGGTGCATGCCACCATGCCGTGTGAATTGTCCTGTGAATTTTTGTACATTTTGTAGAGATGGGGTTCTGCCATGTTGCCCAGGCTGGTCTCAAACTCCTGAGCTCAAGCAATCTGCCCACCTCGGCCTCCCAAAATGCTGGGATTACAGGCATGAGCCATCCCACCCAACCCACATACAGGAGGCATTCTAAAGCTACCTGCAGAGTTCAGCATGTAAGATCCTCCATCCCTTCCTTGAAAATAATACGGCAAAAAATCCAGTGTATAATTATGGTCTCGGCCATTTGCACAGCAAGCCATTCAGAGTTGTAAACTTAATAAAAGGTAGGGTGTGTCCCAAGACCAGATCATATTCTCAGGACTATGATGTATTCCACCTGATTAGGGGAACAGACCACATTATATGGTAAAGAGCTTGGACTCTGTCATCACACCAACTTTGATTCAAATCTAGACTCTGCTACCAATTAGCTCTGTGATGTTTAGGCAAATAAATTCACTTCTTTGGGCTTCATTTTTCTTTTTCTTTTTCTTTTTTTATTTTTATGAGACAGAGTTTCGCTCTTGTTGCCCAGGCTGGAGTGCAATGGCGCAATCTCGGCTCACTGCAACCTCCGTCTCCTGGGTTCAATCGATTCTCCTGCCTCAGTCTCCCAAGTAGCTAGGATTACAGGCATGCACCACCACACCGGCACATTTTGTATTTTTAATGTGACGGAGTTTCACCATGTTGGCCAGGCTGGTCTTGAACTCAAGTGATCCACCTGCCTCGGCCTCCCAAAGTGCTGGGATTACAGGCATGAGCCACCGCACCCAGCCAGGCTTTATTTTTCTTATCTGTAAAAGCGAAGGTATCTCACTCTTGGAGTTTGGAATCATTAAGAACATATATGAATATGTTAAGTGTCCCAGCGACATATAGCAAGTACTTCATAACCATTATATTATGCTATTGCCATTAGTAACGGCATGCCATGTTTTGGCCATTGAGAGTCAGCCCGTTTGCAGGCCACCAGCTTAAAATGAAAAGAAGAAAACAAAGGAGGCATCGTCTGTGTTGTCCGGCACAGTGAAGGGAAGAGTGTGCTTTGGTTCCAGAATACTTATGTTCTCCGGGTGGAAAATTCCCCAGGGTCAACAGAGACTTATTCTGCTATCCTGGCTTAACAGAAATAACCCTTTTATGCATATCTGTCTAACTTCCGCACACTCAGTAAACACAGTGTTGATTTCTATGTAGTTTGGTGACTGAAGGAATTTGCCGACCAGAAAAAGGCAGGGTGAGTGAATGAGCTATTTGGGGATGCTGTGCTGGAGGGTCCCCCAATCTGTGTATGAGACCTGGTGGTGAATTTTGAGGCTGTCAAACCCGAGTAACAGTCTTAGTCCTTTATCAACCCTTGTTGGCTTGCATAGGTCCAAAGTATGCCCTGTGGTGTGTATGGGACAAGCACCCCTCCCTGCCCTCGGAAGAATGCCCAAGCAGCCAGCCAGCCTCTCCTGCTTTGAATTGTTCCATTTAACCTGCTTTCTCTAATTTTTTTCTCTTTCTCCCAGCAAACTGCGGAACCAGGCACAGAGTGAGCGATACGGATATAAGGAGGTAAAGTGCTGCGTGTTTCCCAGAAGCTTCCTTCTCTGCCTGACCTGATAGGAAGAGGCAAGGAGGGCAGGCTCAGGTTCTCCTGGGCAGGAATCCCCCTGGCCTCACCTCTGGGTCTCCCTGAGGCTAAACCCCTTCAGTGTCTGAAGTCCGGCTTGCCCCAGGCAGTCCAGGGGACTCCCTTCATTGGTTGATACTACCTGGCTGGCCCCAGTGGTTGGTTCTTCTTTGGACATCATGCCTCCTCTTTCTTTTCAGGTGGTGCTTAAAGGTGATGCCAAGAAGTTACAATTATATGGGGTAAGTGTGCCAGGAAAGTGTGCAGGAGGGCCCCAGCAGGTGAGGCAGACAGCACCTTGCTCCAGTTCTCTGCCTGGACGCTTTTCAGAAAACTGCTTAGTCCATGCCTTCATATCTCCTTTGGCCAAATAATGGAGACACATCTCAGCAAGTAATTAATATGTGGAATTGATTACACCTGGAACAGCCTCAGGCAGAAGACATGAAGGGATCACAGAAGGGTTTAGATAAGTAGTGCCCCACAGCCCCAGGAGTCCCACAATACATAATTTTTACCAGGAGGATGGTCGTACCCTTTCATGCCATAGACAGAATTCAGCTAACTTTCCCTATGTTCAGCCCCTACATCCTGGTTGTTATCATAGGAAATGAGGTCCTTTTACTTTTGTATATACCCCATCTTAACAGACTAGATCTGACTAGTGTGTTCATTCCTGTGGCTCTGCCATTTCTCTCCCACCCCACTCCCACCCATACACCAGTTCCTTGAGTCCCCTCAACTCTGACTTGAGGAATTAGTCATATCCTATTCCTTTCCTACCTATGCCTCTAAGGTCACCTAACCCATTTCCCAAGGCTCCTGTTCATGACCACAGACACTCCTACTCAGAGCATGT
Organism: Homo sapiens; assembly: GCF_000001405.40. NCBI lineage: Eukaryota > Metazoa > Chordata > Mammalia > Primates > Hominidae > Homo > Homo sapiens. Next base: position 33,550,426 of record NC_000008.11, on the reverse strand, counting down.
TTGTGGTTGTCTGGGAGCAGAGCGGATCACAGTTCCACTAAACATGAGACTGCCTAGACGTGGCCTCATTTTGTCTATTACACCTCTGCAAGTGCTGATGTTTCCCAAGCCTTTCTCTCAGAGAATAATTCAACTGAGATCAAGGGAGTTAATATGTAGGGATGTGGGAAGTCTGGATTTAAAGAATGTAACTGGGCCAGGTGCGGTGGCTCATGCCTGTAATCCCAGAACTTTGGGAGGCCGAGGTGGGTGGCTCACCTGAGGTCAGGAGTTCGAGACCAGCCTGACCAACATGGTGAAACCCCATCTATACAAAAAATACAAAATTAGCTGGGTGTGGTGGCACATTCCTGTAATCCCAGTTACTTGGGAGGCTGAGGCAGGAGAATTGCTTGAATCTGGGAGGTGCAGGTTGCAGTGAGCCAAGATTGCACCATTGCACTCCAGCCTGGGCAACAAGAGTGAAACTCCATCTCAAAAAAAAAAAAAAACATAACTGATCACATATACCATGCCCTCATCCTACCTCTAGTTGGTATTAAGTGCCACATCACCAAATGTATTGGGCAAGAAAGGATTGAAAACCATTCTTCTAGGACAGTAATTTCCAGTGCAGTGGAAACTTCTGTGATAATAGGAATGTTCTATATCCATGCCATTCAATATGGAAACCATGTGGCTGTTGAGCACTTGAAATGTGGTGAGTGTAACTAGGGACTGAATTTATAATTTCATCTAATTTTGGTTAATTTAAATTTAAACAGCCACATATGGTTAATGACTACCATGCCATCAATATAGTTTTGTAAAGGATGGCTAAAAAGTTTCTCTGCCTGGTAGAACAGACTAGGCTAGAGCTTAGTTTTCTTGTCTGGGGTTGAATGAGTGAGATGGTTCCCCAGTTCCTCACACACCTGCTCTTTTCTCTCTGCAGCAGACCTGCGCAGTCTGTCTGGAAGACTTCAAGGGGAAGGATGAGTTAGGCGTGCTCCCGTGCCAACACGCCTTTCACCGCAAGTACGTGGGAATGTGTCCAGGGTGCCCGTCGAAGGAGAAATAATCAGGGAGCATCTTCTGGAAACTTCCAGTCTCTGCCACTTTCTATTTGCCCCTTATCCGTGATGCCCCAGGTCCTACGTGAACACCGAGCAAAGCCCAGAGGGATTAGGTTGGGACAGGGGTAGGGATATTCTTCTTTTTTTTTTGAGTTGGAGTTTTGCTTTTGTTGCCTAGGCTGGAGTGCAATGGTGCGATCTCAGCTCACTGCAACCTCTGCCTCCCAGGTTCAAGCGATTCTCCTGCCTCAGCCTCCCAAGTAGCTGGGATTACAGGTGTCCACCGCCATGCCTGGCTAATTTTTGTATTTTTAGTATAGATGGGGTTTCACCATGTTGGCCAGGCTGGTCTCGAACTCCTGACCTCAGGTGATCCACCTGCCTCAGCCTCCCAAAGTGCTGGGATTACAGTTGTGAGCCACCACGGGATATTCTTGTTTTGAGAGACAACTGGAGCAGCGTGGTCTGTCTGGTTAGAGATTACCATTCCTCATTTGTTCTCAGGTGTCTGGTGAAATGGCTGGAAGTTCGCTGTGTCTGCCCCATGTGTAACAAGCCCATTGCTAGTCCCTCAGAGGCCACGCAGAACATTGGGATTCTATTGGATGAGCTGGTGTGAGTGCTGCCGCTACACCGAGACCTGGAGAAGACCTCTTGCCTCATGGATGTCTGGTCCCTCTGCACAGCTCCAACCAACAGGACTGTAGGGTGATGACGATCACTTTCCCAGTGATGAGAAGGGTGGTCTAGGACTGGGCTTCTACCCTCAGTGCAAGACCAGTGCCAGATGTGCCCCCACTTCCTGCCTCCTGAAGCCTTCTTCCCTGCTACTCCATGCTGGTGGCCTCACCCATCAAGACCACTGTCTCCTGGTACTGGACTATCTACCTGCCTTGTCCCTGTTCTGGGGGAAGGTGTCCACCCCGATCAAGAACATGGAGAAAGTCCTCTTTCAAGGCTCCCATTAGGAGGATGAGCTGCCTTGACCCAGAAGGGATGAGACGGGCTCTTACCTCTCTACAACCTTCCCTCCCCTTCCCACTCCTTCCGGAGTAAGGTTAGAAGGGAAGGAAGGAAAGATCAAGGAACCAAGCGCCTCCACGGGAGGCGAGGGAGGCTCTGTATGAAACAGAAGAGCAGGGACATAAAGGAAAATGTCAGTGTTTACATGGGACCTATGGAAACAAAGGCTGGCGGGCGCCAGCTGACTCCAGAGTAAGAGAGGGCCCTTCCCCTGCCAGGACCCACGGTGCTATCCATTCAGTCTCTTCCTCAGTTAATCTCGGAGCTTCCTATTCCATGTTGAGGTTTGTGGGCCCCTCTAGAGGAGGGCTAGTTCTATACTTAAATTGATTCCCAGGGGCCTTTTTTTTTTTTTTTTTTTTTTTTTTGATCAAAAGGGGTGTGGGGATGGGGGTGTCTACGGTTAAGCAACAGATACCTCCTTCCCTTTGTAAATAGTATTTTTATACTTCATCCTCGCCTCTCAGGCTTTAGATACGAAATCTCCAGAATGGAAGGGGGTGGGGATTTTCTGTTCCTCCCTGGAGTGGGTGAGGGTGGGAGAAAGTTACATATTTAAAGAAAAATAAATTTAATAACAAGTTTCTCTAACCTACTTTTGCTTGTGGTTGTGGCTGCCTGGCCCTTTTCTGCCAGTAGAGGGAAAAAAGTTCTCAAACTGCCTCTTCTCACTTTTCCATACCCAAATCAAACACACACGCATACACACACACACACGTTCCTGATCCTTTTTAAATGTCTTTACTTTTATCTTTCTGAGGCAGGGTCTCACTCTGTCATCAAGGCTGGAGCATAGTGGCATGATCACAGATCACTGCAACCTCCCCGGCTCAAGTGATTCTCCCACCTAACCTCCCGAATAGCTGGGACCACAGGCGTGTGCCTGGCTAATTTTCTAAAATTTTTTGTAGAGACTAGATCTCCCTATGTTGCCCAGGCTGGTCTTTAACTCCTTGGCTCAAGCAATCCTCCCACCTCAGCCACCAGAGTGCTAGGATTACAGATGTGAGCCACTGCGCTCAGCCTAAAAGTTCCTAATCCTTAGGAACAAAAATCGATCTTAGGTTATTACCTGAACAATATATGTTAGGATTAACACAAGGTACATTAAGACCTTGCTAAACCAGGCTCCGTCTGATTTCTAGCATATTTTTAAAGGAAGTTGGTATTTTCAATCACAGCATTCCGTCGACTAAGACTTGAAACTAAGAATTCTACTTGTAATTTAAGCAATTGTCAGTGCCCTTAACACAACTAGTCACAACTAAAAAGGTCTACCTTTTAGTTATACCATAGAGGTTGCTACCATAGAGGCTCTGATCTCTCTTTTTTTGTTTGTTTTGTGGTGACAGAGTCTCTGGAGAGCAGTGGTGCAATTCTGGCTCACTGCAACCTCCACCTCCTGGCTTCAAGTGATTCTCCTGCCTTAGCCTCATGAATAGCTGGGACTACAGGCATGTGATACCACACCCAGCTAATTATTTGTGTATAGTAGAGACAGGGTTTTACCATGTTGGCCAGGCTGGTCTTGAACTTCTGGCATCAAGTGATCCATCTGCCTTGGCCTCCCAAAGTGCTGGGATTACAGGCGTGAGCCACCGTGCCCACCCCCTTTTTTTTTTTTTTTTTTTTTTAATTTTTGAGGCAAGATTTCACTCTGTCACCCAGTGTCACTGGAGTGCAGTGGCACAATCATGGTTCACTGTGGCCTCAAACTCCTGGGCTCAAGCAATCCTCCCACCTCAACCTCCAAGCAGCTAGGACCACAGGCACACACCACCATGCCCAGCTGGGTTTTGTATTTTTTGTAAAGATGGGGTCTCACTATGTTGCCCAGGCTGGCCTCAAATGCCTGGGCTCAAGTGATCTGCCCACCTCAGCCTCCCAAAGTGTTAGGATTACAGGGGTGAGCCACTGAGCCCAGGCCTCTTATTTTTTCTTAGCTAGTAGCTGCAATTGCTGACAATTGCTGCCACCTCTAGCAATGTTGCATGGTGATGCTTTATGGTCCTATGTGCACTCAGACCTTGCATCCATGCCCTCCAGCTTTGTTCTGTCCATGTCCCAAGGAAGCACTGAGTCAGCAGGGGGCATGCAAAGTGCATTAAGAGTGTTGGGAATGGCCTGTAATACCAGCACTTGGGGAGGCCGAGGCAGGCAGATCACTTGAGATCAGGAGTTTGAGACCAGCCTAGCCAACATGGCAAAACCATGTCTCTACTAAAAATAGGAAAATTAGCTGGGCATGGTGGCGCACCCCTGTAACCCCAGCTACTTTGGAGGCTGAGGCACAAGAATCACTTGAACCTGAGAGGCGGAGGTTGCACTGAGCCAAGATTGCACCACTGCACTCCAGCCTCAGCCACAGTGAGACTCTCTCTCAAAAAAAAAGTAAAAATGTTGGGAATGATTTTCGTGACCATAATAAGCATGGAGCAGCTGGGCCTATACTGCCCCTATGTGTTGAACAAGAGCGTTTGCTGAATAAGTATACTGTTCTGGTGTCATAGGTAAGCAGGAGATGCCCATACACCCAGAGGTTCCAGGCCCCACAGGTAGGTGCGATGCCTTCTCACCCCTGTTGTTGCACCATGGAGGCTGTCAGCACAGTGTGTGCTCATGCTGGGCAGTCCCGAGGTGCAGCTGGGGCACCTGGCAGTCCTGGTGCAGTTGTTGATACCTGTCTTGATGGAGTTCTTTGCCCAAGGGTACACCTGTTCTTACCACCTATTTTTCCCTCACTGAGAGGTAACCCCTGCTCTTCCTTGAAGCCACCAGCTCCAGCTTGCTGCTGCCAACCCTATGGAGCCTGATCCTTTCTTTGTTGGGGGTACCGCATCATCTCCCAGCAACCCTCAGCTTGCTTTAATGTGGGAAATAAAATGTGTTTCCTAAGCAAAACACAGAGCCTTCCCTCCAGCTCCTGCTGCAGCCTCATGGTAGATGCATTGCTGGGATCAGATGGGGAAAGTATGATCAGTAGGTTGGCTTCAACTTTCCTGCCTCAACCGTCTCCCCTTCCTCTTAAGGAAAATTTATTGGTGTTGAATTCATCAGATTAGCATAATTCTGATTGAATTTTATTCTTTTTTTTTTGAGACAGTCTTACTATGTCACGCAGGGTGGAGTGTGGTGTTGCGATCTTGGCTCACTGCAACCCCCACCTCCCAGGTTCAAGTGATCCTCCTGCCTCAGCCTCCTGAGTAGCTAGGACTCCATGCCCGGCTAATTTTTGCATTTTTAGTAGACACGGGGTTTCACCATTTTGGCCAGGCAGGTCTCTAACTCCTGAACCTCAGGTGATCTGCCCACCTCAGCCTCCCAAAGTGCTGGGATTACAGTCATAAGCCACCATGCCCAGCCAATTTTGATTAAAATATTAGCACTAAATTGTCTGTGTTCACAAATTTGAAAATCAATGTCCTGAAGTCAAGAGGACAGGGGAAAAACTTCCTTGTATTATTTCTAGTGCTTCCATACAGTTAGGTAGAATGCCATGATGGAGCACCGAGAAGGGAAAACTGGATATTGTTTAGCTGATCAGATATGACTTGGCAGCAGCTGAAAACAAGTTAAATAATCATGAATCAACTTGTAGTCATTAGCGTTGTCTTGTGACTCAGTTCAGTGTTTCTAAAGAACCTACTACCTGGGCCAGGTGCTGAGATAGGATAACTCCTGCCTCATAAAACAGTGTAAGCAGTGTATTTTAGGTGAGCAGGCTGGTATGGCAGAGAGACCCTTAGCACCACTGCTCTGAAAACTGCGAGGGTACCTGCCGGGATATGACATCTGAGTCTCGAGAGCAGTGTGGGCAAACTCACACAGGATAACAGCCTGTTGGGTACCAGAGAATGCAAACTGTAGAGAATAAAGTTGAGGTGGGCGAAGGCTGGAGAAGAGAAGTCTTGGGTGGGGCCAGACACTTGGGACTTGATAGAGTGAGAATTCTGAAGTTTCTTTAGGTTGGGCTTTTTAAAAATTTGGGCACCACTGGGCCAGGAGCAGTGGCTCAGGCCTGTAGTCCCAGCACTTTAGGAGGCCGAGGTGAGAGGATCATGAGGTCAGGGGTTCGAGACCAGCCTAGCCAACACGGCAAAACCCTGTCTCTACTTAAAATACAAAAAATTAGTTAGGCGTGGTGGCGGGTGCCTGTAATCCCAGTTACTCAGGAGGGTGAGGCAGGAGAATCGCTTGAATCTGGGAGGCGGAGGTTGCAGTGATTCAAATTCGCACCACTGCACTCTAGCCTGGGAGACAGAGTGAGGCTCTGTCTCAAAAAGAAAAAAAAATTGGGGCACCATTTGGGAGCTAAGCACATAATTTTCCTCTCTGTTCATGTGATGGCCATGGGCAGCTACAGTGTACTTAGCTCTATTCTCATTACTGAAGGATAATTTGTACCCTGAATGTGTTTCAATGGGTGAAAAACTGGGCCAAGCGCGGTGGCTCACGCCTGTAATTCTAGCACTTTGGGAGGCCGAGGCAGTTAGATCACTTGAGGTCAGAAGTTTGAGACCAGCCTGCCAACATGGTGAAACCCTATCTCTACTAAAAATAAAAAATTAGCCAGACATGGTGGCGGGTGCATGTAATCCCAGCTACTGGGGAGGCTGACGCAGGAGAATCGCTTGAACCCGGGAAGCCGAGGTTCCAGTGAGCCAAGATTGCACCACTGCATGCAGTCTCAAAGTAAATAAATAAATAAATAAAAATAAAAAGGTAAAAACTGAAGAAAGCTGGGTGATAATCATAGGTACCAGAATTCCAACTTCAATGATCTTATCTGTGGCAAACAAACACCAATCAGTCAAAGATAATAAGCATTTACCCACCAAGTTGTTTCACAAAATGCATTTCCTGCTTCCCCCTGCCCCGCCCCCACTGCCATATATATCCCTCTGAGTTTCGGATTAGGAAAGAATGTTGAGAAAAGCAACAGCTTACTTGTGACTACACAGATAATAAGCATCAGAGTCAAGGCACAAACCCAGGTTGTATGGATCTAAGTTTGCTGCCACATGTAGCTTCAGAAGCAGATTGCTCTCTGCAAAGATAAGAAAGCGGCAGGTGCTATTAATGCCTGGACTGATGCAATCCGGGAAGACAAAAACCCCAGAAAATTGTCAAGTGATTTGTGTGCTTGTCATTATCTAGGGCCATGGGGTGTGAGTTTTCTTTTTGTGCTATTTGTAAGTGTTTTGGGGGTACATGTGATATATGTTGCATGTACGGAATGTGTAATGATCAAGCCAGGGTATTTAGGGTATCCATCACCTCGAGTATTTACCACTTCAATGTATGGAAACATTTCAAGTCCTCTCTTCTAGCTGTTTTGAAATATACAATATATTGTTGCTAACTTGAATCATCCTACTCTCCTGTGGAATATTAGGACTTATTCCTTCTAACTACATGTTTCTCTCCATTAATCAACCCCTCTTTACACTCCCCCCACATACCCTTCCCAGCCTCTGGTATCTATCATTCTACTCTCTACTTCCATGAGATTTTTTTTTTTTTGAGATGGTGTCTCACTTCGTCGCCCAGGGTGGAGTGCAGTGGCGCGATCTCGGCTCACTGCAAGCTCCGCTTCCTGGGTTCACGCCATTCTCCTGCCTCAGCCTCCCAAGTAGCTGAGACTATAGTTGCCCGCCACCACGCCCGGCTAGTTTTTTGTATTTTTAGCACAGATAGGGTTTCACCGTGTTAGCCAGGATGGTCTCGATCTCCTGACCTCATGATCCACCCGTCTTGGCCTCCCAAAGTGCTGGGATTACAGGTGTGAGCCACCGCACCCGGCCGTTTGTTGTTTTTTTAACTCCACAGTGGATTACTTCTTTTAAAGAAATCTGTGTTTGTTTGTTTGTTTGTTTGTTTCTTTATTTTTTTTTTTTTTGAGATGGAGTTTCGTTCTTGTTGCCCAGCTGGAGTGCAATGGCGCCGTCTCCGCTCACTGCATCCCCCGCCTCCTGGGTTCAAGCGATTCTCCTGCCCTAGCCTCCCAAGTAGCTGGGATTACAGGCACCCATAGCCACACTGAGCTAATAAGGAATCTATGTTGAAGAAGCATTTATGAAATGAGTAATTGGAGCGTGGATGAGAATATGAAAACTCCTGACTGATAGACTGAAACAATGGGTCTCTTCAAGGACTGTGCCCTCCCATTCCTCCTTATTCCCTCCCATCAGTTTTTTGTTTTTGTTTTTATTTAAAGACAGGGCCTGGCTGTGTCACCCAGGCTGGAGTGCAGTGGCATGATCTCGGCTCACTGCAACCTCTGCCTCTCAGGTTCAAGCAGTTCTCCTGCCTCAGCCTCCCAAGTAGCTGAAATTACAGGCACTCACTACCATGCCCAGCTAATTTTTGTATTTTCAGTAGAGATGGGGTTTCACCATGTTGGCCAGGCTGGTCTCCACCTCCTGACCTCAAGTGATCCACCTGCTTCGGCCTCCCAAAGTGCTGGGATTACAGGCGTGAGCCACTGTGCCCGGCCCCTCCCATCAGTTCTTACTTCTGCCACCCATCCCTCAACAGGGCTTTTCCCATTCTCACCTGGGGTTCTTATGTTTCCCCAGTTTTGCATATTTTCCCCACTAAGGTAGGACGCAACCTCTGCCTTCCATTCTACCACCCTCTTCTATCTTTGTGGGTGTCAGAGTAATATCCTGCATGCTCTTGACTCACTCAGAGGGAGTCTTCTGTTGAAGCCATATGCACAGGTTCAGAGGGACAGATGTGATCAAATTAGAGACAAGGACAGACTGACCAGTAATGCAGGCATGTGTGGCCAGTGCCATTCACAGAAAAAAAATCAAGCTGTTTACGACACCCCAGTCAGCACTGGATTCCTACCTATCTTATTTTTAAAATCATGCCCATTTAATTCCTTTTCTAATAAACTAGTCAGCCAGGGAAGCAAGGAGGACCTGACCAATGTCACTTTTGTACATGGGCACGACTTCCTATTCTGTTCCCATGTGAAAGTCTCAGTAAGAAACCAGGGCAGGCTGGGCACAGTGGCTCACACCTGTAATCCCAGCACTTTGGGAGGCCGAGGCAGGTGGATCACAAGGTCAGGAGTTCAAGACCAGCCTGGCCAACATGGTGAAACCCCGTCTGTACTAAAAATACAAAAATTAGCTGGGCGTGGTGGTGGGTGTCTGTAATCCCAGCTACTTGGGAGGCTGAGGCAAGAGAATCGTTTGAACCTGGGAGGCAGAGGTTGCAGTGAGCCAAGATCGCGCCACTGCACTCCAGCCTGGGAGACAGGGTGAGACTCCATCTCAAAAGAAAAGAAAGAAAAAGAAAAGAAACCAGGGCATGTGCTCTGTAGAGGAGGGAGAGCGCCAGGAGGACTAGAAGATGTTTTTGATGACTACTGAGCACACTTTCCCATCTTCGGCACCTCTCTGGTGCTAAACATCAGCACTTCTTTCTTTCTTTTTCTTTTTTCTTTTTTTTTTACCTGGACAGGAAGTAGCATTTATTGGTGGGTATTAAGATGGGGCAGAGGCCGGGTGCAGTGGCTCACACCTGTAATCCCAGCACTTTGGGAGGCCGACACGGGCGGATCACGAGGTCAGGAGTTGAAGACCAGCCTGGCCAACATAGTGAAACCCCATCTCTACTAAAAATACAAAAAATTAGCTGGGTGTGGTGGCAGGCGCCTGTAATCCCAGCTGCTTGGGAGGCTGAGGCAGGAGAATTGCTTGAACCCGGGAGGCGGGGGTTGCAGTGAACCGAGACTGCGCCATTGCATTCCAGCCTGGACAACACAGCAAGGCTCTGTCTCAAAAAAAAAAAAAAAAAAAAAGGTAGGGGGTGGGGAGCAGCACAGTGGAAGCCCTCACCAGTGCCGGACCTGCCACTTGTCCAGAGGGCCATGACTGGGGATGTACTTGACCCTGCAGCTATCTGGGATGAGCTGCTTCTCAGCCACTATGTCTTCTCATTCATCCACATTGAACTTGGTAAAGCCCCACTTCTTGGAGATGTGGATCTTCTGGTGGCCAGGGAACTTGAACTTGGCCCTGCATGGCGCCTCAATCACATGCTCCTTGTTCTGCAGCTTGGTGCAGATGGACTTAACTTGGCCAATGTGAACCCTGGCCACAGTGCCCTGGGGCTTTCCAAAGGCACCTTGAATGCCTGTTTCGAGCCTACATCGGGGGTAGTGCAAGGTCAGAGACATGAACGTACATTTGAAAGGCCTGTCTCCAAGGACCCTTAGAGCAACCCATACAAGAAACAGGCCATGTACACCACCAAGAAAGCTGCTGTTTGCAGCCATTGCACACTGGGATCAGAACTTCTTTCTTATCAATCTCGTCTCCTCTCCCATTCATTTTTTCTCCCTCTTCCTTTCTTTCCTCTTTTTTTCACCTTTCATCGCAGTCTAGTCTCTATCATGGCTGAGAATGCCAAGCCATTGCAAAACCCCTCCTGATGGGCTACGATAGTCATGAATAGTTCAAAGGATACACAGATTACTAAGAGTACACCCAAATGGTTTAACCCAAATGTGGGTTTAAGCCCCCACAGCAACCAGCTCTGAGTTTCTGAATGTTTACTTATATATGTCTATTATTTCTCAAGATGATGCTGATATCCTCAAAGACAGGAATAGAATCCATGGCGACTTTGATGCAATGTGAAGGCGGCCATCAAATACCAACCTAAATGAAGAAAAAACTAGATTTTCTTAAGTGTAGGAGAAATTGATTTGAAAGCATAGTGGATGTCAAGTTGGTCATAAGGCAGAAAAAAGTCAAAATGAATCCAAAATGCAATAGCACAATTATAACATGCCGAGAAGTCCTTTCTGCCTTCAATACTGACCAAATTTCTATTGGATTCCTTTACTCTCATTTTACATCTGCAGAAAAATAGGGAGGCTGTAAAAAGTGCCATGAGGGGCCAGGTACAGTGGTTTACACCTACAATCCCAGCACTTTGGGAGGCTGAGACAGGAGGATCGCTTGAGCCCAGGAGTTTGAGACCAGTCTGGGCACTATAGTGAGACCCCAGCATATATATATATATATATATGCTGCCATGAGGAAGAAATTGAAAGAGTATTTTTAAATCTGGAGGGACAAAGACCAAGAGACAAGCAAGTTGGTGGTCATCAGTATTATGTTGTAAGCATGAATCTCCATTGCAAACTCAGATATTCTAGAAATTACAGTTTTCCTCCCATTAAATTGATGCTGAGCTACCATCCTTCTGAGATCATGGGAAATCCATACCCTGTCTGCAATGCTGTCTTTCTTTCCATAAATATTCATGTACCTCAGAGTCACACAGATCAACACTACCCAGCCATCCTTCTGTACACACCATTTAACCACTAAGCTGCTGGTCTCCTGGGCACCTTTTCTGGCCCCGCCCCTATCTGTCACCCTTCGTGCCTAATGTCAAGTGCAGGAAGCTTACTGAAGTGTCAAAGGCACAGACACTGGGTGACAGTGTGAGACCCTGTCACAAAAAAAAAAAAAAATGCATTTCAAAGCAGATACCAGTAAGCTTCTTATATTAACTTGTGCTGCTAGCTTCTCTTTTTGTGAGTTAACTGAGGATGACTAGAAATCTGCCTTGAATATGAAGATGAGCAGAGAACTTGCTGACAGATTTTTGAAGAGTAGCTCTGACTTCAGGGTGGTTTCAGGAATAACTCAGCTATATGGGTGGGTGTGGTGGCTCCCGACTGTAATCCCAGCATTTTGGGAGGCCAAGGTGGGAGGATCACTTGAGCCCAGGAGTTTGAGACCAGCCTGAGCAACATAGTGAGACCCCCATGCCTGCAAAAAATTTAAACAAAGGTGAGCTGGGTGTGGTGGGCCCATGGACCCAGCTACACAGGAGGCTGAGATGGGAGAACTGATTGAGCTCAGGAGGTTGAGCCTACAAGTGAGCTATGATCACACCACTGCACTCCAGCCTGGGCAAAAGAGTGAGACCCTGTCCCAAAAAAAAAAAAAAAAGGAATAACTCAGATATGAAATCACTTCATATTTATGTATTTATTTATTTATTTGGTATGGCAGGGACAGAGTTTCACTCTTGTCACCCAGGCTGGAGTACAATGGCATGATCTCAGCTCACTGCAACCTCCGCTTCTTGGATTCAAGCAATTCTCCTACCACAGCCTCACGAGTAGCTGGCATTACAGGCGCCTGCCACCACACCCAGCTGATTTTTGTATTTTTAGTAGAGACAGGGTTTCATCATGTTGGCCAGGCTGGTCTCGAACTCCTGACTTCAGGTGATCCACCCATCTTGGCCTCCCAAAGTGCTGGGATTATAGCCATGAGCCACCGCACACAGCCTATTTCATATTTAAAATGTGGTGGCAGTGACAAAGAGTTGACTGCCTCACTTAGCTTTTCTTTCTTTCTTTTTTTTTTTTCGTTGAGACATGATCTGATATGGTTTGGCTGCTCCCCCACCTAAAATCTCATCTTAAATTGTAACCCCTATAATCCCCATAATCCCCGTGTGTCAAGGGCAGGACCAAGTGGAGGTAATTGGATCATGGGGGTGGTTCCCCCATGCTGTTCTCATGATAGTGAGTCTCACGAGATCTGATGGTTGTTTAAGCGTCTGGCATTTCCCGTGCTTGCACTCACTCTGTCCGTCCTGCTGTCCTGTGAAGAAGGTGCCTGCTTTTCCTTTGCCTCCTGCCATGATTGTAAGTTTCCTGAGGCCTCCCCAGCAATGCAGAACTGTGAGTCAATTAAACCTCTTTCCTTTATAAATAACCCAGTCTCGGGTTATTCTTCATAGCAGCATGAGAACAGAGTAACATAGGGTCTCACTCTGTCACCGAGGCTCTGGAGTGCAGTGGCACAGTCATGGCTCACTGCAGCCTCGACCTTCTGGGCTCAGGTGATCCTCGCACCTCAGCCTCCCAAGTAGCTGGGACTACAGGTTTGTACCACCACAGCCAGCTAATTTTTTTATATTTTTTATCGAGACAGGGTCTTGCCATGTTGCCCAGGCTGGGCTCAAGCAGTTCACCTGCCTCGGCCTCCCAAAGTGCTGGGATTACCAGGATGAGTCACCACGCCTGGCCCTCATTTAACTTTTAACCTTGATAAATTGTATGTTGTATGTCAAGGCAAAACGGAAGTGGGGGGGAGGGTGCAGAGGCAAGCATCAGGTGGGTAGAATACCCTCCCTTTATCACACATATTAACATTCCTTGCACAATTACCCAGTGAATATTCTCATTTTGGACTTTTTCCACACCCTAAATTTAGTAAGCTAGAATTATCTTTATTTATTTCTCTCTTTTTTTTTTTCCTAAGTCACTGTGTTTTAGGATAGAATTATCTTTTAAGCACCACTTTAAGCAACCTTTTTGGAAGGAAGAATGCTGACAAGGAGGAGATCTGTGTTTCCTTGTGGTTAGAATGCAATATCCTTAACTTAATCATTCTGCCAAGAAGCTGAGTCTCTTTATATGCTGACAATAGAGCAAAGACAGTAATCCAACACATTCATTACAGGTTTGTAAGATTAAAAATTTATACATTCAGATTGGAAAACATGAGAAACAGACTTGCTGCCAGACCATTAATTCTGGGCATCTCTGCATTCTGTGTTCTGGAAGCTGTGCACATTGAATTGAATAATTGCCTGAAACATGCCAGGGGTTTTCATTATCTAAAGAAGTCTATGTCGAGCCTTTTTACAACTAAAACCTCTCTAAAATGAGACTTAAGGAGTTTTTTACTTAATTTATAGACTTTAAAACACTAAGATCTGCATGTAAATAAGTTTAAGTGAGATGTGCCTATAGAATAAAACAATTAGAAGTAATTTCTTTGGTTTTCTTCTTATTATTATTTTTTAGTAGAGATGGGGGTCTCGATTTTTTGCCCAGGCTGGTGTCAAACTCCTGGCCTCAAGTGATGCTCCTGCCTTGGACTCCCAGATTGCTGGGATTACAGGCATAAGCCCTTGCTCCTGGCCTAGAAGTAATTTATTTAAAGTCTTGTTTACAAAGAGAAATGCACGAAGCACGTACAGAGGAAGAAAGAACAGTTCCAAATGAATGATTTTTGTTCCTAGTATTTGAGGAACAAAAGGTTCACTGACAAGAGTCAGTGATGAAATGTGGCTGTGTTTGGGAAAACATGGGATCTTTCCCTTCTACGCCTCATTATGAGATTAATTTGTAGTGTGGAATAAACAAAGCTAGCCCTGGAATTCAAAGAATGGGTTTTAAACCCAGCTCTGCCTCTAATTAGCCAGGAGACCTCAGCCTAGTTCCTTAATCTCTCTAAGCCTCCTTTTTCTCCTCTGTAAAATGGAGATATAGTAACTGCCTCAGAGTGTGATTAAGAAGAGTACATAAAAAAGTGTATATGAAAGACTTGAAGTCATGCTATTTTTGTTTCTAAAGTCACAGGGGGCAGGGCGCAGTTGTTCACACCTGTAATCTCAGCACCTTGGGAGGCTGAGGCGGGTGGATCACGAGGTCAGGAGATCGAGACCATCCTGGCCAACATGGTGAAACCCCGTCTCTACTGAAAATACAAAAACTAGCCGGGCATGGTGGCATGCGCCTGTAGTCCCAGCTACTCAGGAGGCTGAGGCAGGAGAATCACCTGAATTTGGGAGGCAGAGGTTGCAGTGAGCCGAGATTGCACCAGTGCACTCCAGCCTGGGTGACAAAGCGAGACTCTGTCTCAAAAAAAAATGAATCAATAAAATAAAATAAAAATAAATAAAATAAGGTCATAGGAAGCCATGCAACTAAACAAGGGGACTAAGTGAAAAGTCTGTAAGAAATAAGGAAGTTTGTGTATATCCCTCCCCTGCCATTATCCCAATTAATACAGCTGTCCCTTACTGAGCCTGTACTAAGTCACAAGCACTGCATTCCGGGTTTGCTTTCTTTCACTGGGCAGAGCTGATGCCCACTGAATATACAATTTGTAGAGAAGTCTGATGTGGATGATTGTACTTAGAATCAAACTTCTCAAACTTATTAAACAGCCAACACATATTGAGTGCCTACTACATGCCAGGCATTGTGCCAATGAGCAAGACCAAAATGGCTCCTACTCCCAAGATGTTTACAGTCTAATGGGGGAGATGAAGCCTAAACAAGCATACTCATATATTTAATACATGGACCAACCATCGTAAGGTATCCAGTGACTACCTTCGTAAAACCAGAGGAGAGGGATGGACAAGGAAGGTCTTTTCTGAGCAAGAGACATTTAAGCTCAGAGCACAAGAATGACAAGAGGTAGGGAAAGGCCAGACAGAAGAGTGTATGTAAGAAATTGAGGAAAAAAAAAAAAGAAAGAAATTGAGGGCCGGGGGTGGTGGCTCACGCCTGTAATCCCAGCACTTTGGGAGGCCAGGCGGGCGGATCACCTGAGGTCAGGCGTTCAAGACCAGCCTGGCCAACATGGCAAAACCCCATCTCTATTAAAAATACAAAAAAATTAGCCAGGCGTGGTGGCAGGCGCCTGTAGTCCCAGCTACTCGGGAGGCTGAGGCAGAAGAATCGCTTGAACCTGGGAGGCGGAGGTTGCAGTGAGCCGAGATCACACCATTGCACTCCATTCTGGGCAACAAGAGCAAAACTTCATCTCACAAAAAAGAAAAGAAAAGAAAAGAAAAGAAAAGAAATTGAGAGAGAATAGAGCTTGGGCTGTTGGTGAACACATCCCATGTAATTAAGCTTAGTGAGAGATGGGGAAGGGAGGTACAAATGAGGTCAAAGAGACACAGCAGCAGATCAGGGAGGGCCTAGTAGCCATGTTAGGGAATTCTAACTTTTGATAATAGGACTGTAGCAGAAAAGTGACATTATCTGGGTTAAGTTTTTATTGGAAATGGAATTGTGTACCAGAATGGAAAATAGGCCGGGCACAGTGGCTCATGGAAAATAGGCCGGGCACAGTGGCTCATGCCTGTGATCCCAGCACTTTGGAAGGCTGAGGCAGAAGGATCGCTTGAGGCCAGAAGTTCAAGACCAGCCTGGGCAACATGGTGAAACCCCCATCTCTACAAAATATACATATACATATATATATATATATATATATATATATGTGTGTATATATATATATATATATATATATATATATATATATATATATAAAATAATACAAAAAATTAGCCAGGCATTGGGCCATGTGCCTATAGTCCTAGCTGCCCAGGAGGCTAAGGTAGGAGGATCGCTCCCTTGAACCTGGGAGGTCAAGGCTGCAGTGAGCCATGGTTGCGCCACTGCACCCTAGTTTGGACAACAGAGTTGTTACTGGTGGAAGGTATCCGAGTCACATGGCACCAAAATATGTTAGACAAGGCCAATTTGTAGGGGTCTGCAGCAACCTCAAATCTTGCTTCCTCAGAAGAAAGAATTCAACCGAGGGACCTAAGGCAAAAGGAGAAACCAAGGCAAGTTTTAGAGCAGGAGTGAAAGTTTATTGAAAAGCTTTAGAGCAGGAATAAAAGGAGGGAAAGAACCTACACTTGGACGAGGACCAAGTGTGTGACTTGAAAGACAAGTGTGCGGTTTGACCTTTTGACTTGGGGTTTTATACGCTGGCATGCTTCTGCGGTCTTGTTACTTCTCCCCTGATTCATCCCTTGGGGTGGGCTGTCTGCAGGCACATTCCTGAGCCCACTTGCCCAACCCCTGAGGTCTTCTCAAGAAGCCACTGATCACATTTCATGTGTTTTCCATGTATTAGGACACTGCCTTTCCCTGGCACTGGCTGTGACCAATTACTATTTTAGAAAGACAGTTAACAACTGCCTGATCATCACCTGATGGTTGCCTGATATTCCTGATATTTGTGTGTGTTGGGCGGAGCCCTCTCCTGCCCTGCTCATGCCTGACCAGCTACCTACTGTAACAAAGTAAGACTTTGTTTCAAAAAAAAAAAAAAAAAAAAAAAAAAGAATGAGCCGGGCAGGGCGGGCGCATTATCTCATGCTTGTAATCCCAGCCCTTTGGAAGGCCCCGGTAGGCCAATCACCTCAGGTCAGGAGTTCAAAACCAGCCTGGCCAACACGGTGAAACCCCATGTCTACTAAAAATACAAAAATTAGCCAGGTGTGTGGTGCACACCTGTAATCCCAGCTACTTGGGAGGCTGAGGCACGAGAAGTGCTTGAACCCAGGAGGCGGAGGTTGCAGTGAGTCGAGGGCATACCACTTCACTCCATTGAATTTGGCAATGAGGAGGCTACTGGGGGCCTGAGCAAAAGCAGTTTTGCTGGATTCATGGGGTGAAGGAAAAATTGAGTGTGTTGAACAGTGAATGAGCAGGATACACTGGCTCATGCCTGTAATCCCAGCACTTTAGGAGGCTGAGGCAGGAGGATCACTTGAGACCAGGAATTCAAGATCAGCCTGGGCAACACAGCAAGACCCTATCTCTACAAAGAAAAATAATAATATATGAGAAGAGACAAGCCATTCCTAGAAAATTGAAAAGAAACAAAAATGCATATAAACGTATATCAAGGTCCTCACATAGCCATTGTATAAGTCAGAATTTTCCAGATAGGTAGATAAGAGGGGATGTATTAGGGGAACTGGTTCACATGACTATGGAGGCTGAGAAGCCCCATGATATACCATCTGCAAGCTGGAGAACCAGGGAAGCCAGTGGCATAATTCAGTCTGAGTCCGAAGGCCTGAGAACCTGTGGGCTCCTGGTGTAAGTCCCAGAGTCTGAAGGCCTGAGAAGCTAGAGTTCATATGTCCAAAGGCAGGAGAAAATGGGTGTCCCAGCTCCAGAAGACAGAGTGAATTAGACTTTCCTCTGACTTGTTATTCTATCCAGGCCCTCAACAAATTAGATGATGCCTGCCCACATCAGGTAGCTCTTCCTTACTCAATCACTGATTCAAATGCCAATCTCTTCCGGAAACACCCTCACAGACATAACCAGAAATAATGCTTTCTGGGTATTCCTTGACCAGCTATCTGGGTATTCCTTGACCCAGTTGAGTCGACATCTAAAATGAATATCACAGCTATATAGAAAAGAAGCCTATTTCAAGTAACTTGAAACATAACATTTGATTGAAATTATTATTATTTGAGACAGGGCCTCGCTCTGTCACTCAGGCTGGAATGCAGTGGCCCAATCATGGCTCAAGCAGCCTCAACCTCCTGGGCTCAAGTGATCCTCCTGCCTCAACCTCCCAGGTAGCTGGGACTATAGACATGTGCCATCTCACCTGGCTAATTTTACTTTTTGTAGAGATGGTGGGGGTGGTCTAGCTATGTTGCTCAGGCCGGTCTCAAACACCTGGCCTCAAGCAATCTTCCTGCCTTGACCTTCCAAAGTGCTGGGATTACAGGAGCGAGCCACCATGCCCAGCTGATTGCAATTATTTACTCAGTGTACCCTAAAGACAAAAACAAATAGCAAAGAAGTCTTAAATTATATTCAATAATCTCATGTTTTTTTCTTTCTTTCTTTTTCTTTGAGTCGGAGTCTCTTTCTGTCACCCAGGCTGGAGTGCAGTGGTGCGATCTTGGCTCACTGCAACCTCTGCCTCCTGGGTTCAACTGATTCTCCTGCCTCAGCCTACAAAGTAGCTGGGACTACAGGCACATGCCATCACACCTGGCTAATTTTTGTATTTTTAGTACAGGTGGGGTTCCACCAGTGTTTGCCAGACTGGTCTCTAACTCCTGACCTCAGGTAATCTGCCCACCTCAGCCTCCCAAAATACTGGGATCACAGACATGAGCCACCACGCCCAGGTAATCTTATGTTTAGTAATAACAATATTGCTATTTTAATACCTTTATGTGTATATTTTAGAATAAAGCAAATAAGTAATTACATTAATGTTATTATGAATCAAGATTTTTGGCCGGGCGCGGTGGCTCACATCTGTAATCCCAGCACTTTGGGAGGCCAAGATGGGCGGATCACAAGGTCAAGAGATGGAGACCATCCTGGCCAACATAGTGAAACCCCGTCTCTACTAAAAATACAGAAAAAAATTAGCTGGGCGTGGTGGCACGCTCCTGTAATCCCAGCTACTTGGGAGGCTGAGGCAAGAGAATAGCTTGAACCTGGGAGGCAGAGGTTTCAGTGAGCCGAGATTGTGCCATTGCCCTCCAACCTGGGCAGTAAAAGAGAGGAGAGATACAAGTCTCATTTTAAAGAAGTATAAGCCTGAAATCTTAAATCTGAATTGGAAATATTAATACAAATTTATGATTTTTTTCTGCTTTTAAAGAGCATATATTTCCTAGATGTGTCATCCACCGAGACCTAGAAAACTAAAATCAATACGAATTCAAGAGCAATGGCATCTCACTCTTCAAATTGTAGCCCTTAAATAGCCTTTCCCCTTACAAGGAATTAGGGATTCTTGGAGACATGGTTGCTTCAACCTTGCCATTCTAGAAAGGAAAGAAGCAATCCATGACTACTGAGTCATGTTAATAGGACACAGAAGCCAAAATGAAAAGACCCCCATTGGCAAAAGATGGGACGATTTGAGTATAACAAGAATAATTACAATGGAATAAAACTCATTAAATGTATAAAATTCCTTAAGATCATATAAAACTAGTAAGAACGGGCTGGGTGTCAATGGCTCATGCCTCCCAAATCCCAGCACTTTGGGAGACTGAAGTGGGAGGATTGCTTGAGCCCAGGAGTTAGTAGACCAGTCTGGGCAACATAGTGAGACCCTGTCTCCACAAAATAAAAATAAATAAAATAAAATAAAAACTAACAAGAACAACCACCAAATATCAGGTATTCATTGAAGGTCACTAAGGCACTAAATTCATTATTCTAAAAACTGGCTAATGAAAGGAAAAAATCAAGCATTTATCCTGCTTTTCCTGTGCAAATTGTATTCAGGGTGATCAGATAACTGGTTGCTGGGGGAAAGTTCTATTTAAAGCAGAGTTCCAGGTAAAGATGCAAAAGGAAATAACAGAATTAGGAAATTGCCATTTTGTAACTCTAATGAAGTAACAAAATTAAGCAGTGATTATTCATGGCTCCTGTAGACACCAGGGGAAAGATTGATGGAGACTTTTGTAACAGATCAATCTGTCTTATCATTAGTAAAAGTGGGACAATCAGACATCACATGCCTCCTGTGATACAGTAAGAAGTATACAGCCCCACCCCCAAGGCTGATCCTAAATTTCATTTTATCTCTAGATCCAACCACCCCTTTACAGGAAATGGGTTAGATAGAGGAACAAATTAAAAATAACATCAAGAGCACCTGTAATCCCAGTGCTTTGGGAGGCCAAGGCAGGCGGATCACTTGTGGCCAGGCTGGCCAAGACAGTGAAACCCTGTCTCTACTAAAAATACAAAACAGTAGTCAGGAGTGGTGGCACATGCCTGTAGTCCCAGCTACTTGGGAGGCTGAAGTGTGAGAATTGTTTGAACCCGGGAGCTGAAGATTGCAGGGAGCAGATATTGTGCCACTGTACTCCAGCCTGTGCAACAGAGTGAAACTCCACCTCAAAAAATAAATAAATAGCTGGGCGCAGTGGCTCACGCCTGTAATCCCAGCACTTTGGGAGGCCGAGGCGGGAGAATCACCTGAGGTCAGGAGTTTGAGACTAGCCTGGTCAGTATGGTGAAACCCCATCTCTACTGAAAATACAAAAAATAGCCGGGCATGGTGGTGTGTGCCTGTAATCCCAGCTACTCGGGAGGCTGAGGCAGGAGAATTGCTTGAGCCCAGGAGATGGAGGTTGCAGTGAGCCAAGATTGTGCCATTGCACTACAGCCTAGGCAACAGGAGCGAAACTCTGTCTCAAAAAAAAAAAAAAAAAAAAAAAAAAAAAAAAAAAAAGAAAGAATATTTTTACAAGTGTTTTTGATTAGGGTAGGTAATACATTATCTAAGAACATCTTACCCAAAGGATAAGACCACACTTTTTTACTCTAGTGCTCCAAAATATTCAATTTCATTGTTGAAATTTTCTATATGCCATATTTCTCTCCAGCAATTGCTATTTCTCTGCTCAGCAAAATGTCTTAAAACAAAAACAGGCTGGGCTCAGTGGCTCATGCCTATAATCGCAGTGCTCTGGGAGGCCAAAGGAGAAGGGCTGTTTGAGCCCAGGAGTTCAAGAACAACCTGGCAATTAGGGAGACCCCATCTCTACAAAGTAAAAAGTATTCACTGTGCATGGTGCTGCACACCTGTAGTCCCAGCTACTTGGTAGGCTGAGGTGGGAGGATCACTTGAGACCAGGAGTTAAAGGCTGCAGTGAGCCATGATCATGCCATTGCACTCCAGCCTGGGTGACAGAGTAAGACCCTCTAAAAAACAAATCAAAAAACCACAACAAATCCACACCTGTTGTCCCCAATTATCCACTCATCTTTTAAAAATTTTTTATTTTTTGATGTTTCTTAAGTTTTAGTTTTCTTTTTTTTTTTTTTTTTTGGAAATTAGAGTTATCCTGGAATGTTTCTTTTTTAAATTGTTTTAAAAACAGAGACGGGGTCGCACTACATTACCCAGGCTGGTCTTGAATTCCCAGGCTCAAGAGATCCTCCTGCCTTGGACTCTCAAAGTGCTCGGATTACAGACATGAGTGTTTCACCAATGTTGGCCTCGAACTCCTGACCTCATGATCCGCCTGCCTCTGCCTCCTAAAGTGCTGGGATTACAGGAGTGAGCCACCGCGCCCGGCTAAATACTTGTACAAATATTAAACTGAAAACAGAATGAAAAGGAAGCTAGCTGGGCATGGTGGCTCACGCCTGCCAACCCAGCACTTTGGGAGGCCAAAGTGGGCAGCTCTGTTGAGGCCAGGAGTTTGAGACCAGCCTGGCCAACATGACGAAACCCCATCTTTACTACAAATACAAAAAATTCGCCGGGCATGGTGGCAGGTGCCTGTTAATCGCAGCTTCTAGGGAGGCTGTGGCACGAGAATCGCTTGAACCCAGGAGGTGGAGGTTGCAGTGAGCCGAAATCATGCCACTGCACTCCAGCCTGGGCCACAGAGTGAGACTCTGTCTCCAAAAAAAAAAAAAAAAAAGAAAAAAGAAAAGAAAGAAAAGGGAAAAGGAAGCTAAGCAATCCTATCATTGTAGAAGGAGTAAGGGAATGTTAGCAATGTGATGTGTTTGTATCCAAGTCAAAGCAGACACCTGGAGTCAAATGTTCAGCATGGATATGACTTTTGTTACTTTGATGACTATTTTGTATTTACAAGATTTTTTTGTTTATATAGCTGTCTACATTGTTTGAAAATATTTTGGTTTCACTTGGTGCTTGTTCTACAAATTTAAAAACATGTTACGCCTGTAATCCCAACAATTTGGGAGGCCGAGGCGGGTGGATCATGAGGTCAAGAGATCGAGACCATCCTGGCCAACATGGTGAAACCTCGTCTCTACTAAAAATACAAAAATTAGCTGGGTGTGGTGGCATGCACGTGTAATCCCACTACTCGGGAGGCTGAGGCAGGAGAATTGCTTGAACCCGGGAGGCGGAGGTTGCAGTGGGCTGAGATCACGCCACTGCCCTCCAGTCTGGTGACAGAGCGAGACTTTGTCTCAAATAAATAAATAAATAAATAAATAAAATAAAATGTTTAGTATATTAGAATATTCTTTAAAATTATTAGTATATCCCTGAGCCTAAACTAACCTTCATAATCCACGTTAAAAATTTTGTAGGCTGAGCGCAGTGGCTCATGCCTGTAATCTCAGCACTTTGGGAGGCTGAGGCAGGTGGCTCCCTTGAGCCCAGAAGTTTGAGACCAGTCTGGGCAACATAGTGAAACCCCACCTCTACGGAAAAATATATATATTAAATTTTTATTTTAAAAAATTTTATAGCCTCATATGCAAAAGAATATAGTGGTTCCCTCAATCTTAGCAGGCATTCAAGGATGATAAATATTGTAATATTATTTTTCCATTTGGCCTATAATCAGAAAAGTAGCTCTGCTGCAAGCAGTAATTATCTTACTGTGTGTTTCTTTATTTTTTTATTTTTTGAAACTGAGTCTCATTCTGTTGCCCAGGCTGGAGTGCAATGGCACAATCTCGGCTCACTGCAACCTCCACCTCCTGGGTTCAAGTGATTCTCCTGCCTCAGCCTCCCAAGTAGCTGGGATTACAGGCGTGTGCCACCACGCCTGGCTAATTTTTGTATTTTTAATAGAGACGTGGTTTCATCATGTTGGTCAGGCTGGTCTCCAACTCCTGACCTCGTGATCGGTCCCCCTTGGCCTCCCAAAGTGCCGGGATTACAGGCGTAAGGCACCGCGGCCAGCCCTTACAGTGTGTTTCAAACTCCTATTATTAACCATGTTTAGACCACATGAACCTTGAAAGCTGTAGTTGGTGTATTTGTCACGCTTCAATTCCATTAGTTTGTTATTCGTAGAATGAAGGGGAGCAAATACTTCCTTTTTTACTTTCTCTCACTTTTGTTTATCCTTATGAAGAAATCTTCATCTAAAATTGTTGATCATATGGTCTTTGGAAAGCTAAGACGTATTGCTTACCATTTAGTCATCAATTCCCAGGAATTTATTTCAGCCTTCCGTTTCTTTTTAAAGGAAATACTTTAAAATGTAATCTTTATCATAATCACATTCATACATAATTTTACCTAACTACCTAAATATAGTAACATATATGCTTTGTAAAAAAAAAAAAGTGCTTTTTTTTCTTTCCTTTTGTTTTGCTGAGCCCCCCATCTTCCTCTCCTCCTCCCTTCCCCTATGTCAACACCATTTGCCCAAGGTCACCCATCCACACCGAGAACCTGGGATGTATCCTCCCATGTTTCCTCTTTACTCAGGTAATCTTATACCTACACATATATATATGAGTCTACACATACAGAGCATTCACTTCTTTTTTGAGGGGAGAGGGAGGACAGAGTCTGGCTCTGTTGCCCAGGCTGGAGTGCAGTGGTGCGATCTCAGTTCACTGCAACCTCTGTCTCTCAGGCTCCAGCGATCCTCCCACCTCAGCATCCCAAGTAGCTGGGATTATAGGTGCATGCCAGCATGCCCAGCTAATTTTTTGTATTTTTGGTAAAGACAGTATTTTGCCATTTTGGCCAGGCTGGTCTCAAACTCCTGACCTCAGGAGATCCACCTGCCTTGGCCTCTCAAAATGCTGGGATTATAGGCATGAGCCACTGCACCCGGCTGAGCAGTCACTTCTTAAATCATAGTTTTGTAAACAAGCACTCATGGTATCTTTATTATTATTTATTTATTTATTTATTTATTTTTGAGACAGAGTCTCACTCTGTCGCCCAGGCTGGAGTGCAGTGGCACAATATTAGCTCACTGCAACCTCTGCCTCCCAGGTTCAAGTGACTCTTGTGCCTCAGCCTCCCGAGCAGCTGGGATTACAGGTGTGTACCAACACGCACAGCTAATTTTTGTATTTTTAGTAGAGATGGGGTTTCACCATGTTGGCCAGGCTGGTCTCGAACTCCTGACCACAAGTGATCCACCCACCTCAGCCTCCCAAAATGCTGGAATTACAGGCGTGAGCCACCACACCTAGCCTGTTAAATCTTACATTCACCATTTAACAGTACCTTATGGAAACCTCTCCTTGACATCTGGCTTAGCTCCATGTCATTCTTAAAAAAAAAAAAAAAAAATGGCTGGAGAATTCCCCAGTGTGGATGTGCCATCGATGAGCAAGCTTTCACTGTTTTCACATTTCTGCATTATGAATAGTGATGTGATAAACCTACTTCTTTATCTTTATGGTCTTGAATCCATATCCTTACATATGGTTATTTGCATTTGCTAGTTACAGGAGAGTTGCCATTGAATTTATTATTCTTTTTAAGAGATGTTGCTTTCCAAAACCTTGAGGAAGAGAGTCAAGAAAAGAAAGGCAAACTTGAACAGAAATGCCTACTCCATGAATTTTTTTTTTTTTTTTTTTTTTGAGACAGAGCCTCACTCTGTCGCCCAGGCTGGTGGGCAGTGGTGTGATCTTGGCTCACAGCAACCTCTGCCTCCCAGTTTCAAGCAATTTTCCTGCCTCAGCCTCCCAAGTAGCTGGGACTACAGGCACCCACCACCATGCCCGGCTAATTTTTATATTTTTAGTAGACAGGGTTTCACCATGTTGGCCAAGCTGGTCTCGAACTCCTGACCTCAAGCAATCCGCCTATCTCGGTCTCCCAAAGTGCTGGGATTAGAGGTGTGAGCCACCCCGCCTAGCCCCTACTCCATGAGTTTAAATTGTGAGGATTGAATGAGGACATAGGTACAGTGTAAAGACCAACCTGGCTGATAATATTTTTTGTTCTCTAAAGACTGTGGGCTCCTTTAGGTCGCCAGCAGGGCCTCTGATGAGTGCCATTTATGTGGTACACAGTGACAGTGATGTTCCAGGATTGTGTAACTGAAAGGTTTAGAAAGAAAGGGTGGAGCCATGAAAAGCACAGGCTTTGGAGTCAACAAACCGAAGTGTAAGTTGCAGCTCTACCACTTTCCGCTGTGAGATCTTGGGCGAGTTACTCAACTTCTCAGAGCTTCAGTTTCCTCCTCTGCAAGATGGAGATAATGATGCGAGTCTGAGAGGGTTGCCTTGAGGAGGAAGTGCATGTAAGGCCCTCAGCAGAGTGCCTGGTGCTCATTAAATATGATGGGTTCTTTATCAGATGTCTTCCTTATAGTTCTTTCCAGCTATGTATCAGTTTCCCCTCGTCAGATGAAAACCTGTTGAATGCAGGAACTGTATCTAATTTATCTTTGCATCTTTACATATCCAGTCCCTAACTTGGTTTTTCCTCCTACCAACTACCTCCAGGTCTTTTGTTCTGCTAAATAAGCATTGATTGAAATAAGGGCAATAACAACAATTTTTTTGTTTTTGTTTTGTTTTGTTTTGAGACAGCAACCTGCTCTGTCACCCAGGCTGGAGTGCAGTGGTATGATTACAGCTCATTGCAGCTTTGACCTCCTTGGCTCAAGCGATCCCCCCACCACAGCCTCCCAAGTAGCTGGGACCACAGGCATGTGCCACTAACGCCCGGCTAATTTTTTTATTCTTAGTAGGGATGAGGTCTCACTATGTTGCCCAGGCTGGTCTCAAACTCCTGAGCTCAAGTGATCCTCCCACCTCAGCTTCCTAAAGTGCTGGGCTTACAGGCATGAGCCACTGTGCCCAGCTAATAACAACAACTTTTATTATGGGCAATTTCAGAGTTACACTAAAGAAGTGAGATTAACATAGAGGACATCTGTGATCCATCACCCAGCTTCTACAGTTGTCAAGATGTTGATAATCTTTTTCATCTAGCTATTGACCACTCCTTCACCACCATCCCCTGTCATGGAGAATTTTATTTTTCAAGTTTTTAAACTTTTTATTTGCCTATTTTAAAAATTGAACCAGGCGCGGTGGCTCACACCTGTAATCCCAGCACTTTGAGAGACCGAGGCAGGTGTTGAACTCCTGAGGTCAGGAGTTCAAGACTAGCCTGGCCAACATGGTGAAACCCCCGTCTCTACTAAAAATACAAAAAAAAAATTAGCTGGGCATGGTGGCAGGCACCTGTAATCCCAGCTACTCGGGAGGCTGAGGCAGGAGAATTGCTTGAACCTGGGAGGTGGGGTTGCAGTGAGCTGAGATCGCACCATTGCACTCCAGCCTGGGCAACAAGAGCAAAACTCAGTCTCAAAAAAAAAATTATGCATTCTCATAATTAAAATTATTTGAACAATAACCACAAAAAATGGCACTCTGATTAAACTGCATTTTACAGCCTGCAGGATGCCTTGGGCCAGCTTGGTTTTATTCTAGATTTCACTGCTATCCTACCACAC
Source organism: Homo sapiens (assembly GCF_000001405.40). Taxonomy (NCBI): domain Eukaryota; kingdom Metazoa; phylum Chordata; class Mammalia; order Primates; family Hominidae; genus Homo; species Homo sapiens. The sequence continues at coordinate 33,523,529 of NC_000008.11, read as the reverse complement.
TTCTTCCTTCACCAAAATGCAAGTTCTTTCCTTCCCTGCCAGCCAGACAGGCGGATAAGAGAGGCTGGCACAGCCATCATCATCAGCAGTTCTTTGATGTGAAAGGGGCAGCACAGTCATTTAAACTTGATTTGACCTCTTTGCATCCTTCAAAGTTAAACAGCTAAAAGAAGTAAAATAGAAAGCAATGCTTTGTGGAATGAACAGTGCATATTGGCGATGCACGCCTCATTACGAAGCCTGCTTGCTTCTCCTGTTCGATCCATTCCTTGGAAGGCTGTGGATTTTTCTCTTGCATTTCTGTCTTCTTCAGTTTCGACTTACTGAATTTCTCGATCTCATCCATATTGGACTTGTCAGACATAGTCACAGAGGAAGCTGAGCAATGCCCACTAGCAAGTGGAATCTGGTCTGCTTAGTGTCTACTGCCCAGTGTTGGGAATTTTAAAACAAATCCCAGACATTGCATCATTTCAACAATTAATACTTGTGTGTGTTTCTAATAATACTTCACAAAGTGTGGTCTGGATTCCTGGGACTTACCAAGACCCTGTCAGGCAGCCTGCTAAGTCAAAACTATTTTTATAACAATATTAATATATTGTTTATCTTTTTGTTCTCATTATCTCGTGTACAGCAGAATTTTCCAACACAGATTGAATGCAGCCACAAATCTGAAAATCCAGCTGTCTCCTATTAAACCAGATATGACAGAGTTGCAAATTTTTACAAATCTATTGACAAAAGTGTAAAACAATATCACTCGTCACGATGCTGTTTGAAAAATATACTTATTTTCATAAAAATAAGTCCTTAACATGTAATATGTTTATTATTACTATGTTTTTTAAATTTTATTTTATTTTTTCTTGAGATGGAATCTTGCTCTGTCACCTAGGCTAGAGTGCAGTAGCGCAATCTCGGCTCACTGCAACCTTCGCCTCCTAGGTTCAAGCAATTCTCTTGTCTCAGCCTCCCAAGAAGCTGAGACTACAGGTGCTTGCCACCACGCCCAGCTAATTTTTAGTAGAGATGAGGTTTTGCTATGTTGGCCACACTGGTCTTGAACTCCTGACCTCAGGTGATCCACCCACCGCGGCCTCTCAAAGTGCTGGGATTACAGGCATGAGCCAACGCACCAGACCTGTTTTTAAAAATCAAATGAGTATTTTAAAAATTTTTTCAGTTTTAATTTCTAATGTAGAAAATAATCCATTTATCTGAATATTTACGCATCACACATAAAGAAAAGCTCTTTGGGGTCCTTAATACTTCTAATATATATATAGAGAGAGTTGTCTTTTTTTTTTGAGATGGAGTTTTACTCTTCTTGCCCAGGCTGGAGTGCAATGCCTTGATCTTGGCTCACCGCAACCTCTGCCTCCCAGGTTCAAGTGATTTTCCTGCTTCAGCCTCCGGAGTACCTGGGATTACAGGCATGAACCACCACACCCAGCTAATTTTGTATTTTTTTAATAGAGAGACGGTTTCACCATGTTGGTCAGGCTGGTCTTGAACTCCCAATCTCAGGTGATCCACCCGCCTTGGCCTCCCAAAAAAGTGCTGGGATTACAGGCATGAGCCACCACGCCCGGCCAATACTTCTAAAATATTTTTGAGATTTAATTCATAAACCACTAGATTCACAATTTTATTTATTTTTAATTATTTTAGAGTTGGGGTCTCACTCTGTCTCCCAGGCTGGAGTGCAATCGTGCATTCATGGCTCACTGCAGCCTCAAACTCCTGGGTTCAAGCAATCCTCCTGCCTCAGTCTCCTGAGTTGCTGGGATTACAGGCACATACTGCCATGACCAGCAGCTTCACTGTTTTAAAATGTACACCTCAGAAACAAAAAACAAGAAACACAAAAAATAAATAAAATATACACCTAATGGTTGGGCACGCTGGCTCACACCCATAATCCCAGCACTTCGGGAGGCCAAGGTGGGCAGCTCACTTGAGGCCATGAGTTTGAAACCAGTCTGGCCAATATGACAAAACCTTACCTCTAATAAAAAATACAAAAATTAGCCGGGTGTGGTGGCACAAGCCTGTAATCCCAGCTGCTTGGGATGCTGAAGCAGGAGAATTGCTTGAACTCGGGAGGCAGAGGTTGCAGTGAGCCAAGATTGAACCACTGCACCCCAGCCTAGGTGACAGAGTGAGGCTCTGCCTCAAAAAAATAAAAAATAAAGTGTACACTTCAGTAGGTTTTGGTATATTTGTAAGGTTGGGCAGCCACTGCCACTAGCTAATTCCAAAACCTTTTTATCACCCCAAAAGAAAACCCTATACCCATTTTAGTCCCTTCTTTTTTTTTTTTCCTGAGATGGAGTCTCACTCTATCACCCAGGCTGGAATGCAGTGGCGCGATCTTGGCTCACTGCAACTTCTGCCTCCCGGGTTCAAGCGATTCTCCTGCCTCAGCCTCCCGAATAGATGGGACTACAGGCGCCTGCCACCATGCCCAGCTAATTTTTGTATTTTTAGTAGAGACAGGGTTTTACCATATTAGCCAGCCTGGTCTCGAACTCCTGACCTTGTGATCCGCCTGCCTCGGCCTCTCAAAGTGCTGGGATTACAGGCATGAGCCACCGCACCCAGCCTATTAGTAACTTCTAAATATCCCCTCCCATTATCTCCTGGCAACCACTAATGTACTTTCTGACTCTACAGATTTGCCTATTCTGGGCATTTCAGATAAATGGAATCATACAATATGTAGCCTTTTGTTTCTGGCTTCTTTCACTTAGCATAATGTCTTCAAGGTCCATCCATGTTGTGGTATGTATCAGAACTTCATTCCTTTTTATAGCTAAATAATATTCCATTGTATGTATATACCACATTTTGTTTACCCAATCATCAGTTGACTTTTGGGTTGTTTCCACTGGATATTACAAATAATGCAGCAATGAACATTTGTAGCCAAGTTTTTGTATGAATACATGTTTTTAGTTCTCTTGGCAATATATCTAGGAATAGAACTGCTGGGTCCTATGGCTAACTCTATGTTTAACTTTCTAAGAAACTGTCAAACTGTTTTACATAGCAGCTGCACCATTTTACATTTTAATCAGCAATGTATGAGCATTCCAATTTATCTTCCAATTTCTCTACATCCTTGCCAAAACTTATTTTCAGTGTTTTTCATTCTAGCCATCCTAATGAGTATGACTCAATAATTTTTAAGAGTGTAAAGGATCCTGAGACTAAAACCTTTCAGAACTGCTTTTCTGACTAATAGCTTTCAAAAAAACATAAATGTGCTAACATTATCAATTTAAAAAATTAACAGTGATTCCACAAAATTGTGTAATACTAGGATAATCACATTTGCCTGGGACAAATCCAGTTTACACCTTTGTCCCAGCACAACTGTTAATAGAGCCTCCTTGAACTCTCAACATATTCTGCTTAGATGACAAATTATATGAACACCCTAATAACTAATCTATATTCACGTTTCCCTGATTGTCTTAAATATGTCTTTTTACAATTTGGGTGGGTTTATTTTTTATTTTTTTGTGGAGACAGGGTCTCACTTGTTGCTCAGGCTGGTCTAGAACTCCTGGGCTCAAGCATGAGCCACTGCACCTGGCCTATAATTTATTTACTGAAAATAAGATCTGGGCCGGGCGCAGTGGTTCACACCTATAATCCTAGCACTTTGGAAGGCCGAGGCATGCGGACCACCTGAGGTCAGGAGTTTGAGACCAGCCTGGCCAACATGGCAAAAACCCATCTGTACTAAAAATACAAAAATTAGCCGGGCACGGTGGCACATGCCTGTAATCCCAGCTACTTGGGAGGCTGAGGCAGGAGAATTGCTTGAACCCAGGAGATGGAGGTTGCAGTGAGCCGAGATCATGCCACTGCACTCCAGCCTGGGCAACAGACCAAGACTCCGTTTCACAACACCTTGGGAGGCCAAGGTGGGCGGATCACCGGAGGCTGGGAGTTCGAGACCAGCCTGACCAACATGGAGAAACTCTGTCTCTACTAAAAATTCAAAATTAGCTGTGCATGGTGGTGCATGACTGTAATCCCAGCTACTCGGGAGGTTGAGGCAGGAGAATCACTTGAACCAGGGAGGTGGAGGTTGCGGTGGGCTGAGATCACGCTGTTGCACTCCAGCCTGGGCAACAAGAATGAAACTCTATCTCGAAAGAAAGAAAGAAAGGAAAGAAAAAGAAAGAAAGAAAGAAAGAAAGAAAGAAAGAAAGAAAGAAAGAAAGAAAGAAAGAAAGAAAGAAAGAAAGAAAGAAAGAAAGGGAGAGGGAGAGGAAGAAAGAAAGAAAGAAGAAAGAAAGAAAAGGAGGGAAAGAAAATAAGATCTGGTGGGGCACAGTGGCTCACGCCTGTAATCTCAGCACTTTGGGAGGTTGACATGGCAAGAAAGCTAGACCTTGCCTGTAAAAAAGAAAGAAAGAGAGAGAGAGAGAGAAAGAAGAAAGAAAGAAAGAAAGAAAAAGGAAAGAAAGAAAGAATATGCAACATTGTTAGTTGAGAATATTTTAGAACTTTTAATCTATATCAGTTCTCATCCTTGGCTTGACTGATTATATCATCTTGGTGTCTTTAAAAAATTTATTTATTTATTTATTTATCTTTCCTTGAATATATCAGTGGAATTTGTTGGCGTCTTTTGTTTCTTTGCCCTTCATGTTTCTTGTCATTTGGTAGTAGACCTAAAAATTTGATTAGATTTAGGGTCCATTTTTGGGCAAAAATATTTCATAGGTGGTGTGTACTTCCTACCTTATTCCATTAAGAGGTGCCTGGCTGCCTTGCTTTTAGTGATGTTCGATAAATCAGTAGTTCAGTTATAAAGTTCCCCATCAACCTTCACCTCATAATTGTAATCACAATGGATGATAGTTGCCTTGTCTCAATGTTTCATTAGGAGGTGTGAATAGTGACTTTCTAATTCTACCATTTTGTTGCATTTATGACCCTTACGAATGATTTGGGTACCCTCGAATAGACAGAAGAATAAATGCTTGATTTTTTTCCTTTATATATCAATTCTCAAAATAAACATTTGTTTTCTTAAGTGATCCAAAGATGAATGATTAGTGATTTTTTTTAGTATCATTATGAACTCATGGATTTGTATATATTTGTTTTAATTCATTACAGTCATTACTCCTCTACAAGACCAGTGCTGTAATCCGTGAGCTATAGGGCCTTGGGTTGTTTTTGTTTTTGTTTTTGTTTTCACATCACCTCAGCAGTATTTAATAGCTACCTTGCTTTCAGGCATAACAAAATGCCACAGGCCCACCTTGTGTAATTCCTGCCCTAGTTCTGAAATCAATCATTTCCTAAAGCCTCACTGGTTCCTTTTAGTGGGAAATGGCATTTAAACTACAAATTTGGACATCCAGGTGCTCACAGCCATTAGACTGTCATTCTTCTTGGCCTTTCAGTGGACACAACTGGGATATATATATGTATATGTGTGTGTATATATATGTATGTATATGTGTATATATACATATATAAATTCATACCAACATTGCCAATTCTAATTTCAGATTACAGATTTGTTTACTCAAATATGTGACTCAATCAGATTACAGAATTTATAGCTAACTTAATTGATTTGATACTAGTATCTCTTTTATCTTTCATTGAAAATCTGGGTTTCTAATAATATTGTTACTTGTTATCTTATATACATATATAAGTTATACAAAATACATGTAATAACACCTAAACAGGCCAGGCGCGGTGGGTCGAGCACTTTGGGAGGCCGAGGCAGGTGGATCACCTGAGGTAAGGAGTTCGAGACCAGCCTGGCCAACGTGGTGAAACCCCGTCTCTACTAAAAATACAAAATTAGCTGGGCAAGGTGGCACATGCCTGTAATCCCAGCTACTTGGGAGGCTGAGGCAGGAGAATCACTTGAGCCCAGGAGGCAGAGGTCGCACTGAGCCGAGATCGCACCACTGCACTCCAGCTTGGGCGAAAGAGGGAGACTCTGTCTCAAAAAACAAATAAACAAACCCAAAAGAAACACACCTAAACAATATTAATATTACCAACAGTATACCATTATTAAATGCAGTTGATTTTTTTCTGATTTTAGGCTTTGTCACACTAAGGATATAGAGTCAAATTAATGAGTTTTACAGTTAATTTGTGTGGTTATGCCAGTGACTCAATGTACTCTTTATTTCTTTTCTTTTAGGAAATGCTTTGTTATTTTCTTTTAAAAAAATAGTTATGTAGGCTCTTGAGCTGCTTGCTTTGGCCCACTCTTGCCCTGAGGAGTATACTTTCATTTTCAATACGTCTCTGCTTTTGTTGCTTCAAAAAAAAATAAAAATTATGTGGCCGGGTGCGGTGGCTCATGCCTGTAATCCCAGCAATTTGGGAGGCCGAGGCAGGTGGATCACGTGAGGTCATGAGCTGCAGACCAGCCTGGCCAACATGGTAAAACCCCATCTCTACCAAAAATACAAAAATCAGGCGTGTGTGGTGGCAGGCGCCTGTAATCCCAGCTACTTGGGAGGCTAAGGCAGGAGAATCACTTGAACCCGGGGTGGCAGAGGCTGCAGTGAGCCGAGATCGCACAACTGCACTCCAGCCTGGACTGGAGTGAGGCTCTATCTCAACAACAACAAAAAAATTTACATGAATCCAAAGTTGAAGCTATTAAACACAGTGTATACAGAGAAATCTAGCTTCCATTCCTATTTCCTTCACCCCGTTCTTTTCTTACCTATAACCATTTTTCTTAGTTTATAATTTACACTCTATTGCATCTTTAACATGTAAGCAAATGCACACATCATTATTTCTATTTTCCCATCTTTCTTACAAGAAAGGCAGCATTTCAACACGTGTGAAAAGGGGGAAAAATAAAAATAAAGGCAACATACACATGGTCTCTGTCCTGCTTTTTTCACTTAACAATACATCCTAGATTTCCAAGGCAGTCCACAGAGATGGTTCTCTTTCCTCTGTGCAGCGGCATAAAACTGCATTGTGTGGATATACATAGTTTATTCAGCCAGTCCTCTGTGGATGGATGTGTGGGTTCAACAAACATTTATTGCATGACCAAATTGTGCCAGGCACTGGGAATAAAGACGTGGTCTCTGGCTTCAGGAAACTCAGAAGTGCAGATGGGGAGATCTCCACAATACAAGTGCTTTCCTTATAAGAAGTAATAGCTTGGGTCCACTTAGCACAAGGGGCACATGGAACAGGGAAGAGACGCTTGCACACAGGAGGGACACAATAACTGTCTATTTATTGGCATCTTGCTTCCACTTGGGCCTGCAAACAGGAGAGTCCCCTCGGGAGGAGATGGTTACCAGTGGTTGAAATTGCTTAAAAAATCATGAGTGCCACCAATTGGTCAGAGAAGGGAAAGCTGAATGAAAGAGGCCGAGAGGGAGGGTCCTAACCACAAAATTACCCTGGAAAGAGGAAATGTAACAACACAGGAGCTGTGGTTTAACATGAGCCAACACCTATGTAGAACTTTCTGCTGACCAGATATTGTTCTAAGCAGTTTACATATAATTCCTTTCTCACAACACTCCTAAGTGGTACGAATTATTACTACCTGCATTTTTCCGATAAAGAAATTAAGGTGGCTGGGCGAGGTGGCTCACGCCTGTAATCACAGCACTTTGGGAAGCCAAGGCAGGTGGATAACTTGAGGTCAAGATTTAGAGACCAGCCTGGCCAACATGGTGAAACTCCGTGTCTGGTAAAAATACAAAATTAGCTGGGCGTGGTGGGTGCCTGTAATCCCAGTTACTCGAGAGGCTGAGGCATGAGAATCGCTTGAACCTGGGAGGCAGAGGTTGCTATAAGCCAAGATCACACCACTGCACTCCAGCCTGGGCGACAGGGAGACAAGAAAGAAAAGAAAGAAGGAAGAAGGAAGAAGGAAGAAGGAAGGAAGGAAGGAAGGAAGGAAGGAAGGAAGGAAGGAAGGAAGGAAGGAAGGAAGGAAAAATAAAAGAAAAAGAAAAAAAAAATTAAGGCACCAGCGAGGTGGGTGGTTCACACCTGTAATCTAAGCGCTTTAGGAGGCCAAGGAGGGAGGATCGCGAGGCCAGGAGCTCGAGATTAGCCTGGGTAATACAGCGAGACCCCATTTCTACAAAAAAATTAGAAAATATTAGTAGGGTGTGGTAGGGCGCGCCTGTGGTCCCAGTTACTGGGAGACTGAGGCGGGAGGATCGCTTGAACCCAGGAGTTTGAAGCTGCAGTGAGATACGATGACGCCACTGCACTCCTGCCTGGGCCACGGAGCAAGACCCTGTCTCTAAAAAAATATTTTTTAATTAAATAAAAAATAAAAAGAAATGAAGGCACAGAGAGGCTACCGAACTTTTGCCCAAGGTCAGACAGCAAAATGGAAAGAAGGGCAGGCGAGTAGGCAGCAAGACACCGCAGATGGGACAGTTGCAAGTAGTGCACCAAGAAGCTGGTGCGCTCCCCAAGGTGGGACGAAAATACTGTATGTCCCTCTACCCCATAACCACCTCCTCGCGAGGACAAAGGACACCTGACACGTCACCCCTCCCTCGCCCCTGCGCGCACACACGCCCCTCACCCTACCCCAGGTCAGAAGACCCCGAAGGGCTTTCTCTGGACTCCTGGAACCCTGGAGGCGCAATTGACGCCTTAGAGGCTGAATAAGAGTCCCTCTCCGAGCAGCTGGCGACACGTCTCTCTCGCGCCACCCCTCCCAGGGTCCGAAGCTCCCGCCTGTGCAGTGGCACAAATGAAGTTTGCCTCCTCGGGCTCCTGCGAAACCGTGGAAGCTATGAGAGTCACAAGGTCCTAAATGGAAGCAGCTCCTCGGGAACTGAAGGCCAATCGGACGCAATTCTACCCTCCAGGAAAGCGCAGGAAGAGGGAACAAGCAATGCCGACGCGGCGTGGGGGACCCAACACAGGGCGGTCGCACAGGCGCGACCCTTCTCGCGCCTTCTCAAAACCCAAGCAAACACCACTGGTTCCTACACCCGCCGAGCCCGAGTCTGCAGCCTCCAGCTCCCCTGGCCCGTTCCGGGCGCCGCCTGCGACCCATGCCCAAGACAGCGCTCTGCTGTCCCTGCGCACCCGGCGCCGACACTGGCGGGGCGGGCCCAAGCCGGATCCGCCAACCCGACGACCCACCTCCCTCAGGGCTGCCCCAGACGCCAGCTGGGGGCTTCTACCTTGACGCTAGAATTTGAATTTTCAAACGCTTGTGGCTACAGGCTTTAAAACGCTAGCTCCAGAAACCAGCTAAAGTATTGCATTGAACAGAAAACCAAATACCGCATGCTCTCATTCATAAGTGGGAGCTAAACATTAGGAACACGTGGACATAAAAGTGGCAACAACAGACACTGTGGTCTACTAGAGGGGGCAATGAAAACGGGCTAAGCTGCACTCCAAATCCCAGCATCCCACAACATATCCAGGTAACAAACCTGCGCAGGTATCTCCCAAACCTAAAAAATTAAAGCCATTAAAAAGCTCTGCATTGGCCAGGCGCGGTGGCTCACGCCTGTAATCCCAGCCCTTTGGGAGGCCGAGGCGGGCGCATCACGAGGTCAAGAGATCGAGACCATCCTTGCCAATATTTATACAAAAATTAGCTGGGCGTGGTGGCGCGCGCCTATAGTCCCAGCTACTCGGGAGGCTGAGGTAGGACAATCTCTCGAAAACCGGAGGTGGGGGTTGCAGTGAGCCGAGATCGCAACACTGCAACTCCAGCCTGGCGACAACGCGAGACTCCGACTCACAAAAGAACAAACACAAAAACACATTACACAGTTGGACAACGGAAAAGCACCCGTGCGTGTAGCATACAGCCAGAAAAAAGGGCACCCGAAAACGGTAAACACAAAGCCATGAAACTAGGCCACCTGTTATCATAAGTAACAAGCCCACAAATACAAGTGTTAAATCGATCCTTGAAGTTCAGGTCAGACGGGTAATGTGCCCACGTCGTAACAAGGTTCAAGGGTGGCACATCTCACACAAGCGTATGAACACCCAATCATCACGCTCATGAACTACAAAAGGATCATCTTATAGTTGACATTAAGGAGTGCCAAGTATGTGCCACTAATTTACACATAGGGTGACTACCGTAATGCGATACATCCATTCTTCACGTATAAAATCCTGGATATTTTCAAAGTCCCACTGAGATTCTGTGATTATTCTTTTGTTTCTACCTTAGCAAAGGAAAACAGAAACACAATTAGCGAGCGGATTATTATATATGCAAATTTATTCTCTATAGTTCCACCTCTCCGTCATTTTCCCGAGCCTGGATCTTTATTGCTTTACGACCATACGTCGTGAAATAAGAAGGTGTTGCGGCAGTACTGGCGGAAGCTAGCCTTGCGTTTTGCGGCAGCAATATGAGCTAGGTCCGGATCCTGTTAGACACCGGCGGGCGCGAGCCGTTGCAGGTACCTGGGGGTGGTTAAGTTGGTGACATGGCTCAGAAGTTTATTTCTTTAAATTTTTAAGTTTTTTTTCTTTTTAGTCTTCAGAAAGGCAACAGTAGTCTTTTAACGTCACTGTTAAAAGTGTAAGACTCTTTTACTCCCTGAGAGTCCCCTTTCCCTTTCTTGCGTCCTTTCCTCTTTATTCTTTTTTTTTTTTTTTTTTTTACTGAGACGGAGTCTCACTCTGTCGCCCAGGCTGGAGTGCAGTGGCGCGATCTCGGCTCACTGCAAACTCCGCCTCCCGGGTTCACCCTTTCTCTTTATTCTTATCCCGGTCAGACTCGCCCCCTCCTCCAAGACATCTCTCTGTTTTATTTTATTTGATTTTAGTTCTCTTTGGGTGATCGCTCCTTCCCTCTTCAACGGATCCCTCCCCGCCTCCATCCTCGTTCTGTGGGAGAGACCAGCCTTCTGGTGCTGCAGTCAGGAATGGAGCTTGACAGCGCTCTGGAAGCCCCATCGCAGGAAGACTCTAATTTGTCCGAGGAGTTGTCTCACTCCGCCTTTGGACAGGCCTTCTCCAAGATTTTACACTGTCTTGCCCGCCCGGAGGCACGACGAGGCAATGTAAAAGATGCAGTTCTTAAAGACCTCGGTGATCTAATAGAAGCCACAGAATTTGATAGGTTATTTGAGGGGACTGGTGCACGGCTCCGCGGAATGCCGGAGACACTGGGGCAGGTAGCAAAAGCCCTGGAGAAGTATGCAGCCCCCTCCAAGGAGGAGGAAGGTGGAGGTGATGGGCACTCCGAAGCGGCCGAGAAAGCAGCCCAAGTTGGGTTACTGTTTCTTAAACTGTTAGGGAAAGTTGAGACTGCTAAGAATTCCCTGGTCGGCCCTGCATGGCAGACGGGCCTGCATCACTTGGCAGGACCCGTTTATATTTTTGCCATCACACACAGCTTGGAGCAACCATGGACCACTCCGAGATCTCGGGAAGTTGCTAGGGAGGTGCTCACCTCACTGCTTCAAGTTACTGAATGCGGTTCTGTGGCAGGATTCCTACATGGAGAAAATGAAGATGAGAAAGGGAGACTTTCGGTGATACTAGGGCTTCTCAAACCCGACTTGTATAAGTGAGTACTCCTGCCCTTTGCCACCGACTTGAGCCTCACAGTTTTTTATTTTTATTTTTTATTATTTATTTATTTTCGAGACAGAGTTTCACTCTTGTTGCCCAGGGTGGAGTGCAATGTTGCGATCTCAGCTCACTGCAACCTCCGCCTCCTGGGTTCAAGCGATTCTCCTGTGTCAGCCTTCGGAGTAGCTGGGATTACAGTTGCCCGTCACCACGCCTGGCTGATTTTTTGTATTTTTAGTAGAGACGGGGTTTCACCATGTTGGCCAGGCTGGTCTTGAACTCTTGACCTCAAGTGATCCACCCGCCTCGGGCTCCCAAAATGCTGGGATTACAGGCGTGAGCCACTGCGCCTGCCCTAGCTTAATTTTTTATAGCGTTATACCTCAAAGGAAGCTCAATTTCTTCAGCAGTAAAATAAGGGTGCTGTAACCACGGATCTCTTAAGGCCCAGAAACGTTGTGATTTGCTATAAATGACATAACTGGATAGTGGCAAATTGGAGGTCATAACTGAGATGTTCGGGCTCAGTTGTCCAATGCTCTTTCCAGCCCTTAGGACGACTGCCTAGGAAAATTGGAAATTCTGTCCCACTTACTTGGAGTTAATAATTACAAAATGTGGCCGGGCGAGGTGGCTCACTCCTGTAGTCCCAGCACTTTGGGAGGCCGAGGCGGGTGGATCACTTAAGGTCAGGAGTTCGAGACCAGCCTGGCCAACATTGTGAAACCCCATCTCTACTAAAAATACAAAAATTAGCTGGGCATGGTGGTGGACGCCTGTAATCCAAACTACTCGGGAGGCTGAGGCAGTAGAATCGCTTGAAACCAGGAGGCAGAGATTGCAGTGAGCTGAGATCGGGCCACTGCACTCCAATCTGGGCAACAGAGCAAGACATCGTCTCAAAAAAAATTACAAATTACTAGAATTTGGATGGGGGATTTAGAGAGGATTTAAACTTATGGTTTGAATTTAGACTTGGGGATCTTGAATCTCATTACTGCTTGTTAGAGAAGGATGACTATCAGCTAAGAAAGCCATGTTTAGGATAAAAAGTGAAAAGCACCTTTAGATTACTGTTAGCTGAAGTTCTTTCAATGAGTTTCCACTTGCTACTTTGTTAGCACTGGAGTAATGAGAGAAAAAGTATCTGTAACTGTCATTTTACCAGGAACACGGAATTAAAAGGCTTGATTTTGAGTTTCGTGCTTCTATTTGTTGCTCTGAGTAGGACCAGATTAGACAGTTATCTGAATCTGTTTGTTTCTAATATAAAGATAATATACTTGGCGGAGTGTGGTGGCTGACACCTGTAATCCCAGTACTTTGGGAGGCCAAGGCTGTCAGATCACTTGAGGCCAGGAATTCAGGACCAGCCTGGGCAACATGGTGAAACCCCGTCTCTACTACAAATATAAAAATTATCCGGGTATGGTGGTGCAAGTGTGTAATCCCATCTACTCGGGAGGCTGAAGCAGGAGAATCGCTTGAGCCTGGGAGGCGGAGGTTGCAGTGAACCCAGATGGTGCCACTGCACTCCAGCCTGGGCAATAGAGTGAGACTCTATTTCAAAATAAATATAATGTACCTATTACACAGTAATTATTTTGAGAATTAGTTAAGTCGTGTGTACACTCACTTTATTAGCGATTAACAGGTGTTCAAGTGTTGATTCATTTGTTTCCTTAGTGTAATACTACTAATCCATTTCCTTTACTCCTCCCTCCCTTCTCAACATACCTTCACCATCCATCACCATAAGTCCTTTATGTAGCTCTGGTTATAATTGACTCCTTCTCATTGGATAGGCTGTAGACCCAAAGCCCTGGATGATTATTTGGTGTAAGTTATGGAAGTTATTTTAATCCAGATCTTAGAATGTATGATATAGAATCAAGAGTTATCTTATGTGCGATGTATTTTTTTTTTCAAAGACATGAAAATACTCTGTTTAGCTTGAAGTAGTTTTTTTTTTTTTTTTTTTTGCTACTTATCACCATGTCACTTAATGTAATTCTATGTATTCACTTAGGGAATCCTGGAAGAATAACCCTGCCATCAAACATGTTTTCTCATGGACTCTGCAACAGGTCACTCGGCCCTGGCTGAGCCAGCATCTGGAAAGGGTACTTCCCGCATCATTGGTCATTTCAGATGACTATCAGACTGAGAACAAAATCCTGGGTGTACACTGTCTCCATCACATTGTGCTTAATGTGGTAAGCAACCTCTGGCTTGTCATCTGTGTTGACAGGACAGACTGAGTCATTCCTGGCTGTTCTTCATTTCTAGTAATGCTAAGTCATTCAACTTTACTTATTTGTATTTTCTCCTTATATTTTTCCTCTATCCACCTGGTAGAAGTTGTATCCTATAGGTAATGTAATAACTAAAATGATAATTATAGAAGAAACAGGAAGGCATGGGTCATTATCAAACTGAATAACCAGATGTTGAGAACTGGTCAACAGTTGATTTTCTTTCTTTCTTTTTTTTTTTTTTTTTTTTTGAGAGGGAGTCTCACTCTATCACCCAGGCTAGAGTGCAGTGGTGTGATCTTGTCCCACTGCAACCTCCACCTCTTAGGTTTAAGCAATTCTCCGCCTCTGCCTCCCGAGTAGCTGGGATTACAGGTGCGTGCCACCATGCCCAACTAATTTTTGTATTTTTAGTAGAGATGGGGTTTCACCATCTTGGCCAGGCCGGTCTTCAACTCCTGACCTTGTGATCCACCTGCCTCAGCCTCAGCCTCCCAAAGTGCTGGGATTACAGGCGTGAGCCACTGCACCTGGCCTACTTCCTTTCTTTCTTTCTTTTTTTTTTTTTTTTTTTGAGACATTATCACTCTGTCGCCTGGGCTGGAGTGTGATCTTGGCTCACTGCAGCCTCTGCCTCCCGGGTTCAAGTGATTCTCTTGCCTCAGCCTCCCTAGTAGCTGGGGATCCCTAGTAGCAGCCACCACACCCAGCTAATTTTTGTATTTTTAGTGGAAATGGGGTTTCACCATATTGGCCACGTCCGTCTCGAACTCCTGACCTCAGGTGATCTGCCTGTCTTGGGCTCCCATAGTGCTGGGATTATAGAGATGAGCCACCCCGCCCGGCCTACAGTTGAGTTTCAAGGACGAAAACAAAACAAACAAAATCAGAGCCTGAAAGGGACTATATCCAAATGTGGAAGCTATTACTCAAGGAAAAATTTTTTAAAAAAACTTTGTACTATGGAGCTTTTAAAATATACACAGAAGTAGAGAGAGTGGTATAATTAATCTCCATGTACCTGTAGGGGAGAGCCAGAGATCACCTCCAACCCTGCCCCCCTGCCCTTTTTTTTTTTTTTTTTTTTTTGAGGCAGAGTCTTGCTCTGTCGCTTACGCTGGAGGCTGGAGTGCAGTGGTGTGATCTTAGCTCACTGCAACCTCTGCCTCCCGGGTTCAAACGATTCTTGTGCGTCAGCCTCTAGAGTAGCTGGAATTACAGGAACGCACCACCATGCTCAGCTACTTTTTCTTTTTTTTAAATTTTTTGTAGAGGTAGGGTCTCACCATGTTGGCCAGGCTGGTCTTAAACTCCTGGCCTCAAGTGATCCACCAACCTCGGCCTCCTAAAGTGCTGGGATTGATTATAGGCGTGAGCCCGGCCTCAGCCCCCTTTTTATCTCTTAGTGGGCTCTTTTCCTGGATCTAGAAACCAAATTGACAACAGGCAGATTAGCAAGAGGAAACTATACACATTTTATTAGTTTTACGTGTACATGGGGATCTTCACAAGAGAGAGTATTCTGAAGAAGTGGCCAAAGCAATATGCTTTTATACTTTTTAGACTAAGAATGATAAATTTTTCGTCTTTTTTTTTTTTTTTTTTTTTTTTTTTTTTTTACTACCGCTAGCCACATTTTCTTTGTCTTGTCAGAAAAAATGACAGGACAAAGAAAATGTGGCTAGGGGCAGTACATTTTCCTTTTTTTTTTTTTTTTTGAGACAGGGTCTTGCTCTGTTACCCAGGCTAGAGTGCAGTGGCACAATCATAGCTCACTGCAGCCTCAACCCCCTGGGCTCAAGTGATCCTCCCACCTCAGCCTCCCAAGTAGCTGGGACTACAGGCATGCACCACCAGGCCAACTAATTTTTTAATTTTTTTTTTTGGTAGAGACAGGGTCTTGCTCTGTTGCCCAGGCTGCTGTCAAACTTGGCCTTAAGTGAGCCTCTCACCTTGGCTTTCCAAAGTGCTGGGGTTACAGGTGTGAGTCACCATGCTTGGCTCTAGGGTAGTCACTAGGAGATACATGGTTGTAGGTGGTGGGGGGATGGATAGGTGGAAGATAAAGGTTACTTTGTTCAGTTTATGTAGGTCCATTGCAGCCTTCAATTCCAAGTCTCTGTAAGGGCTGTTTTCTTACCCTGGTATGGAAAGCATACCCCACCCAGAGGAATCTTTTATCACTTGCTGCATGCAGAAAGAGACAAGTCAGCTCACCCTTTCTGAATCTACAGTTTCTGCAATATTTTCAACTCGAAACAATCATGCATATTTTGGGATGGCATGTTCTTCATGCTTCATACCCATAATCCAATTTCAAAGATAGTCAACATGTGCCAATCTTGGGAAACTATTCTTTTAATTTGACGATTTGTCTGGTTGCAGCCAGCTGCTGATTTGCTCCAGTATAACAGAGCCCAGGTCCTATACCATGCCATTTCCAACCACCTGTACACACCAGAGCACCACCTCATTCAGGTAATAGTATGATTTCTTCATAACTGGGTCTGGATTCTCTGAATTTGAGTAGAAGGTTGCATTGTGTGAGTAGTAGTAATTGAGAGACATTTTCCTGCCTTGGAAAGTGAGGATGATAACTAAAAGCGTTGCCAAGTTAAAAATATCTCAGCACCAAGCAGGCCTCCACATTCCTGAGTCTCCACAGATAAGACAGTGTTTTTTATTCATCTGAGTCAATTGTATATTACTTTGGGCTGGGCATGGTGGCTCACGCCTGTAATCCCAGCACTTTGGGAGGCTGAGGGAGGCAGATCACCTGAGGTCAGGAGTTCGAGACCAGCCTGGCTGACATGCCAAAACCCCATCTCTACTAAAAATACAAAAAAATTAGCCGGGCATGATGTTGTGCATCTGTAGTCCCTACTACTCAGGAGGCTGAGGCACAAGAATCATTTGAACCCGGGTGGCGGAGGTTGCAGTGAGCTGAGGTCACGTCACTGCACTCCAGCCTGGGTGACAGTGCGAGACTCCATCTCAATTTAAAAAAAAAAAAAAAGCCTGGCACTGTGGCTCACACCTGTAAATCCCAGCACTTTGGGAGGCCGAGGCGGGCGGATCACGAGGTCAGGAGATCAAGACCATCCTGGCTAATATGGTGAAACCCCGCCTCTACTAAAAATAGGAAAAATTAGCCAGGCGTGGTGGCACGTGTCTGTAGTCCCAGCTACTCGGGAGGCTGAGTCAGGAGAATCTCTTGAACCCAGGAGGTGGAGGTTGCAGTGAGCCGAGATCATGCCACAGCACTCCAGCCTGGGTGACAGAGCGAGACTCCATCTCAAAAAAAAAAAAAAAAAAAAGTACGTTACTTTGGAGGCAGCTTTATGTCTGAAAAAGTCTATTTTTATTAGTTAAGTGTTCTGTTTTGCCTTTTATCAGCACACACACTTGAAACTTCTTGCATGTTAGATATCGGAGTGTGATTTATTATTTCATCCAACAGACATGGTTCCAAGAGTAAATGAACGGATAGGGATTTTTGGCTTTAAGATAAGCTTTGGAAAAGACATTTATGTAAATACGAATATGTACTTAGATGTCTACATATATATACAGTACAGAATGATGACTGCATTAGAAGAGGTTTCTATAAAGCGCAGTGGGTGGCCAGGCGCGAGGGCTCACGCCTGTAATCCCAGCATTTTGGGAGGCCGAGGCAGGCAGACCACCTGAGGTTGGGAGTTCAAGACCAACCTGACCAACATGGAGAAACCCCGTTCTACTAAAAATGCAAAATTGCTGGGCATGGTTGCTCACATCTGTAATCCTAGCACTTTGAGAGGCTGAGGTGGGCGGATCACGAGGTCGGGAGATCGAGACCATCCTGGCTAACATGGTGAAATCCCATCTCTACTAAAAATGCAAAAAATTAGCCGGGCATGGTGGCACGTGTCTGTAGTCACAGCTACTCGGAAGGCTGAAGCAGGAGAATCACTTGAACCCAGGAGGCGGAGGTTGCGGTGAGCCAAGATCGCGCCACTGCACTCCAGCCTGGTGACAAAGTAACACTCCGTCTAAAAAACAAATGCAAAATTAGCCAGGCATGGTGGCGCATGCCTCTAATCCCAGCTACTCAGGAGGCTGAGGCAGGAAAATTGCTTGAACCCAGGAGGCAGAGGTTGCAGTGAGCCGAGATCATGCCATTGCCCTCCAGCCTGGGCAACGAGAGTGAAACTACATCTCAAAAAAAAAAGAAAAAAAAAAGGTGCAGTGGCTTTCAAGCAATAGGTAACTAACTAGGTTTGGGTTGACTTTAGGAGGTTTTGGGAAGGAGGTGATACTTAGCTTTATGAAGGATGAATAAGTAAAAGTTTCTTAGGAGGGAGAAAGAAACTACAAAGACAGAAGAAACAAGTTATATAAAATGAGAGGTGGAAGCAACGTTGTTTCTTTTTTATGCCTTACTTCCCTCCTTTCCCCCTCCCCACCCTGCTGCCTTTATTTTTATTTTATTTAATTTATTTTTTTGAGGTGGATCTTGCTCTGTCATGCAGGCCGGAGTACAGTGGCGCGATCTTGGCACATTGCAACCTTCGCCTCCCAGGTTCAAGCGATCCTTCTGCCTCAGCCTCCCTAGTAGCTGGGATTACAGGCAGGTGCCACCATGCCCAGCTAATTTTTGTATTTTTAGCAGAGACGGGGTTTTGCCATGTTGCCCAGCCTGGTCTCAAACTCCTGACCTCAAGTGATCCGCCCGCCTTGGCTTCCCAAGATACTAGGATTACAGGCATAGGCCACTGCACCCAGCCTCTTTTTCTTTTTACAGTATTTTAAATACTGGGTATTGAGAATCCAGATTGTAACAGCCGGAAAGGCTGGGGTTCTTAAGGTGGTAGAGAAAATAAATTTTAGAAAACCAAAACACCAAGAGAAAAACCAAAGGTCCCAGGAAAGTTAAAAGGAAGTACCTGAACCAAGCTTGTCCAAGCCATGGCCTGCATGCATCCCAAGATGGCTTTGCATGCAGCCCAACACAAATCTGTAAACTTTCTTAAAATGTTGTAAGATTTTTTTTGCATTTTTTTTTTAAAGCTCATCAGCTGTCATTAGTGTTAGTGTATTTTATATGTAGCCCAAGACAATTCTTCTTCCACTGTGACCCAGGGAAGCCAAAAGATTGGATACCCCTGGCCTAGGGATAAATCCTAGCACTTTAGGAAGCCAAGGCGAGTGGATCACTTGAGGCCAGGATGGTGAAACTTTGTCTCTACTAAAAAATAGAAAAGTTAGCCAAGTGTGGTGGTGCACACCTGTAGTCCCAACTAGTTAGGTGGCTGAGGCACGAGAATCGCTTGAGCCTGAGAAGCGGAGGTTGCAGTGAGCCAAGATTGCACCACTGTCCTTCAGCCTAGGTGACAGAGTGACTCTGTCTCACAAAAAAAAAAAAAAAAAAAAAAAAATGTGTAAATATCATGTATCACTAAGTCACTTAGACTTAGTGACATAGTAACAGTAGACTTAGATTCCTAAAATCTGGATTAAAGTCCCAGCTCTGCCATTTTTCCGATTTTATAAATTAGCAAAGAATGGTCCTGAGGAGAATGTATTGATTTGAGACTGTCAGATGGAGATTAAGAATGTAAAAAAGTTTGAAAATGTAAAGTAATGTGCAGTTCATATATGATTACTAGTATCTTAGAATTCTCTGGTATGGACCCTAAGGACGGTAGATTAATGAAGTTCTAGAGAAGTCAGTGAGTATTGTAAATGCAAATGGATGAACTATGCACCGTCCTTCCATTCCTTCCTCCTAGGCTGTGCTCCTGTGTCTGCTGGATTTATTCCCCATCCTGGAGAAAACCCTGCACTGGAAAGGAGATGGAGCTCGACCCACCACCCATTGTGATGAGGTCCTGCGGCTGATCCTGACCCACATGGAGCCAGAGCACCGCCTTCTTTTACGCAGGACCTACGCAAGAAACCTGCCGGCTTTCGTGAACAGGTGAGGCCCTGGGCTTTTATTTATTATTATTTTATACAGACAGGATCTTGCTATGTTGCTTGAGCTGCTCTCGAGCTCCTGGCCTCAAGCAATCCTCCCACCTCAGCCTCCCAAAGTACTGGGATTACAGGCATGAGCCACTGCACTGGCGTCATATTTTCTCTTTCATCTTTAGGTTGGGGATCCTAACTGTCCGGCACTTAAAGAGGCTGGAGAGAGTCATCATTGGTTATCTGGAGGTTTATGATGGACCTGAGGAGGAAGCTAGACTGAAGATATTGGAAACCCTAAAACTTCTCATGCAACATACTTGGCCCAGGTAATAGCAGCCTTAAGGTGCAAAACTCAGCCGATTTTCTCTTGAGAACTTGCTTGGATGTATTTAATACATTCAGTACAAAGTATTAAATGTATACTATGTATTTGAATACCTCCCATTTTCACACACCTATAGGATTTTAAACTGAGAAAATGGCATTAGAAAGATAAAATATACTATAGTTACTTGAGGTGCTCATAGTTGACTCTTTTACCAGGTATCAGTTCCAGATTCTGACAGTTAAATCGCTTCTCTTTGAAACTCTAGTATATCTTTTTTGTTTTTTTTTTTTTTTTTTTTGAAATGGAGTCTCACACTGTCGCCCAGGCTGGAGTCCAGTGGCGCGATCTCTGCCCACTGCAACCTCTGCCTCCTGGGTTCAAGTGATTCTCCTACCTCAGTCTCCCAAGTAGCTGGGATTACAGGCGCCCACCGCCAGGCCCGGCTAATTTTTTGTATTTTCAGTAGAGATGGGGTTTCACTATGTTGGCCAGGCTGGTCTTGAACTCCTGACCTTGTAATCCACCCGCCTTGGCCTCCCAAAGTGCTGGGGTTACAGGCGTGAGCCACCATGCCCAGCCTTTTGTTTTTGTTTTTGTTTTTGAGATGGAGTATTGCTCTGTCACCCAGGCCGGAGTGCAATGGCGCGATCTCAGCTCACTGCAACCTCTGCCTCCTGGATTCAAGTGATTCTCCTGCCTTAGCCTCCTGAGTAGCTGGGATTACAGGTGCCCTCCACCATGCCTGGCTAATTTTTAAAAAATTTTTAGTAGAGATGGTGTTTCACCATGTTGGCCAGGCTGGTCTCGAACTCCTGACCTCGTGATTTCCCCTCCTCAGCCTCCTAAAGTGCTGGGATTATAGGCGTGGGCCACTGTGCCTGGCTATATATCTTAAGAATGGTTTAGATTGGTGTTTTGCAGAATCTCCATCTAGGTACTCTTTGATGCCCCACAGGAAAAAAAAAAAAATTCTGTGGTCAAATAGGTTGGGAAACCATACAGGTTGTACCTCTCTCTAGATTTAGAATGCATATTAGAAGATTAAAGGTCATTTAGAAGTGTTGCAATAAAACATTTGCTTAACTTTGTTAATCCTAATGTTCTTTAAATCTAATTGAGAATAGAGTACTTCATAGCACATCATTTAACATCTGCAGAGCAGTGATCAGAATACCAATCTAGAGGCCAGGTGCGGTGGCTCACGCCTGTAATCCCAGCACTTTGGGAGGGCAAGGCTGGTGGATCACCTAAGGTCAGGAGTTCAAGACCAGCCTGGCCAATATGGTGAAACCCCGTCTTTACTAAATATACAAAACTTAGCCGGGCATGGTGGCGCGCACCTGTAGTCCCAGCTACTCAGGAGGCTGAAGCAGTAGAATCACTTGGACCCAGGAGGCAGAGGTTGCAGTGAGGTGCAATGGAACCACTGCACTCCAGACTGGGTGACGGAGCGAGACTCTGTCTCAAAATATAAAAAAAAATAATAAAAATTTAAAAAAAGCATACTAATGTAGGATATACTTGCTTGGAAATCATTCCAACTCTGGCTTGAGGTAGGTGTCAGGAACTGGAACCCAAACTGTGGAGTCAGCAGAAGCATCTCTTGCATAGCTGAAAATTGAATTCAGCCAGAGAATCTAGTGCCCCAACAACATACAGTAGCTATTCTGCACCGTATTCTCTCACTTCCTTATAAATGTGCAAGGAATCCAGAGTAACATTTCCCCATGACAACCTTTCCCTTAGTCATATTGGTAACTAGGTTGCATTTGTTTACTATCTTTCTCCCTACGGAATTATAATCTCCAGGATAACGGAAAACCACATCTATTATATTCTCCCAAAGTATGTTCAGTACCTAGTATTAGGTATACAAATATTCAAAGAATGAATGGACTGGAAGAGAATGAATCAATGGATGAATAAAATCGAATCAGATTGTCAGGTCTTTAAAGAGCAGAGACCAAGATTCCAAGAAGGGAGAGTGAATAAATGTAGGGAGGTAGAAAAGGAATATGTGTGTATGCGTATGAGGGGGTGAAGCATGGGAAATGGAAAACAGAGCCGATTATAAGTTGAATAACGAGGGCTGAGAGGCACCCAAACCATAGGAAAATGAGGAGTATTTAGATAGAGATGAAAACTTTTTTCTCCCAGTCACGCATCTGTCCATAAATATGATTTATTGTACATTTCACATTGTATTTTCACATTGTAAGTTAAATTATTTTCCACCTTTCATTAAAGTTTTTTTAGGGTTTTTTGTTTATTGTGGTAAAAATACATATAAATTTTCCATTTTAAAGTGTACAGTTCAGTGGCATTAAGTACAGTCACAATATTGTGCAGTCACTAGCATTGTCCATTTCTGGAGCTTTACCAAGGCGATGAAAACTTTTAGAAAGGTTAATAGTTACAAGTAAGTAGGCTGGACTTCACTGATGATGAGCTAGGATCTGAAATTAAATGACAGAAAATTCAACTTGACACAGTCCCAGAAGCCAAGCTCATTTCCCTCACTCTAACTTCCAGGCCTAAGATGGCATTAAAGTTAAAGGATTCAGGGCTCTCTCCAAGCATAGTTCAGTTAATAGAGTTGAAAAATAAAAGTATAGGCCCTTGGTTGGGGAGATCCTGGTTTCCCCTTCTCAGCCCATGAAGGAGCTGTTGCTTACAGTAGAACCAAGCTTCTGGAAGGAAGAGAGCAGTGTGGCAGAGGGTGTGTCTGTGTGTATAGGCAGTATGCTAACAGGAGACTTGAGGGTAAGAAATCTAGAGGCTGTCTTTGGTTCTGTTTTTAGGTCTTTTTCATTTAACTTTGACCTAAGTTCCTTAATTTAGGAAATGATAGCTTTCCACTTGACAGTCTTTGAAGTCTCTTCCAATTTTAATATCCAGATTTAGAGTATGAACATAGCTTTTCTTCCTGATTCCAGAGTTTCCTGCAGACTTGTGGTCTTACTGAAGGCCCTCTTGAAACTGATTTGTGATGTAGCAAGGGATCCAAACCTTACACCTGAGTCTGTTAAGAGCGCCCTGCTACAGGAGGCCACAGACTGCCTGATTCTCCTGGACCGCTGTTCTCAAGGACGGGTAAAGGTAAGGCAGACTGAAACTTGGTTTCAGTTGGGCCTCATTATCCTTATGTAATTCCCATGATTGATTATAATTTACTATGTATGTGCCTGACCAAGTCTGGAAATGAACATGGAGGGTTTTAGATCTCCATATGAGCCCTCTAGCCTCAAAAGAGCTTGATCTTTTTTCTTATTCATCTTTTAAAGCTATTCAGAACCATTTAGAACTAAAGGCAGGAGGATCAGCACATGTCACTGGGGCTAAGGACGAGACAGTATGGGCAAAAGCATTATGATCAAAAGTTTGTAAAATTTAAGTTCTGTTCTAGTCTTCTGAATTAAAAAAAAAAAGTAAAAATAATGGGCTATAAGCTCCCAGGAATAATAACATAAATAGAGCATTTCAGATGTTTCCAGTTTTTTAGGGACAACCATCTTTTAGGTAGATGTTTTTCCCTATTCTTAATTTATCTACATGGAAATTCTTCCTTTGGTTTCATATTCCACAAAAGTTAACTTCTCAAAGCCACAGCATATAATAGCTGTGTACTTCTATGTATTTAATAAACTACTGCCTCATTTCTTACCCCTTTTAGAAATCTTTAGTTGAAGATTGAAGGTAGCATGAAAAGAAATTCATGCCATAAGTCACTGGACAATCTACCCAGCAGGAAAAAAAAATTCATATCCTAAAAATATGTAGAGATAGTATGAATTGTTATTTTACCAGTTTATTCAAACTATTTCATCTTAGCTCTTTAATCTTGGGCAGTTTTCAAGCCCTAGATCCAACTGAATTTGCCTTGGCTGGAATTCTGCTGTTTCATGAGCCAGCAGGAGATTTGCAAGTACATTAACACAGTTTTTAAAGTAGCACCTTCAATACATGAGAGCTATATAAATTTAAAAATAATAAAAAACCAACTAATACCTATTCTGCTTAGTGACCTGTCCCTAAGTGTCATCCATTCTTTCCTCCTTTGAATATGATACCAAGGAAGAAGAATCAAGCAAAAGGGGAAAGTAATTAAAAAAAAAAAAATATCAAAGCCTGTTTGGTTTCATGTTTCAGGGTCTCCTGGCCAAAATTCCCCAAAGCTGTGAAGACAGAAAAGTGGTGAACTATATCAGAAAAGTGCAGCAGGTTTCTGAAGGCGCACCCTACAATGGAACTTAAGACTTGTATTACTTTCCCAAGAGGAAAGGATTTTCTTCCCATCCCAATTTGTATGAATGGAGTTATTTAAGAAAAAAAGATATTTTTACACGAAACTTTGTAAGTGAAAGCTGCTTTTTCCTTCCTTCCTTTCCTTTTACCTCCATAAGAATAGGGAAAGTAGAACAAGAAAAAATTGAACTCCTTCCATTTCTAAATAAAGTTTGGGAGAAAAAAGGACACCAAGTAATGTAGCATTTAAAATTTAGAAATATTTACATCCGTCATCTCATCCCAGATTCAAGAACTCATCTGTTAAGTTTCTCGGGCACAAGCTGTTACTTCAACACATATGCTATAAAAACACTCTTGTTCACAACTTAGCTTTCTTCACTCACTCCAGATTTCTTGCCCCACTGACGTGGCATAAATAATAAAAACACAAATATTGTGTTCAGTACAACACAAAAGAGCAAAAACTGGAGGTGTGTATGTGTTTAAGATAAAAAAAAAAAAAAAACAGTTCTGCATGTTCAGTCCTGGGTATAAATGCTGAAAGGGAAATCACGTGGTTTTGGCTTTGGCCACGGGCTCTGTCTCCTGCTCGTATTCTATTTCCACATAGGCTCGTTTTCTCTGCAGTGGTCCTCTCAAGGGCATTTTGCCTTTGTGTTTCGCACTAAGGGCCTTTTCTTCCTCCTCCTCACTGGAGGATTTACCATCCTGATCTTCATCACTGCTGGCATCCAGTTTATCCATATCCTATTACGGGGAGAGAAAAGATAAAGGAAGAGGGAAAACACTAGATTTCTCCAAACTCCCTTCCTTGTCCCCTCAATCTAGAACAGACTAGGGCATTGATTTGTCTATGTCTGTGTTCAGAAATTGTCCCTTTCTTTAATTTTTTTTTTTTTTTTTTTTTGAGACGGGGTCTTGCTCTGTTGCCCAAGCAGGAGTGCAGTGGCATAGTCATGGCTCACTGCAGCCTCAAACTGCTGTAGTCAACAATCCTCCCACCTCAGCTTCCTGAGTAGCTGGGACTACAGGCAACCGCCACCACATCCAGCTGAATTTTAATTTTTTTTTTTTTTTTTTTTGGAGACGGAGTCTCGCTCTGTTGCCCAGGCTGGAGTGTAGTGGTGCGCTCTCAGCTCACTGCAACCTCCATCTCCTAGGTTCAAGCGATTCTTCTGCCTCAGCCTCCCAAGTAGCAGGGATTACAGGCATGCACCACCATACCTAGCTAATTTTTGTATTTTTAGTAGACACGGGGTTTTGCTATGTTGGCCAGGCTGGTCTCGAACTCCTGACCTCATGTGATCCGCCCACCTCGGCCTCCCAAAGTGCTAGGATTATAGGCGTGAGCCACCACGCCTGGTCATGATTTTTAAAAAATTTTAGGCCAGGCCCTGTGACTCATGCCTCTAATCTTAGCACTTTGGGAGACTGAGGCAGGCGGATTACCAGAGGTCTGGAGTTCTAGACCAGCCTGGCCAACATGGTGAAACCCCGTGTCTACTAAAAATACAAAAAATTAGCCGGGTGGAGTGGCACATGCCTGTAATTCCAGCTACTTGGGAGGCTGAAGGAGGAGAATCGCTTGAACCCGGGAGGCTGAGGCTGCGATGAGCCCAGATTGCACTATGGCACTCTAGCCTGAGCTACAGAGCGAAACTTCATCTAAAAAAAAAAATTTTTTTTTTTATTAGAGATGAGGTCTCACTATGTTCTTCAGGCTGGTCTCGAACTCCTGAGCTCAAACAATCCTCCCATTTTGGCCTCCCAAAGTGCTGCAATTATAGGAGTGAACCACGGTGCCTGGCCACCTCCCTGTTTTTGTTTTTTTTTTTTTTTTGCTGCAGGCCAAAGGACAATCTTTTTACCCATAAAGCTCACCTCAAAATCACTTATGTCACTCTCATCTACCTCACCATCTTCGACAAATTCTCTTTTCCCCACATCCTATAAATAAAACATAACTGTTAGGTTCAGAATACATAATGAAGATTCAGATTAGACATCTAAGTAAGTACAAAATAACATAATGAGAACCACAGTCTTTTCACTAGGCAATGAAAATTTAGTTCTTTCTAAATTTAATGCTTCTGAATTTTAAAAATTTTAGGGCTACCAGATCATTCTTATTCTTGATTTAAATTATTAGCAATAAAACATCCTCATTATGGTTAAAAACTACATATAGACAGGAAAGGCTTTATAATTTGTCACCTTGCAGGAACAATTTTAGAAGACCAATAAATTAAGACTAAAATTGTTAATGGTTTGTTGGTTAGCCTGAAGAACAGAGCAACCAGTGCTAAACCAAAATTAATCACATGAAAGAAAAAAGAAGACATATCATTTTTGGTTAGCGGACTGAAGATGATATTCTGTTTCTCAGTTTTATACAAATGGTATCTAGTAGGTTTGGCAAAACAAAAACAAGACTTACTTCCTCATCATCATCATCATCATCTTTTTCCTCAGTATCTGAAGAGTCACTCTCTGCCTCCTGTTGTTCCAGGGCTTTGTCGAAGGCATGAATGGGGAAGTTGTAGATGTCGCCATACTGAAGAACATAAACACAGATTGGCTTTAACTACATTTGGATATTACACTTGAAGTTCCACTTTCTGTGGAGAATATTACTTTTTCCTCAGTGATTAAATCAGAATACTTAATTTGATGAGTAATATTTTTAAGTGTAGAGCCAGCAGTGTCTTAAAA